>NC_000012.12:128603877-128905501 GCF_000001405.40 Homo sapiens
TTCTATGTCCTTAAGGAAAGGACTCTGATTGTGGTCAGGACAGGGAAGAACCCCACTTGTGGTTGGGCCAGAGTGGAAGTAGGGTCATATTAGCTGCTATGGAATGGGGAAGTGTAGAGAGAAGAGAGTGTCGAGAAAGAATGTTGAAGGTGCAGGTTTTCCCTCCGTGTCTCTCTCCCTGGTGGAATTTGCCTCTCCCATCCAAAGCCTTTCCAGCAAGGAGCTTGTATGAGTCAGGGTTCCCCAGAGACATAGAACCAATGGGGTGGATGAGTCCATAGATATAGATTTAGGTAGACAGATTTATGGATACGTGGGATGGATGGATAGATATGATAGGTTGATTGATGAATAGATTGGATGGATGGATTGAAGGATAGATAGAATGGATAGAGTGATTAATTGATTGGTAGATAGATGGGATGAGTGGATGGATGGATAGATGGACGTGTGGATAGAAAGATGGATGGATAGATAGATGGATAATAGAGGGATAGATAGATGGCTAGATAGATAAATAATGGATGGAAGATAGATAGATAGATAGATAGATAGATAGATAGATAGATAGATAATAGATGGATAGATAGATGATACAAATGGATAGATCATAGAGGGATAGACAGATGGCTAGATAGATAAATAATGGATGGAAGATAGATAGATAGATAATAGATGGATAGATAGATGATACAAATGGATAGATAGATCATAGAGGGATAGATGGCTAGATAGATAAAAAATGGATGGAAGATAGATAATAGATGGATAGACAGATGAAACAAATGGATAGATAGATCATAGAGGGGTAGATAGATAATAGATGGCTAGATAGATAAATAATAGATGGAAGATAGATAATGGATGGAGGGATAGATAATAAATGGATGGATGGATAGATAGATAATGAATAGATAGTAGATAGATGATGGATGGATGGATGGATGGATAATAGATGGATAGATAGACAGACAGATGGCTAGATAAATGATGGATAGATGGATGATAGATGATGGATGGATGGATGGTTGAATGGATGGATGGATGCATGGATGCATAGATAATAAATAGATGGATAGATAAATAATAGATGGGTAGATGGATGGACGGATGGATAGATAAATGGACACATAGATAATAGATGAATGGATGGATGGATGGATGGATGGATGGATGGATAATACATAGATGACAGATTATGGATAGGTAGATGGATGGATGAATAGACAGATAAATGATAGATAGATAGATAGATAGATACATAGATACATAGATACATAGATAATGAGGAGTTGGCTCATGCAATTATAGAGGCTGGCAAGTCCCGAAAACTGCAGTTGTCAAGCCGAAGACCCAGGAGAGCCAGCAAAGTACTTCCATTCTGAAGGTATGAGGACCAGGAGAGACAATATTTCATTCTGAGTCCAAAGGCAGGGAAAAAACTGATGTCCCAGGCAATCAGACAGGAGGAATTCCCTCTTACTCTGGGGAGAGTCAGCCCTTTTGTTCTGTTCAGGTTTTCAGTTGATTGGATGACATTCACCCACATTGTGGGGGGCCAAGGGCTTCACTCAGCTGAGGTGTTAATTTCTCCCAGAAACACCCTCACAGATACACCCAGAATAATGTTTGCCCAAATGTCTGGGCATCCCATGGCTCTGTCAAGGTAATGCATAAAATTAACCCTCACAGAGACCAGATGGGGCAGGAGGACAGGGGTGCATTACGGATCTGGTGTGATAGCCTTCGACACCCTCAGTGGCATCACGTCAAACCACCTCCTGAGGCATCGGCTGAGGAGAAGGAAGTGGGAGAGGACAGCTTCATGCATGAGGCACCACTGGGTTTTCCCTCATTCCCCTTTTTATTGCTTCAGGTGTCTCATAAGGTCCTGGGCAGCAAGGTTGGTTTCCCACGCTGGAGAATTTATACTCATTGGAGAGCGAGATGTGAAAGGGTCATTGTCAGGTTCCTTGATCTTTTCAGGTCATTTGTGGGGTCTTTAGAGCCTCCATGCACCCTAGTTCCTTCTTCTCTGAGAATCACTTTGAAAGATTCATCATTTTTTGGCAGAACCCTCTGCCCAGCATGTTAATTGGATCTGAAGGGCTGGACTCAGTGCCCGCTTTGGGCTGGCCTAGGGCCCACCATTGCAGCACTGGGAAGCCCACTGTGATGTCTGTGGAGCACCAGGAGCCTGCTTGGGCTGGGGGCTATCTGAAGCCAAGACACCCAAACCTCTGAGGCCTTCTCAGCAACTGCACTTCCTGAAGTGTGACCTAATTTAGCTCAAGCTTCAGCTGCTGGAGAATGACTACATGACACACTTCTGGTATGTGAGGCCCATGCAGGCCACCTGCTGTGCTTCAGGAAGTTGCATCCTGCATGGAAAATAAAAACCATCAGGCTCTCCAGAGCACAACAGACCCCTCCCCCGTGTGGCCAGGGGTTCCCTGGAGCCACCGCCTGGGGCTTTCACATAGGAGGGGCCGGGAAGAACTGGAAGCTCCCATAGTCTCTCTCCTCTCTTAAGGGCTTCGTTTCATCCATAGTTTTATTCCCCCTGCCTGTATTTCCCTCGCTGCCCAGCCTCCTTTCTTAATTGGATTCGCTTCAACATTTATGCAGTGGGAGATTTCCCATTTTTAAAAAATCCAAACTTCTGTTTTATTCTTGGAAAACAGACCTTCTGGCAACAAGGGGCCCAGACTTCCACCTGGCTGTGGTGCAGCTGCCCCTAAATGTGGCAGAGGGGCCCCTAGTGTGTCACAGCCTCTGTCAAGGCCTGTGTGTGACAGTGCAATCACTTGCTTTCTACCTGCCTGGCTTCCAAAGGCGCTTGAGTTTGTGGACTCTGCCACAGATGGACACACCTCTCTGCCTCTCTTGCCCTCATGCCAAGCGACTTATCAAAGGGGCAGGTCTCGGTTCCAGGGGCCTCTCTTGTATATTGACAAGCTTTTCAGAGAGTAGATCTTTTCTAGAATTTTTAAAATGCATTTTATGGATATGAAGTCCTGTTATTGCTGGGGCTCACCAGTAAACAAAGCAAGTTTTTAAAACCCTTTCACGGGGCTTACATTTTAGATAAGAGGAGGTGGAAGAAGTCAACAAATACGATGAATAAGGAAGACACAGGACAGGTCGGAGGGTGACGAGTGCTGTAGAAAAGGCCAGAAGTAGAAGAGGAGGCAGGAGGTGTAGGTGAGAGGGTGATATGGGAGGGTTCATGTGAGCTGAGACCTAAAGGAGGTTGAGAAAGCCTCCGGATGTGTGACCAAAGATTATTCCAGGCAGAGGAGGGAGCAAAGTGCAATGATCCTAAAGCAGGAATGTTCCTGGAGTGTTTGAAAGCTTCCAGGAGGCCAGTGGGGCTGGAGGAGAATGAGCAAGGGGAGGGGTAGGAGAGTCCCAGGGGTGAGGGTGGGTGGCACCAGTTAGGCTCAGCCTCAGAAGCCCTGGTGAGGACTTCAGCTTAAGCCAAGTGAGATGGGGAAGCCCTTGGAGGTTTAGGCCGGAGAAATCTCTGGCCCGAGTCACATCTCAGCAGAATTATTCTGGTTGCTGCATTGAGGAGAGAGGTAGGGGAAGTAGGGGGTTAGGGCCGAAATGGGCATATCCCAGTTAGGAGGCATTGAAGTGAGCCAGGTAAGAGATGATGGTTGCTTGGGCTGGAGCAGTCGTAACGAAGGTGGTGGGAAGTGCTCAGGTTCGGGATATGTTTTCAAGATAATCCTGTTGGACTAGGTGTGGCATGTGAAAGAAAGAGAGCATTCAAGAATGACTCCTGGAAATTTTAGCTGTGTTTACTCCTCACATGACGACTGATGTCATAGTAAGAGCTACCATTTGTGGAGCATCACCTGTGTGCCCGACTCTTTGGGCGTGTTAGGTATGCACATTTCTCTCTCTAAGTATGCATAGCACCCCTGGAAGGAGATGAGGAAACTGTGGTTTTGAGAGCATAAATCACAGAAGTAATGTCTCAAGGCTAGTAAATAATTAAGTGTGAGATTCATACCCAGGGCATTGACTCCAAAGCTTGTGGTCACGCTCTCCCATATGCTGCAGCAAGGAAAATAAATAACAGGGCCAGGTCTAGCTATATTTAGGGGAAGGAAGGGATGCAAATGTCATTCTGGAAAGATCACTTAGATCAGGACCTGGGGAGCTTGGATAAAGTCTCATCACTCACCTGGTACCGTCAGCAAATCTTAGGACACATGGCCTTAGAAAGATAAATGCATTGAAGTCTTTCTGGGCTATTAAACAGGAGAAATAGTTGTAGCAATGCTAAGAGCTTCCACTTGGTGGGTAGTCGCTACCATATGCATTAAGCTCTACACATGTGCTGTGCCATTTATCCTTGCAACAAACAGCCTCACAAGGGTTGGCTTACTACAGGTCAAAAACCGATTCTTCTAGAGGTGAAGTTAATATCCCTGCATATTAGAATCACCTGGGGATCTCTTAAGACTCCCAACAGCCAGGACTCACTTCAGACCAATGAAAGCAAGATCTCTGAGATGGGACTCAGGCATCAGAATTATCTGTGTGTCACCACGGTTCAGAACTAGTGAGTTAAGTAATTTGCCCAAGTTACCCCTCTGCTAAATAGTGAAGTCAGAATTCAAACCCAAATGTGTTCAGTTCAGAACCCAGAGTTGTAAGATCTACCCAACCATATCTGTGCATAGAAATTAGGAAATAAAGAAAAAAAGAAAGTGAAAAGCTTGTTAATCACAGAGAGAAAACACTTCTGTGTACAGCAGTAATTCTCCACATTGACAACACATTAAAATCACTTAAGTTTAAAAATTACTAATGTCTGAGTGTCACCTCTCAAGATTCTGATTCTGTTAGTGTAGGGTAGACACAGCTATTGATAGTTTTTCTTTTAATTTCCCCACGTAATTATAATATTCAGCCAGGATGGAGAGCCCCTGATTTAGAGGAGGGGGAGGCTCAGGTTTCTTCCATAAGGATTGCAGATCTTTTAAGCAGTTTCACTGGCATGGATATGATTTGCAATACTCTTTCTTTTTTCATCTTTTCATGCATTATCTGCTTCTGTAAATTTTTAGGCTTTGGAGAATGGGGTAGAGAGAAGTGAAATGTGGCTTGTTTGGGTTTTTAGTTTTTTTATTTTGAGACAAGGTCTCACTCTGTCATCCAGGCTGCAGTGCAGTGGCCAGATCTCAGCTCACTGCAACACTGTAACCTCTGCCTCCCTGCACTGTAACCTCCACCTCCCTGCAACACTGTAACCCCCGCCTCCCTGCAACACTGTAACCCCCACCTCCCTGCAACCCTGTAACCCCCACCTCCCTGCAACACTGTAACCCCCGCCTCCCTGCAACACTGTTACCCCCACCTCCCTGCAAGTTACCCCCACCTCCCTGCAACACTGTAGCCCCCGCCTCCCTGCAACCCTGCTATAACCTTCACCTCCCCAGGCTCAAGGGATCCTCCCACCTCAGCCTCCCAAGTAGCTGGCACCACAGACTGCACCACCACCCTGGCTAATTTTTAGTTTTTGTTTTTGTTTTGTTTGTTTGTTTGTGGAGACAGGGTTTTGCCACGTTGCCCAGGCTGGTCTCAAACTCCTGAGCTCAAGTGATGCACCTGCCTTGGCCTCACAAAGTGCTGGGATTACAGGCATGAGCCACCGTGCACAGCCTGTTTGGCTTTTCAAATTTGAACTCATAATGTAATTCAAGGGTGCTTGGAAATAGGGTGACCTTCATACTCTTTGCTCCTCCCTGCTGCCTGTCTCTGTTATCCCACACCCTGAACTAGGTACAGAGAGCATGGATGAAGGAGGGACTTCCTCTGTAAAAGGCCAGATTCTTTCTCATTCCCCTGGCGTATTGGATCTGGGTGTGTTAGCTTAGCTCAGCCAATCAGAGCTCCTTAGTCAGACCTTTGAATGAGGGATCCTTAAGGCAAAGCCTCAAGAACAGGAGAAAGTTTTGACAGCACTGTCCTCTCTAGAACTGGCATCTGAAGTTCTAGCTTTGTAGCCTTCCTTTGCTCCCACCTAGGCCCCATGCCTATTTCTCCAGTCAGCCTGGTAATTTTGAGGCATTTGTTCCATTCTCTTTTCCTTGTCAATCAATGCAGGGTCTTTTCTGTTGCTTGCAACTTGTGCCACCAAGGGATGTGCCTCAGCACCATGGAGAGATCCCAGAAAGCCCTCAGATGTGAGTATTGACATTAGGGTCAATGAGACTTTCTAAGAAAGCCCTTTCCAGTGAGGAAGCAAGTGTCCTTGCCTTCATGAAATACTCATGAGGTAGAATGAAATAAAGCCAAGCCTGGATCGAGTGATTCTCTTCTCCTGAAGCGGCTTCCCTATGAGAAGGCTGATTTTCTTTATTTGGTTAGTCTCTTTTCTTTCTGCGGGCACTAAGCTGTCAACCAACTTTGGAGCTAAAATCCCTGACTCCCTGTAGTAGGGAGGTAAAGCCCTTTTGGCTTTTAACTCACCCCCAGACTCAATTTTCTTACCAAATAGAGTCTGACAGCTAAGAGGTTTGGTAAATTAGGTTTCCAGTGGTCCAAACTTTATTGTGACTGTTGGGAGAATTCATTTGCTTTTGAGTAAGAGCTTTTTAAGCCAATTTTGAAAATTTAGTTCAAGAGTTACTGCAAGAAATCTACACTATTGATTTATCAAGTGATAGTTCTTGGGTGCTCTCTGGAGTCACTTAAGTGTTTAAATTCCTCTCTTTATTACTCCAACAACATCACAAGCCCCATATGAGCTGATGTGAAAGACTCTTGGTCCCTTCAAGGCAAAGCTTAGCAAATATTTCAGTCTGATTAGAGTCAGCGGAAAGGCACTGACCACAGAAGAATTGAAAGAAGAAAAGATTTCTTATTTTTTTAGTCTCTATCTGCCAGTACAACGTGCATTATGGCATTGTGTCTACAGAGGCAGGCACTCAGGAAATGCACTGTATACAAATCTTAATGAGTCCCAGTTCACAGTGAATGGCTGAGAGCCTGCCCCTCCACTGTGGTTCGTTCTCAGGAAGCTCCTGAACCAGGCTTCAAAAGTGTGCCTGAATGGTGGCTTTAGGCAGCCAACCCTAAAGCCACTGAGCCTGAATGCGATGTCAAGTCCTGCTAAAAACAAGAAACAGCTTCCATTTATTGATGCTTGCTGGCATCAAGTTCTGTTCTAAGCACTTTGACTTGTTCATTCATATCAACTCCAAAATGAGAGGGATTAACATCCCCATTTTGCAAATAGAGAAAATGAGGCAGAGTTGTTCGGTCATCCAGCCAGTACCTGGGGAAGCCAGGCTGTGAGTCAGGAAGTCCTTTGAAGCCCACAACGTGATTCCTGACATGTGTGTGCTCCCCTTAAAGGGCCATGGCTTTTTGCCTTGGTTCAAACTGCTAACTTTCTTCCTCTCTCCTTCCCTCTCTCACTTTTTTCCTTCCTTCTCTCCTCTCTTCTTCATTTCATTTATTGTTTCATTTCTTCTTTTCTCTTTCATTATTTGAATGAAAGACTTGTTGGAGGCCTAATGTTGACAACACATCTGATTGGAGGTGCTCTCATTGCAACAGGAATATGTCTGGGGCGGGAGCGGGGTTAGGGACTGGCTCCAGCCCCATGCCCACTGCTGTCTCACCCCTTGGAGTGCCACGGATCCTGGGCACTGCAGTTGGAGAATCACCACATGCATCATTTTTGGGAAGACATCTTCCACCTCAGGTCACAGCAAACTATAAAATGCTTTTGCCAGAATATGTAGATACTGGAGGGAAACCTTCTAAGCCAGAGGCAGGAAACTGAGAGTCAGCAGAGATGTTGTCTGAGCTACGCTATAGCTAAAAAGTGAAGGTTCTTATAATTTAAAATCCAGAGATTTTAGAGAAAAAAAAGCCTAGATTCCCAGCTTCTCTAGGAAAATCTTCTGCTCTCTAGTACCACTGGCCAGCCATCCCATCAGTCAGCAAGGACAAAGTGGAGATGCTCCCTTAAAATGAACAGAGCGGAACCAGCGACACCAAATCGCCCAGTGACTCATCTCCACGAAAGGGTCAAGTTTCAAAATGGGGTTGCATTTTCTTCAA
This sequence comes from Homo sapiens, assembly GCF_000001405.40. Classification (NCBI taxonomy): domain Eukaryota; kingdom Metazoa; phylum Chordata; class Mammalia; order Primates; family Hominidae; genus Homo; species Homo sapiens. The sequence continues at coordinate 128,611,969 of NC_000012.12, forward strand.
CTTAGACAATCATACTATGCATTTTTTAGAGACGAAGAAGACAAAGGCTGTGTGGGGGTGGAGAAGGGGTAGGAAAGAATATGAATGTACAAAAATAAAGAGACAAGGGCATTGGTTCTGTATCTTCCCAGAGGAATTCTTTGTCTTGTGTCAGAACGTTGAATCCTAAGGCCTCCCGGGGGCTCATTTCTCTGTCGGGTCAGTCTGGTCTGACCTTTGCTCTATCACACACATTCCCAGGGTCCAGGTGGACACAGAACTATCTCTTCTTCCTTTTGTCTGAGATCTCCAACTCCCTGAAAGACGGATGTCGGTGTTCTAGCCAGGCCCCTGCCCCCAGTGCACCAGAGAGCTTGCCCTGATGTCACCCTGACCTAGAATTCTGTGCAGCTGCCAGAAAGCTGGAGTTTTCATCCAGTTGTGAAACTTGTATTTTTTTTTCCATTCTGAAACCAAGATTAGGTTGAGTTGGCTCACAAGTGATGGGCATCTGAGTGGGGAGCTACAGAATGTTCCAAACAGGATCCTGCTGAGTTGCTGCCTTCTATCTGTGGTTGAAGAGCAAGTTGATGCAAACACACTTTCTGGCTGCAGAGGTTCAAAAGTGTCTGCTCTGACACTGGTGCAAAATGAGAACCTTAATCACCACCTCAGGGTTTGGATTGGGATTTGGAATAAGGTCTGCGTGGAACCTGGTCCAGTGCCCGGCACATAGTGAGTATATTGTTAACAGTCACGTGTTATTTTTATTCTTATGCCAACTACAACAAAACGCTTTCGGGAGGTCACCTCACTGCTCACAAAAATCACATAACAATATCTTTCAAGCCAAAAGGAAAAATACCCCTTCTCTTTTCCCTTGTCCATGACTATGCCTTTCTTAATGCCCTTCGTTAGCAGAATTGCAGTGGAGGAGGCTGCTCCTGGAGCATGAGAAGTTGTGCTGGCTTCTTTTTCATGCCTCTTTCCTCCCTGCACAATGGGAATGTCATTATTTCAGTCTTCTATATGGTGCCTCTGAGTCTCGGAGAGATGATGTGAGTGGTTGCAATGCTCACAGAACTTTGTAAGAGAGTGAAGAGAAGTGCAGGCTGAAAGCTCATTGCAACCTCTGTGGTTCTGTGCCAGTATAGGCATCCGTTTGGGACTGAAAGGGGGTCTTTGGACATTTGGATGGTTGCCACATCCAATACTAAGGGAAGTGAATTACTTGCTGAGTAGAGTCAGTCAAGTAGCCATGCAGCTCCTGGACAGCACCAGTACTGGTACCCAGTGGCAGATAAGGAGAATCAGGTCCAGACGTGCTTGCTAAGAAGATGAGATGCAACTCCCTAGAATGCAAGATTGTCTGCAGGCCAGCAGTGAGAGAGGATCTCCTGGATGTTGAGTAGTGCAGAGTCAACATAAAATGTAGCATCTCCTGTTTCCCAGTCCAATGCTCTTTACAGATCCTCGCCTAAGACAGCTGGTGGTCAAGAACCACCTGTGGGCCTCAGTTGCTGGACCAAGAACACATCTCTTAGTTTGGAAACACTCTAGACTCAAGACATCTCTCCCTCATTTTTAAAGACTAGCAATTCATGCTTGAGATTTGCAGCCCCTAGCTTGATGGTCAAGACCTTAGATTTCTTTTCCCTCCCAGAGGAATCTCTAGCATCTCATAAATCATGATTCTGTGGGCCCTGTTCCCGGCCCTGTGAACTTAAGGAAGATTCACAAAACCCAGTGCTTTGTTTGGTGCAGTAACCTTCCCGTTATATCCTTCCCCAGCCACTGAGCAGGACTGAGGGTGATGTGGTGGAGAGTTAGTGCTCTGGCTGTCAATCAAGCCCTGAAGATGGAATGGTGCACTCGATATTAGTGCCCCAGCAAAGGAAAGTGTTTCACTGCTACTCTTCATGTTGGCACATGCTTGAGATGCAGTTTTTAAGCATATTTGGTGTTTCTTTCTTGATATGCCATGGAAAATCTCCTTTAATTCATCTGCAAACATGTAGCCTTCCAGGAGATGGCAGCCTGAGGTCTTGCTGACCACTGACCCACCACTTAGCGCCATCCTTAGCATATCAGCAGAGGGCACTGGAGACACCTCAGGCTGGATGCCAAGGCTCACCAGAACCCTGGCCCCCCTACAAACTCAGCGTGATGCCTTCCATGCTCTTCCTTCTTGTTTCCACCAATAGCGGTTCTATTGATCAACAGCTCTACAAAGCTCGGCCAACTTCCCCTTCTCTGACCTTCTCTAGCCAATACTGGCAAAAGTTTTCTGTAAGGATTTGGATAAGAAATATTTTAGGTTTTGCAGGCTCTACATTGACTGATGCAATTACTCAACCATGTTCTTATAACACGAAAGCAACCACAGGAAAATGTAAACAAATATCCAAGGCTGTGCTCCAGTAAAGTGTTACTCACAAAAATAGGCAGCTGGCTGCATTTGGTTCACAGGACACAGTTTGCTGTCTCCTGCCCTAAGGAAACAAACAAACAAATTAAAAAAAAAAACTGTTGGAGACTTGTGATGTCATATTTGACCACCAGCTGTCTTAGGCAAGGATCTGTAAAGAGCATTGGACTCGGAAACAGGAGATGCTACATTTTATGTTAACTCTGCCCTAGCCAGATATGTGGTTGTGGGCAAGCCATCTTTCCTTTATTGGCTTTAATTTTATCATCTAAAAAATGAAAAAGTTTGGACCAACGGTAGTTCCCAAAATACATATATCTCAAATGCATGGAATTGGTCAGAATTCTTAGTTGCAGACAAAGAGTCCCTTTAGCTAAGTAGCCCCTCTGAGCAGAAGAGATGTCATTAAAGGATACTAGGCAATTCACATAATCTCTAGGAGAACCACTGAATTGAATGTATTTACTACACAGCCAGGGACAGGGCAGCCAGTGATAACACAGACGACAAAGGTCCAACCTCTGCAGAGGACTGTTGTGGTGGAAACACCACTGTCACCCCTCGGCATGATGATGTGAGGGCCTGGATGCCAGGGGCACCCCACAGCTGCCCCAGGAGAACCAGGGCCACTGTGCTCACCAGAAAACCCCAACTGCCTTCCTGGCTGCTGCTCTAGAACCCACTTCTTCCTCTACGTCCCAAATGAGTGGGTCCGACTGGAGCAAACTGCTTCAATCCTGCATCTAGCAGCAAGGGGTTCTGAGAATGTAGTTTAGGCCTCTCAGCCCCTATAGCAGAGGAGGACAAGCAGAGGGGGTTGAAGGTGCTATTGAGTGAGTGGCCTACAGCAGTGGTCCCTGACCTTTTTGGCACCAGGGACCAGTTTCATGGAAGACAATTTTTCCACAGATGGCGGTGGTGGGGGAAGGATGGTTTTGGGATGATTCAAGTACATTACATTTATTGTGCAGCTTATTTCTATTATTATTACATTGTAATGATAATGAATAATGAATGTTGAATAATAATGAACTAATTACATAAGTCACCGTAATGTAGAATCAGTGGGAGCCCTGAGTTTGTTTTCCTGCAACTAGACTGTCCCTTCTGGGAGTGATGGGAGACAGTGACAGATCATCAGGCGTTAGATTTTCATAAGGCGCACACAACCTCGATCCCTTACATGCGCAGTTCACAATACAGTTCATGCCCCTATGAGAATCTAATGCTGCCACTGACCTGACAGGAGGTGGAGCTCAGGTGATAATGTGAGCTATGGGGAGTAGCTATAAATAGAGATGGAGCTTTGCTCACTTACCCGCCACTCACCTCCTGCTGTGCAGCCCTATTCCTAACAGCCCATGGACTGGTACCGGTTCATGGCCCAGGGGTTGGGGACCCCAGCCTATAGCATCTGCCACACCTACAGAACTGAACAGAGGCCATTCAGGTGCATACTGCAGGTGTGAGATAAACTAGTTTAGCTCATCATCTGCAGAGCTGGTAATAATCATTCCAAGGCCTCATCAACACAGACACAGGTTACTGCTCATTGTTGAATATTCTTGGCCCATATCCTTAACTTGTGGGTGCTTCTCTGTCCCAGATGCCAGTCCTCACTTTGTAGGTGGTTCCATGCCCCAGGATCCCCCACCAAAACCCTGGAGCCATCCCTGAGATGTGTTTCTTTGTCTTTATCTTCTGCGTACTATTATGAGGAGAGAAGGGTCCTTTGAACAAAGTTGGCTTAAAGCCAGTTTCTTTTCTCTCTTCCAGGAGCAGCAGTTTATTCAATGAGGTTGTGCAGATGAACTTTGAAATAGCCAGTTTCAGCAGCCTTTCAGGGACTCAGCCCATCACGTGGCAGGTGGAGTACCCACGGAAGGGGACCACAGACATCGCCGTGTCCGAGATCTTTGTCAGCCAGAAGGACCTGGTGGGCATCGTTCCCTTGGCTATGGTGAGTCCTGAGTTACCTTGGATGCTCCTGCATTCAGCCACCTGACTGCATCCTGTGTCCTTCCTATCTGTCATGGGATGTTTGCTACAATGATTTTATGGAGTGTTTACTTTCAAAGTTTCTCGTCTTTCCTCACCCTGGAAGTTGTTACTTTTCATGAGCCTGGCCTTTCTCAACTTTAGTCATGAAGTTTAGTCCAGCAAGTCACAATCATTGCTGGAGGTGGAAGTGAGCACCTGTGATTTTAAGAAGCTCACCAGGTGATTTCAGTGTGCAGCCAGGGTTGGAAACCCCTGAGCTAAAAGGATGGTCAGCTTTGCCATCTTTCTGCAAACTCGGTTCCTTCTTGCTCCCCACTCCATGCTTGAGATAGATGCCCTTCATCTCCTCTTTCCTTAGGATGATGGAGCTCACTCAGCATTGAACTCTCAGAGGCTGTCACTGGGCTGTGAGGTCAACCTGAAATGTAGAAAGTAGATGAGTGACAATGGGCTTGAGTAGTGCAGCACCATCTATCTGACTCACAATGTGGCCACTCTTAGATTACTGTTAGTAGTGTACACTGATGAGAACGTGTAAGCAAACATGCTACTTGTGTGAATCATGCTATGAGAAATGGATTAATCAGGATTATAAGAAAATGGATTATTCAGGATTCTTTGAGTTATAAAGGCTACAAACACAACCCAACTTCACCTTGGCTCATGTAAGTTTAAAAGTCTAGAAAAGTGTTTCTCAAACATTATCGGGCATGCAGATCACAGGAACATTTTGAGTAGATGCCCATCCTCACTTAGGAGGTCTGGGTTGGGTACTTATTTTTCAAAGCTCCTAAGCCATGTCAGCGCGGCTGGTCTGCAGACCACACTTGGAGTGTGAGGGGCCCACGTGTGCAAATGATGTGGTATGGACAGTGGCTTCTCTTCCTTTCTCAGCTCTCCTTCCTCTTTGTTAGTCACAAGGTGGCCCCGGCAATGCCACGCTGGCTTCTTCACAGCATCATGTCCAGCAAGAAATGAGTGGAAACCTCACTGCCAATCACTCCAGCAAATCCTTTGGGACAGAGACTGATTGGAACTGATTGGCTTGGGTCATGAGCCCAACTTGAAGCCAATCACTGAAATCAAAAGGATGTGTTGCTCTGATTGGCCAGGCCTGGGGAATGTATCACCCTGGGGCAGGTGTGGAATCAGGTGAAGGAGATGTAGCAGCAGGTGGGACAGGTGTAGCATCAGGTGAGGCAGGTGTGAAATCAAGTGGGGCAGATGCAGAGTCAGGTGGGACAGGTGTGGAATCAGGTGGGGCAGGTGTGGAATCAGGTGGGGCAGGTGTAGAGTCAGGTGGGACAGGTGTGGAATCAGGTAGGGCAGGTGTAGCCTCAGGTGGGGCAAGTGTGGAATGAGACTAAGAGCCTGTGCATCATGGAAAAATTTGGCTTTCACTGAAACAGGGAACAGATGCTGGTCAGACAAAATAGCAGATGTGCACCCCAGAAGGTATCATCTACCATAAAGATCTGTAAACACTTGGAAGTCAGAGAATGATTCCTTTTGACTTTTTATGTCCTAGAACAGGGGTCAACAAACAACAAGCCATGGGCCACATCCAATCTGCTGCCCGGTTTTGTACACCATGCAAGCTAAGAATGGTTTTAACATTTTTAAATATCTACATTTTTAAATGGTCCTGTCTAGCTTCTTCATATGCTCAGTTCTGCCTGTTGGCTCATAAACTCTGAAATATTTACTATCTGGCCCTTTAGAGAGAAAATTTGCAGACCTGTGTCCTAGAGCACACACCAGCATCAGCTCTGGATTACAAGTGTTCAGTTTCGACCTATTTCAGAAGGATAAGACATTCAAATACTTTGAAAAGGAAAAGCCATCTTAAGAGTGTGAGATATTATAATGGTCCTTTTCAAGGGAGCACAGGTCTTCCTTGGATGGATGTATTGTTATTCTTGTGGTGGTTGTGTTTTCATAATGCCTTTAAGGTAAAGTGAAGTGATTACTAATGTCTGTACTCTTGTCAGGATCCTTTTGTTTGCAAGTAAATGCATGTGAATTCAAACAAGCTTTATTCAAAAGTTCATTGATAAACAAACACCTTTGCAGCACCAGCACAGAGCTCTGGGCTCTGAACACTGGATTTGGGTGCTCGTGCAGTGTTATGGTTTGGCTGTGTCCCTACCCAAATCTCATCTTTAATTGTAGGTCCCATAATTCCCACATGTTGTGGGAGGGACTCGATGGGAGAAAATTGAATCATGGAGGCAGTTTTCACCATACTGTTCTCATGAATGTGAATAAGTCTCAAAAGATCTAGTGCTTTTATAAGGGGTTTCGCCTTTCACTTGGCTCTCATTCTCTCTTCCCGTCGCCATGTAAGACATGCTTTTTGCCTTCTGCCATGATTGTGAGACCTCCCCAGCCACACGGAATGGTGAGTCCATTATCTATTTTCCTTTATAAATTACCCAGTCTCAGGTATGTCTTTATCAGCAGTGTGAAAACAGACTAATACATGCAGTATCACCGTTTTGCATCCCCTGGGATGTACAACTTGACCTCAGCTATGCAAAGCAACATGGAAAATTAGAAAATAGATGAGGCAATTTAGAGGGACTTCTATTCTCCTATTTTCTGTATGTTCAAAGTTTTGGTTCAGAATAAGCTTTAGGACATTTATAACCAGGCAAAAAGTAAACTTTTATTGGAAGTAACTAGCTAATAAAACTGCAGCTTTGACTAGAAGATGAGAAATTTAAAAAAAATTACTGAGCACAAAGCAAATCCTGTGTTGTCTGTTAGCAGCCAGTGAGACAGCTGGTTAGATCTTTGAACCAATTAAGCATATTTTCCAATTTGTTGATCGTTTTAAAGAAAACAAACTTCAGAAAGGTGAAACAGGGGATTAACAGATGGAAAATCTGCCTCACTGGGGAAGTTCTTGCCTTAAAATCAAGCATTCTGAAGCTCCTTTTTAAATCCAAGGAGAGAGCCACGGATAGGAGGATTCAGCCACAGCATTCCCCGTCACCTACTGCCTCTGACTCCCCCTGAGTAAATGCAATGGGAAAAGCAGGGAGACGTGCTCTCGACTCTCCCCAGAGCAGACCCTGCAGGCGGAAGCCACCTGAATCTCACTTGCTGGTCCCTGGGCACTCTTTTGTTTGGAGAGGACTGATTCCCAAGGCCACCGTTTTGCTCGTCCTGCCTCCAGGCTTGTTGACAATGAGCCTCTTGCCTTGTGAGGGCAGGAAAGCTCCAAGTCTTAGCTCCACGACCCTCCTGCCAGCACCCACCTCTCCCTAATCCCCTCCTCCCTGCGCTGTCCCCACTGTGCCAGTGTTAGGCTTGGGGGATGGGGTGAGAGAGGTATCTGAATGGGAGGACCAAGGCCACTTTCGTACATAAAGCTTTCAGAACTACAGAGGAAGGAGCATTTGGGACAACTAAAATGTTGGCAGTTCAGTTCTTCTTCAATGTAAGAAAAAAGGGTTCATATCCCAAGTTGAGGCCACATGAGCAGAGACCAGGCACAGATTTCCAAGTGATAGTTTCTGTATGCGAGTGGCTGGGGTGCTGGTCTCTTTTTAAGAATAAATGGACAAGGCCAGGCGCGATGGCTCACACCTATAATCCCAGGACTTTGGGAGGCCAAGGCAAGAGGATTGCTTGAGTCCAAGAGTTCAAGACCAGCTTGGGTAACATAGTGAGACCTCATTTCTACAAAAAAATACCAAAATTAGCCAGGTGCGGTAGCACACACCTGTAGACCCAGCTCCTAGGGAGGCTGAGGTGGGAGGATCGCTTAAGCCCAGGAGTTGGAGGCTGCAGTGAGCCGTGATGGTGCCACTGCATTCCCAGCCCAGGCAACAGAATGAGACCCTGTCTCAAAAAAAAAAAAAAAAAAAAAAGGAATAAACAAGCAGCAGAATTCATTCAACCTCACACTAAGCTCTGCAGGTATTCATTGCTGCATATCCTCAGAGGACAGCAGTCAACAGACAAAGTTTGCCTTCCTGCAGGTATACTCTAGTGGAGCGACAGACAGCAAACAGGTAGATACTTCCTAAGGTGAGGTCCAGATAGTGATCAGACGCTGCTGTCACACAAATCAAGGAGGAGTAAGGGGATGGGGTCTAACTGATTTCTAGCTCTGTTAGCGTCATGGACTTTCTTCCTACTGCTTATTTGAAATTAAAACAAAACAAAAAACAAAGAAACTAAATTTTAGGCAAAAAACTCTAGAGAAGGCAGTAACCACTAATTTTGGCGGTGTAGGAAGAAGTTCTTTGCCCCCGGGACTGATATATTTAGTCTGAAATTAAATTTCCTGAGAAGTGGTGAGATTTACCTGGAATTTTGAAAAGTTTCAAATCATTGCCATTTTTCATCCTTTGCAAACTCATTATGAAATCATTTTCCTTGACCCCTAAAACATGACAGTAACTTGGGTTTTTTTTTTCTTACACAGAGCTTTCAAAATTCCTAGAACATGTTCCTATCTCTCTGCATAAAATCAAATTAAAAATAAAGTGGCAATCAGTAGGGTTGTTTAAAGGAGAGATTGCTACTTATTCTTGCATCTGCAAAATGATTATCTAATTCTTACCTCTCTGGGGTGTCATAGAGATTCATTAGGGCTTGAGAGATCCTTGGAGACCCTGGATGAAGCACGCCACTAGAAAGGATGATCAAGAAGGAGATGGCAGCGGGGCCTTCTCCCGTGACTGGTTTGCCCTTCCAGACCCTTCTCGGCTCTGCTCTGGGCCCTGGGGGCTGGCCCATGTGAACTACAGCCCCCAGGCTCCCTTGCCCTCTGGCTTCTGGAGGGCTTTAACCAGTGGGAGGCACCAGAGAGAACTGGAGGGAATGGGTTGAATTATGCCCACCCTCCCAAGAAAGCAGGTTGAAGTCCTAACTCCTGGAGCCAGTGAATGTGACCTTATTTGGAAGTAAGGTCTTTGTGGATGTACTGAAGTTGAGAGGAGATCATGCTGGATTTGAGTGGAGTCCAAATGCAATGACTGGTGTACACAAGGAGACAGAGATTTGAACATGGAGGATACAAGAAGAGGGCCATGTGAGGATGGTGGCAAAGACTGGAGCTTCCGATAGCACCCCGTAGCCAAGGGAAGCAAAGACTAGCTGGCAACATGCCAAGCCTAGGAGAGAGGCAAGGACGGTTCTCTCTAGAGCCTTCAGAGGGATTGTGTTGCAGCTGACACCTTGATTTCGGACTTTCAGCCTGAGGAACTATGAGAGAATCAGTGTCTGTTGTTTCATCCTCCATCCGTGGTACTGTTTCGGGAGCCCTGGGACACAATGCATCCTCATCTGCCCGGCCTGATGTGTGTCTTGCGGGCGTGTGGTCCTCCACGCCCACACACCTGTCCCACTGGGAAGTCTGTTTTCTGTGGTTCTCCTCTCTCTGGGCTCCAGCATCTCAACTGCCTTGCCCTGCCCCTAGGCCTTGGGGTAGAAACAGCTCCCAGCTGGGACTAGCGTGGGGTGTTGCACCATCCCTGGCTTTTTCCCTCCGTTATGCCCACAGCTCTATGGCTCAGCCTTTACAACACTCCCTCCAGTTAAACCACCCTGAGCAGGCTGTCTGTTCCAGCCACGACTCTGAGTGATACCTGAGAGCTAAATGCTGCACGCTCCCTCTAGACTCTCTTTGGCTGAGAACACACCATTATCCTCAAAATATATATGTATATGGGCTGGGCATGGTGGCTTACACCTATAATCCCAGCACTTTGGGAAGCTGAGGTGGGCGAATCAACTGAGGTCAGGAGTTCAAAACCAGCCTGGCCAACATGGTGAAACCCCATCTCTACTAAAAATACTAAAATTAGCCAGGCATGGCAGCACGTGCCTGTATTCCCAGCTACTCGGGAGGCTGAGGCAGGAGAATCACTTGAGCTTGGGAGGCGGAGGTTGCACTGAGCCAAGATGGTACCACTGCACTCTAGCCTGGGTGACAGAGTGAGACTTTGTCTCAAAAAAAAAAAAAAAAAATATATATATATATATATATATATATATATATATATATATAACCAGGAAACATTCCCAGGGTGGTCTTTCTTCTCTTCATAGACAGTCAAAATGGAAGGGAGCCGTTAAGACATCCTGTTGGGGTATCTTGACCCCAGTGGTTTCACTGGATTTTCCCACCTGGGGGCATCCTGTGGTTGTTTTCCTGCATCCTCTGCCCTTGCTAAATTCAGAGACCCGGACGTACATGAACAGACCCATGGCACTGCAGAGATGCTATCGGATCTGCACGTCAATCTGCAGGTGATGGATGGCTTCACTCTGCTCTGGGGTCCGTGGGGAAGCGCGTTAGCAATATCTTCTGTGTTCAAGAAGGGCAGAGGCAGGCGTGTCGTAGGATGTGGGGGAGATCTCCTTTGACAGGGATTGGAGAATATTGCTTTTCAAGAGACAATGGAAAAATAATGTTTTATTGTTTTTCAAAAACATCTCGTCCTGATCTCCACTTTCCTATTCCAACTTCAAAATGTTTCTATTTGTAACTCTCTAAGAGAATTTTAAGGATGGGTTGGATGCTCTAGGGCAATTGAAAAATATTTGCTCAGTTGAAAAATAACTATATGGACAGAATAAGTATTTTCTTGTCACAGCTGGAAATTTGCTTTGGGATTAGGTTTAAAAATGTCCCTCCCCTCCAACTAACTGGCCCAGATTTTTGCCTAAAAAGTAAATCTCTGATGCACATGAAGCTGTTCTGCCTTGGTAGCGATGTTTGCAGGGTCACTGATTAATTCTCCAATAAATGATACCATACCCACTGCCTGCCAGAGTCAACAATCAAAAAATTTGAGGAATCATTGCTGTCTTTAGTAGCATCATCATTATCTGAACTTTGGTTTCCCTATCAGTAAAAGGAAAGTGGGGGACTGAGGGCTAGCACTGGCCTTTCCAAGTTTAGGCTTTCATTATGGGACTTGCTTTACTTAGAAAGTAAAGCTATGTTCTGGCACATGCATGCATATGTAACAAACCTGCACGTTGTGCACATGTACCCTAGAACTTAAAGTATAAAGTATAATTTTATATATATATATGTATATATATAATTTTAAAAAAATGAAACCTGCCAAAAAAAAAAGTAAAGCTATGTTCTAATTTTAAAGATGATAAGATGATATAACTTCAGCCGGGTGCATTGGCTCACACCTGTAATCCCAGCACTTTGGGAGGCCAAGGCAGGCGGATTGCCTGAGCTCAGGAGTTCGAAACCAGCCTGGGCAACATGGTGAAACCCCATCTCTACTAAAAATACAAAAAATCAGCCGGGCGTGATGGCAGGCACCTGTAATCTCAGCTACTCGGGAGGCTGAGACAGGAGAATCACTTGAACCTGGGAGGCAGAGGTTGCAGTGAGCTGAGATTGCCACACTGCACTCCAGCCTTGGCGACAGAGCAAGATTCTGTCTCAAAAAAAAAAATGATGATATAACTTCATGAGAGATGATTGAAAAATGAAAACAGAGAATATTTACATAAGCAATAAGAAGAAGAAGACGAAAGTGAAAAGAGTGGTGCTAGAACAGAAAAATCAGCGGGAATGACTTAGGTCAGCATTTTCTTCTTCCTCACTTTCCAGGTCAATTGGAGTTTGCGTAAGGTAGGAGGAGGGCCCAGGAGGGAACACCATGCCACAGTGTTGATTAATGACAGCCTTTCTCATTTTTTGCCATTTCCAAAAACCACTGAGTCTATCGTTTACTTAATATTTTTTTCTAAAGAGAGAATAGTATAGAAATTGGGCGCTCAGCTTCAGCCTGACTGTGTTGGGGTGAGTCCCAATGCCTCCTCCTAATGCCTGTGTGACCTTGGGCAAGTGATTTGACTTCTCTGTGCCTCAGTTTTCTCATCTGTAAAATAGGAATAGGCCGAGTGTGGTGGCTCAGGCCTGTAATCCCAGCACTTTGGGAGCCCGAGGCGAGTGGACCACAAGGTCAGGAGTTCAAGACCACCCTGGCCAAGATAGCGAAACCCCGTCTCTACTAAAAATACAAAAATTAGCTGGACGTGGTGGCGGGGGCCTGTAATCCCAGCTACTTGGGAGGCTGAGGCAGGAGAATTGCTTGAACTCGGGTGGCAGAGGTTGCAGTGAGCCGAGATCGTGCCATTGCACTCCAACCTGGGTGATAGAGTGAGACTCCATCTCAAAAAAAAAAAAAAAAAAAAAAAAGGAATGAAAATGACCCCCAACTCATGGGCCTGTTTCGAGAACTAACTGTACTCAGAAACCTTTGCTTGGCACTTAGTAAGTCTTCAGGAAATGCTAGTTATTTTAGCTTAAATAAGCTTCAGGTTACACTTCTACTTATATTTATTAATAAGAATAAAAGTATTCAGATATTATTTGTGGGTATTCAAACAGTAGTTCATAAATCACTTTACACTAGAAACCTGACTGTTACTACAGAATGTTCATCCATGTGCCGGTTAGAATCCTACTGAGTCGGGGAGGTAGCACTCTCAGTGAAATCTGTCCATAGAGCCCCGTAAACCCAGTGCCACCCTCATGTGAAGAGTGATGCCACCTGCCAGCTCACTCTCTCAATGATGAGCCCTCCCACTGGAATGTAAGAAACACAGTCCCGAGAGAAACTAGCAAGGGAGGGGGGTGACCCTATGCTTGTGCCAATAGGAGATTGTGCCCTAAAGCTGCAGCAGCATTGCAGCCACCCTGCAGGGGTCCTGAGGTGGAGAAACCCCCAGAGAATCCACACGGCTCTCTGAACTTGAATGGGAAAGTTACACCTGCATTTCCACTTAACCTCTAACTGAAACTGAGCATTTTCTTCCTATCATAGTCCATTCCAGCTGCTATAACAAAATGCCATAAACAGCATGGTTTATAAATAGTGGACATTTACTGCTTACAGTTCTGGGGGCTGGAAGTTCAAGATCAGCAGGTTCAGTGTCTGGTGAGGACTTGCCTCCTGGTGCATAGACAGTGGCTTCTCACTGTGTCCCCACGTGGTGGAATGGGCAAATGAGCTCTCTGAAGTCTCTTTTATAAGGACACTGTATTAGTCCATTTTCATGCTGCTGATAAAGACATACCCAAATATGGGAAGAAAAAGAGGTTTAATGGACTTACAGTTCCACATGGCTGGGGAGGCCTCACAATCATGGTGGAAGGCAAGGAGGAGCAAGTCACATCTTACATGGATGGTGGCAGGCAAAGAGAATTTCGAACCAAGTGAAAGGGGAAACCCCTTATAAAACCAACAGATCTCCTGAGACTTATTCATGACCATGAGAACAGCATAGGGGAAACTGCCCCCCGTGATTCAATTATTTCCCACTGGGCCTCTCCCACAACATGTACCAATTATGGGAACTACAATTCAAGATGAGATTTGGGTGGGGACACAGCCAAACCATATCAGACACTGATCCCATTCATAAGGACTTCACCTGCGTGACCTTATCACCTCCCAAAGGCCCCACCTCCTAACCCATCACCTTGGGGGTTGGCATTTCAGCATATGAATTTGGGGGACACAACCATTGTGAACACAGGTCATAGCCCCAAAAGCATTAGCAGCTGCCACCAAACTCACACATTTCCATGTCATAGCATATGCAGTTGATACAGATGTCATGAAATACCTTCTATATTCTTCACTGCTTTGAAAGTAAAGCACTACATCTTATTACTTAATTCAGTAATAAAGAAACACATGTACTACAGTACCTGAAGTTATTTTGAATTTTGGTAACTGCATTTCTTTCTTTCTTTTTTTTTTTTTTAATGAGACAGAGTCTCGCTCTGTTACCCAGGCTGGAGTGCAGTGGTGCGATCTCGGTTCACTGCAACCTTCGCCTCCCAGGTTCAAGCAATTCTCGTGCCTCAGCCTCCCAAGTAGCTGGGATTACAGGCGCTCACCACCACGCCCAGCTAATGTTTTGTGTTTTTAGCAGAGACACAGGGTTTCACCATGTTGACCAGGCTGGTCTCGAACTCCTGACCTCAGGTGATCTGCCCACCTCAGCCTCCCAAAATGTGGGATTATATGCATGAGCCACTGCGCCTGGCCTGTGCTGAACATTTTTATTTTTATTTTTATTTTTGAGATGGAGTCTCACTCTGTCACCCAGACTGGAGTGCAGTGGTGTGATCTCGGCTCACTGCAACCTCTGCCTCCTGGGTTCAAGCGATTCTCGTGCCTCAGCCTCCTGCGTAGCTGAGATTACAGCCATTTGCCACTGTATCCAGCTAATTTTTGTATTTTTAACAGAGACAAGGTTTCACCGTGTTGGCCAGGCTGGTCTCAGATTCCTGACCTCAAGTGATCCGCCTGCCTTGGCCTCCCAAAGTGCTGGGATTACAGGTGTGAGCCACCATGCCCGGCCAGTAACTGCATTTCAATACAATTGATTTCCTGTGTGAGCACACATATCTTACTGCATGCCTTTAAAAACTTTATTCTGAGAAAAGATTCTCAGACCTCACCTGCTAGCTAGAGATGCCCACGACCCACACAGAGAAATAGCTCAGGCCTGCTGCATACAGAAGGAAACGCTCACTCCAGCCCCACTGCCACCCCAGCCTGCCGAGTCAAGGGAGGAGCCACCAAGGGCCTCTCCCTAGTAAGCACCTACTGTGTGCAAGCCTTGTTGCAGATGCTGCCAGCTCTCCTCACCCGGCATCTTTGTCCTCACTGTGCCATCCTGAGAGGCACCTCACCTCCTCCTCCTCTTCATTAAGGACTCCTTGCCCACCTCATCCCTGGAGGCCCTCCTGCCCCAAGATGGTGCTGACAGCTGCGTTCCCTGCCCCCATTCCAGCACATTGCCTGATCTGATTTTTGGCATATCCAATACAATTATTGTTTTGTCTGATCATTGTCTGACATTATCTTCCTTATGTTTTCATTTGTTTGTATGTTTACTCCCCTCCCCGCTGAAATCTGGAATGTTGGCTCCTTGACAGCTGGAATTTCATCTCTCTCTCATTTTAGCCTTGACAAAATTATTGTTCTGTCTGATCATTATCTGACATTATCTTCCTTATGTTTTCATTTGTGTATATATTTATCCCTCTCCCCCAACCACCCCAGTCTGGAATGCTGGCTCCCTGACAGCTGGGATTTTGTCTCTATCTCATTTTACCCTTGAGTCTCTTGCCTCCTAGTCTCCCACCAGACACTCCCTGGGGGACTGGTGAGTGCCACTCTAGGGAAACAGCAACGAGCATAACAGACATAAGGTTCCTGTGCCCAAGCACCGGCACCCCAGGCATTATCTTGTGAACATTAATCCTGTGACCATCATTCGGAAAGCCCCTGTGAGCCCTGGGTCCCCTGTCCTGCTGCCTTCAACCCCAGACAGCAGGTACTGTAGGTCTGATGCCTCCCCCCGCCCTGCAGCTCTGCTCTGCAGTGTCCCAGCTCCCTCCGCCGAGGAGTCAGGCCTCCGTGCCCAGAAAGTGCTGGGTCCTGGTCAGTGCCATGAAAAGGAGGCCAAAAATGGCTGTGAAACTGCTGGACAGCTCACGGCCAGCAGCTGCACCACTTGAGGTGGCCACGGAGCTGCTGCTGCAGGAGAAATCTAGGATGTAGGTGTAGGTGCAGGTGCAGGTGCAGGTTCAGGTGCAGGTGCAGAATCCTGGCATCAGCCAGGTCTCCCCAGGCCTGCCGCACACTCTGGTATCGCACCTGCCCATCTGTGCCATCCCTCGAAATGCATCTCAAATGCAGCAGTCTCCCCCCACCTCACCACTTCCAGTCTCAGCCTAGCCCCATCATCTCACACCT
This sequence comes from Homo sapiens, assembly GCF_000001405.40. Lineage (NCBI taxonomy): Eukaryota > Metazoa > Chordata > Mammalia > Primates > Hominidae > Homo > Homo sapiens. Next base: position 128,628,148 of record NC_000012.12, read on the forward strand.
GGATGTATCATCTGCCTCTGGACTGGTCTCCCCTGCTCAATGCTGACCCCTGGGAGCCCCTTCCTCACAGTAACAGCCTTGAACCGGTCATCTCCTCCCTGCTCTTGCCTCCCTGAAAAGCCCACTGCACTTTTTTAAAAAGTGCAATGTCTGGTCCACGGCGGCACGCTGAGATCTAACCTCCTTTCCCAGCCCCTCCCATGCGCTCTGCCCTGGGGCCTTTGCACTTACTATTTCCTGTACCAGGAGCCTCTTCCCCACATTCCAAACTGTGTTCTTCCTCCTGCTGTTCAGGTCTGTGCTTACATCTTCTCAGGTGCACCTCCATCACCTGATTTAAAATAACAGCCGGCCACTCTATGCCCTGACCGGCTTGATTTTCTTGCGTAACATGACCAAATAAAATGCATGTCTATTTGTACATTCATTATCTGAATTTCCCCAGTGGGGTGTCAGCTCCATGTGGGCAGCGGACACTCTATCAGTAGCTTCTACAACAATGCCTGGCACACAGTAGGCACGTAACAAGGAGCTGTAGGATGTATAGGTGGGTGTATGACCCGCCACATCTGCCTGCTCCACCCGGAGGCGAGGGACTCTGATCTGTTTCATGTGTTGATCACCACTGCCAAGCACAGCTCCTTCCTCATGGAAATTGCTCCGTGAATACCTGTTGCCTAAATGAATGCAGCCCAAGGAAGATGCATTATCCTTATTGTTTGGTATATGATTATGGTGCCAAGGCTAACATTAAAAGCTGTCAGCCTTTATTCTACAGCCTCATAATTATGTCATCATTTGAAACATGTGAGAGCATTGATCTATGAATGAATTTATAATTTATTTTAAGTAATTGTCACATGAGGAGGAAAGAAAATATTTTGGAGGAAAAAAATGGGGAATACATGTCTGTGTGGATGCAAGGGATAACTTTGGAGTGATTTCAATCTCTCTTACAAACATCATGCACACTGGGACCTGCTTTACATCATCATCCATTCATTTTTCAAACGAGAATGGAGTTCAAGTTCTATACGTGGCCCTTTGTTCAGCCTTTGTTAATCTTAAGAATAAAAAAAAACCTGGGACAGTTTCAGTGGCTCACGCCTATAATTCCAGCACTTCAGGAGGCCAAGATAGGAAGGTGGCTTGAGCCCAGGAGTTAAAGACCAGCCTGGGCAATATAGTGAGACCTTGTCTCTGCAAAAAAAATTTTTTAAAAATGAGGCGGGAGGATTGCTTGAGCCTGGGAGGTTGAGGCTACAGTGAGCCATGACTGTACCATTGTACTCCTGCCTAGGCGATGGGAGTGAGATCCTGTCTCAAAACAAAAAAAAACCAATATGATTCCACTAATATGAGGTATCTGAGATAGTCCAATTCATGGAAACAAAGAGCAGAATGGTGGCTGCCTGCGGTTGGGGAAGGGGAGATGGGGAGTTATGAATCGAGGGCCATGAAGTCTCAGCCCTGCAGGTCCAACAGTCCCCAGAGATCTGCCTGTAGTCGACAACACTGAATTCTGCATTTTAAAATTTGTCCAGGCACGGTGGCTCACGCCTGTAATCCCAGCACTTTGGGAGGCCAAGGCGGGTGGATCACGAGGTCAGGGGTTTGCGATCAGCCTGGCCAAGATGGTGAGACTCAGTCTCTACTAAAAATACAAAAATTAGCTGGGCGTGGTGGTGCACACCTGTAATCCCAGCTACTCGGGAGACTGAGGCAGGATAGTCACTTGAACCCGGGAGGCAGAGGTTGCAGTGAGCTGAGATCACTTCATTGCACTCTAGCCTGGAAGACAAGAGCAAAACTCCGTCTAAATTAAAAAAAAAAAAAAAGGCAAGAGGGTAGATCTCATATTACCTGTTCTTACCATAATAAAATAAATTTTAAAAATTCAAATGCAAGCTGTGGGCTAAGGGAGAGGCATGGCTGTGTTTCAGGGGTCTTTGAACTTGAGCAGGGACAGCATGGCCTTGGGGACTTGGGAAAGCCTGGGTGCCCCCCTCCAAGGTGTCTCAGGCGGCAAGCTGGCGGCAAGCCCAGGAATCTGCATCCCTAACAAGCTCCAGGGACCCCACTTTGAGAAGCACTGCCCTGGGTCCAGGGTTGCCACACTGACGGCCCATGAGGGTCACTAGGGGGCAGGGGCTGGAGCTTCTGGCCACATCCCACACCACTTAAGCCAAATCAGCGTAGTTAGAACCTGGGCCTGTGTTTATAGTTCACTGCTCGGTGACTCCATGCACATCCAAGATTCAGCACGGCTGCCCTTGAACTTCTCACAGCTGGCTCCCAGGCTTCATCCAGGCATCTACTCAAATATCCCCTCCTCACTAGGCCCCCTGACTAACCTGCCTAAAAGAGCAACCTGGAACCCCTCTGAGCTTTCCCCACTCCCTTTGCAGTCTCATCTCTGCCAGACACGATGCTATCTGTGCAGTCAGCCTCTCCATCGTCCATGTTCCCTCTGGGCGGTCATGCCCAGAGGCTCGGGAACTTGGCTGTGTCCACTCCCTAGTCCTCACCTTCCAGATCACTGCTCAATATCTAGTCGATGGCCAAAACATATCTACATTGAATAAGTGAGTTATAATAATGTGTGGGCCGGGCACGGTGGCTCACGCCTGTAATCCCAGCACTTTGGGAGGCCGAGGCAGGCAGATCACAAGGTCAGGAAATCGAGACCATCCTGGCCAACAGGGTGAAACCCATCTCTACTAAAAATACAAAAATTAGTCGGGCATGGTGGTATGTGCCTGTATTCCCAGCTACTCAGGAGGCTGAGACACGAGAATCGCTTGAACCTGGGAGGCGGAGGCTGCAATGAGCCGAGATCACGCCACTGCATTCCAGCCTGGGCAACAGAGTGAGACTGTCTCAAAAATAGTAATAATAATAATAATGTGTATGTTTTCTATATGTTTCTAAACTTTATGTGGTTTTGGTCCTGGTCTGGGAAGGAAAGATTCACATTTAGAAACAGACGAAGCAGTGTTATGTAATGGAGCTTTTGGTCGTAATGGTCTGTGTCTGCACTGTCCACTCTGGGGACCACCAGCTACATGCGGTCATTGAACACTTAAAATTGGCTAGAAAAAAAGAGGAATTAAATTTTTATTTTTATCTAATTTTAATTAATTTTAACATAAGTAGCAACACATGACTAGTGGCCACTTTACTGCACAGAGCAGTGATAGAGAGCATCTGTGGTGATGGAGTTGACTCACTAGAAATCAAGAACCAGATTCGGCCCCAGCCCTGCAGGGAGTCACAGTCTCTTTCCTCATCATTCTTCATCTCTTCACCCTTTAGTGTGGTTCTTCTGAGATCCTCCAGTGATGGGGCTACTTTTTTTCAGATTGTGTGAAATCTGGTATGTTAAACTCTAAAAATTAAACAACGCATAGTGGAAGATTTTGAATTCCTGGTGTTTCATCAGCACAATTTTGGAGCAGGTGGCAGAAACCCAACTCAACTGGCTTAATCCAAATGGAGAATGAATTAGATTGACCATGTAGCTTCAGGCACAGTTGGTTCCAGGTGCCTGAACATTTTTAGCCTAGCCATTTGTCTCTTTGTCTCAGCTCTGCTTTTTCTGTCTGTGGATTTTTTTTCTCAGGCATAGTTTCCCAAAGGTAGTTCCTGGCATCCAAGCAATTTCTCATCCCCAGTAAAAAGTCTGCCTCTTTACCAAGAGTTCCAGCAAAAATCCCAGGATTCCTCCTAACGGTATTGTCATCCCATTTCTGAAGCAGCCACCCTGACTGTGACTGGCCAGGAATGGTGTGTGCCTGCCTCCCGCATAACCTCAGATCCAACAGGAGCCAAAATAATTGGAGTGGGGATGGGGGGAAGGGGGGCTGACAAACCCCAATAGATGCCTGTGACCCCCGGCTTTACAGACACCCCAGATCTGGCTGCTACTATTTTAGTTGTAGCATACCGATCTCTATTGATCAGAGATCAGGGGCAAGTGAGCTTCAACCGGAGTGAGGCATCCGGGCCTTCACAGCCACAGACCCTCATCCCTTGGCCTAAATTCTGCCAATGTTATGAAGACACAAAAGAGAATAAGGTGTCAGAGGCTAACAGCCCTCACCAGTGCAGCAAGGATTACTTCAGTTGATCTGTGTAAAGCACTTAGAAGAGTACTTGGCACATATTAAATACTATAGAAAAATATTGGCCATTATTATTAATTAGTAGCAGTAGTAACAGTAACATTAATTAGCTCTTCCTCCATGTTCATAGGAAATTGCTTTGTTTACTACAAAGGAGCTAGTTGCTGTTATTTATGATCCATACAGACTTAATTGATGTTCTTTTTCTCTCCAGATGCATACTCCAAATTTATTAGTATTATGCTAGTTTCTGTGCTGACACACCTGGTAAAATTGTGCGCTTAAAGTCCCAGGTGAGTGGAGGAACAGGAGTAATTTTTTTCCGACTACGAAAATGGGAAGATAACAGAGTAGGAGGAGCACTCAGTCTTCTGGAAGATCAGGAGGAAAGCAACCAGCCCTTTTCTTTGCACCTCGACCATGTGTGCAGAATCAATAAGGTCACTGAATGAGAACAGTCTCCTTAGCATGAAACCTTGCGTTTTCCATTCATTTTTCTAGGCAAAGGCTTCTCCTGACCTCAAATCTTTATGGAATATATCTCTTTAAATCCTGCATGGCTGCATTCAGCAGTCTTCAGAATGTGGTATGGAAACTCTTGGAGGTCCCCAAGACCCTTTCAAGGAGTCTGTGAGATCAAAACTATTTTTCTAATAGTGCTGTAGTAATTATCGATTGGTGCATAACAATTTTCCCTGAGACACAGTGGCTTAAAATAGCAATATAGGGCCAGGAATTCAGGAGCAGGTCTGTGGGGTGGTTCTGTCCTGAGGTCTTTCATGAGTTGCAGGTATGAGATTGGTGGGGGCTGCAGTCTCATCTGAAGGCTTGACTGGGACTGGAGGATCCATATTCAAGGTGGTCTCCTCACCTGGCTGGCAAGTGAGTTCCTCCCAAGCAGGCCGCATAGTGGCCTAACAACATGGTGGCTGGCTCCCCCCAGAGATCAAGGCTGCAGAGCCTTTTATGACAGCTTCGGATGCCATACACCATGGATTCTGCTACATCCCATTGGTTACATTGACAGCCCTGATTCAGTGTTGTAGGGGATTATACACAGGGTGTGATTACTGAGGACAGGGATTACTGGGACCATCTTGGAAGCTGACTCCCCAAAATGCTATAATGTTATTTGCCTTTTTTGCTCACAGTCCCTCACAAGTGCACAGAGACATAGGATGTTGTCATCACCCTGACAATAAATATAAAGTGTGACTGTGTCATCTTGAGTTTCAAAAACTTTTCAGTTTTAATTTCTAATGCAATGAGTATCAATAGATGCAACCTACGCCAGTAAAAGCTTTTTACAGTTCTCAATAATTTTTAAGACAATAAAGGGATCCTAAGACCAGGAATTCTGAGAAACCCTCACCTAGTTAAGAAGGCTGGAAGAATTAAATAGTAGTACCAAAAAGAGATGTTTGGGAAGAGTCTTTAATTCCTGATTCTCACATGGAAATCTAGTTTTTCTTACCAAACAGTTCTTGGCAAATATGTGAGTCAAGTGTGAGTGGAGATTTCATTTATTTAACTTTTCATCTAGATTATTCTTCACTCCTTTATGTTATACCCCACCACCAAAAAAAATCATGGTTAATAATTAATATTCCCAAGATAATGGGATAAGAGCCAAGGGCAGATGTCAAGCTAACTGCAGCTTCATATACAAAATTGCCTATCAATTAATTCATATAACAAATATTTATTGGATATCCACAAAGCACCAGGAAAATATTCTAGACTTTGAGTTCAGGAAGTGAACAAAATAATCAAGGTTCCTGCTTACCTGGTACAAGAATCACATGCCTTCCTTCTTTGTTTGAGTAGGGTCTTGCTTTGTCTTCCAGGCTGGAGTGCAGTGGCGTGATCACAGCTCACTGCATCCTCGAACTCCTGGGTTCCAGTGATCCTCCTGCCTCAGCCTCCTGAGTAGCTGGGACTACAGGCATGTGCCACGAAACCCAGCTAATTTTTAAATTCCTTTTGTAGAGACACGGTCTCACTATGTTGCCCAGCTAGTCTCAAACTCCTGGCCTCTAGCCATCTTCCTGTCTCAGCCTCCCAAAGTGCTGGGATTACAGGCATGAGCCGCTGTGCCCAGCCAACATGTCTTTTCATTAATGAAACCAAAAAGTAAGGAGACGGGACTTGATTTAGAAACCAGTGCTTCTCTATCTGAGGACAGATGGCTTTGAAAATATCTGCGTGCTGCTTCTTCGTAATTCATTATGTCTCAAGGGAATGGCCCCAACACTAACCCAAACAAATTAGAAAGTGCTTTCCATATGATAATTGACTTCCCTTTATCAGAAAATACATGATGCCTGCTATGTGAGTGACACCTCCTGAGATGTGGAGCCCTTGTGCTGTGCACAGCCTGTCCAACTGTACTTGGCAGCCTTGTGCGATCTCATCTACAAACTGAGTAAAACCCACTTTCCTTCGTTACAGAGAAACAGACGCCATCTATAGGGTGTTCATTCCTTCATTAGTTTTTCCTTCACCTGCATTTTAGGTTTTAGCACCAAACCAAAGACTTTGACTCTGGCTTTGCCTGTGCCAGAGCCTGAAGTTACTGTTATTATTAGCTTAAGATTCATGGTATCCCTTTTATTTCCTTTCCTTCTGAAGGGGCCTGGAAAAGGCTGGATTTATTAGGAAATGAGTATATGAGCAGTAGATAGTTCCTTTTCTAAGTATAACTGTCAGGCAGCTGTAGGGAAGAAGCAGTTTTCATTCTTGTAAATGCTGGGCTGGTGTGTGTGCACATATCACCCACAAAAAATAATGGGGATCAGGTTACTCAGAGCAAGTATTTTAAAGCAAGCATTTGCTGTAATCAGACCTAGATTCACTTACAAATGTGTTCCTGACATTATCTCCAATACATGCTTTCATAATGTTAAGAGATTCTAAACAGCAAACTTGCTAAGATACTGCATTGTATCCTATAATTGAAGCAAAAAAAGTTTTCAGAATGCTTACAGAATTCCTGCTGTGCTCAAGTGCAGAAATCACCAAAGCCGAAGTCCCTGCATACTAAAGATTCTTGAAAGTAAAAATGAAAAGGAATTGTTAATGGAATTTCATTTTCAAGAACCTTAGGTGGGTGCAGATTAGAATGAGAATTAATCTTGAGTATTTTGCTTTGTAAATTAATATGAGAATAGCTAGATGAAATGAGTTTTTTCTTTTTTTTTTTTTTTTGGTTTCTATCTGGATTTTGTCATGGAGTTTAAAAAGGTCAAAATCAGCACATTCATTTATTTTATTAAAAAGTGTTCTTTGTGCCTTCCAAGCACACATATGGGAGAGTTCTGTTTTCCCTTTGAGGGGCCACCTGCCACCAGGTTACACATGAGCCCCTGAAACAGATCTCCATTGTCTAAAAGCAACCCACAGTGAAGTTGTAACCTCTCAGGGTTGCAGCAGAACATTGTAAGAGCCATGGGCAACTTACAGTTTTATTTCTGAACCTAAAGAGAACTTCTGAAAAGCCAGCGCTCCCAGGTGGATGTCACTCACAGTGTACAGTCCCAACATGCCAGCTCCCTGCCCTAAAACCTTTATCTGAGAGGGAGTTTCCTCTTGCCCCCAAGTTGTGACAAAGGCACAAAGGTGAGGATAAGAGTTCTAAGTGCCACACATCCTGCATTCGGAGAGCCCCAGAAGTCGGGTCTAGCCACCTCCCCATAGCTGCCCAATCTCGGCTTTATTCCCTGTGGGAGGCAAGCTCTGCCAGTTCTACTAGGTTCTCAGGAGATGTTCTAAATTCTTCTCATCCACATATTTTTTTTGAGACAGGGTCTCACTCTGTTGCCCAGGCTGGAGTGCAGTAGCACGATCATAGCCCACTGCAGTCTTGACCTCCTGGGCTCAAGCAATCCTCCCAACTCAGCCTCCCAAGTAGCTGGAACCACAGGCATGCATCACCACCACCAGCTAATTTTTTAAAATTTTTTTTAGAGACAGGGTCTCACTTTGTTGCCCAGGCTGGTCTCAAATTCCTGGGTCAAGCCATCCTCCCATCTCAGCCTCCCAAAGTGCTAAGGTAACAGGCGTGAACTGCCACACCCGGTGTCATCCACATTTTTAAAAATAACTTTATTGAGGTATAATTGATGTATCAAAAATCTGCACATGTTTAATGTACACAATTTCATCAATTTGGACATGCACATCTACCTGTGAAATGGTCATTACAATCAAGGTAACAAGAAGACCCGTCACCTCCCAAAGTTTACTTATGTCCTTTTGTGGGTTTTGTTCTGTTTTGTTTTTTGGGTTTTTGTTTGTGTGTGTGTGTGTGTGTGTGTGTGTGTGTGTGTGTGTGTATTAAGAACACTTAACATGAGATCCACCCCCTTAACACTAGTTTTAAGTGCATAACACCCTATTATTAATACAGACCCAGGGTTGGACAGCAGATCTCTAGAACATACGTATTCACCTGGCATGACTGAAACTTTACACCCATTGAGCGACATCTCTTCATTCCCCCTCCCCCAGTCGCTGGCACCCACCATTTCCTTCTCTGCCTCTATGAGTTGCATTGTTTCAGAGACCACCTATGAATGGAATCATGCAGCGTTTTTCCCTCTGTGCTTGGTGTATTTTGCATAGTATAGGGTCCTCCAGGTTCATCCATATTGTCACAAATGGTAGGAGTTCCTTCTTTATGACTGAGTAATATTCTACTGTGTGTATCTACCATTTTTCTTTATGTATTCATCTGTCCATGGACACTTAGACTGTTTTCATATTTTGGTTGTTGTGAGTAACCCAGCAATAAATATAGGTGTGCAGATAACTCTTCTACATACTGATTTGATTTCCTTTGGATATACCTCCAGAAGTGGGATTGCTGGATCACATGGTAGTTTTATTTTTTATTTTTAAGGTCTTCTTTTGCAAGGTTTGTTGATTTTCCAAGAGGATTGTGAGAAATCCTCCCCACAGCCTACAATCCCCACAGGAACAGTACCTAACATTGTGGAGTGTTCACCATGTGCTCAGGAGCTCCTTAAGTCATCCCGAAAGCTCTGTATGGTAGCAGGCATTACTCCCATTCGCAGATGAGAAAGTCAAGGCTCAGAAGAGTAAAGTCATTCACCCAAAAATCACACAGCTTGTAAGGAGCTGCCATGGGGCTTGACCTCAGTCTATCTGATCTCCTTCCCCCTCCCTCAGATGACTGCAGAAGCTGAGAGACCAGCTGAGAGGCTGTATTTATAGTGTAAGCCTCTGTATTTACCACAATCTTTTCTAAATTGTTTTTGCTGTTCTCTTTTTTAAGTGGTTTTTATTTTATTTTTAGAGATGGGGTCTTGCTACATTGCCCGGGCTGGCCTGGAACTCGTGGGCTCCAGGAATCCTCCTGCTTCAGCCTCCTGAGTAACTGGATACCGTCTCATTTTTAAGGCATCTCCCCCATGTTCCTCTCGCCACGATACAAACCTGCTTCTGGGAAGCACTGCAGATAAAATGAGGCCTGCTCTGCTACAAACAGCCCAGTGGGATCCCACAGTTGGCACAGCAGAAGCTCCCAGAACAGAACTTTGCTGAGTTCAACTGCGAATATTTGTCTTTCTGTGACCTAATTTCTCTGCAGCCTTGCATATCTAGGTAGGAACCCTGGGACTTTCAGAATCAGCAAAAGAAAATGTCAGCCATAATTTGGGGGCTGATTTTAATTGAGATTATTTATGCATAGAGAGACACCATGGGAAACATGAGAGTGCTTTCATTTTCTGCAAAACCTCTAGAAGCTTCCAGTTCTGCATGGGAAGCCTGACCCTGTGTGTTTGTCTTCACTTCTGCAGAGGTTGGGGTAAAGAACTGGACTGGATAACCCTCTTAGCTCTGTGAGTGACTGAAGGCTAAATAATGAGTCATCATCTCCTTTCCTGACACCTGCTCAGTGCTCTACAGCTTATAAAATGCTTTCACATATTTGGTCTTGTTTTGTCTTTCTTGGTGTCAGTCATGGAAAATCCCCCTTCCAGGCAAACATCATCAGTATCCCCCAAAATAGGATTGTGTAATCCTGGGGCACCTAACCAGAGGAAGTCAGAGTAAAAACTAGCAAGAATTTCCAGAAATTAGAGCTGCCCTGGTTTGGTAAATCTGTAAGATCAAAGTTTGCTGAACCCTATTGAGTTTCATTTCCACAGTGATAATAATTAACAGTTCCTCAGTGCTGGCACCATGCTAAGTGCTTCATGTTCATTATTTCGTTTAATCCTCATAGCATCTGTTTCAGCGGTGTCTGAACCTATATTATCTTCATTTTACGGGTGAGGGCATTGAGGCCTGAAGGCAGAGCTAATATACCCTGGTCACACAGCTTGGAAAGGTGGTTACGGAATTTAAACCTATGTATCTCTGGCTCCAGGGTTTATCTTTTGACTGGCACACCTTAAATTGGAAAATATTTATAGTAAAAGGGTGGAGAAGAGGAGGAGAATGATAATGGCATTGATGATAGTTGTGGTGGTTATAATGACTGTAAGGCTGCTGGTGGTGATGGTGATTATGATGGTGCTGATGGTAATGATGGTAGTGATGATGATGATGATGGTGATGGTGGTGATGAAGAGGAGAATGGTGATGATGGTGGTGGTGATGGTGGTGATGGTGATGATGGTGGTGATGGTGATGGTGGTGATGGTGATGATGGTGGTGATGGTGATGGTGGTGATGGTGATGATGGTGGTGATGGTGATGGTGGTGATGATGATGGTGGTGATGGTGATGGTGGTGATGATGATGGTGATAATGACAATGGTGATGATGATGATGGTGATATGATGATGATGATGATGGTGTTGATAATGACAGTGGTGATGATGATGATGGTGTTAATGACAATGGTGATGATGATGGTGATGGTGGTGATGGTGATGATGGTGGTGATGGTGATGGTGGGGTGATGATGATGGTGATGATAATGACAATGGTGATGATGATGGTGATAATGATGATGGTGATGATGATGATGGTGTTGATAATGACAATGGTGATGATGATGATGGTGATGATGGTATGATGGTGATGATGGTGATGATGTTGGTATTGGTGATGAAGATGATGATGGTGATAATGGTAGTGGTAAAGATGACAATGATGATGGTGATGATGATGATAATAATGATGGCAAGAATGATGGTGATGATAATCATGGTCATGGTCATGGTAATAGTGGTGACATCATGTTTGAGAATAGCCAAAAATCAGATCTGATAAATGAGAAAATTGGAGAAAGAGAATGGCATTTTTGACCCAAAAGAAGGTGACAATAAATTGAAGGGATTGACTTCTTTCCTTTCTTGTGTTCATAAATTAACTCTGAGAGCAGTTCCCAAAGGTGGACAGCCATAATATGTCAAACATGGATACCTATGGGAATAGACTGCGGTCTTCCAGTAGGCTGACCAACCATCCCTGTTCACCTGAAACTGAGGAGGTTTCTGGGATGTGGGACTCCCAGTTTTAAAACTGGGACATCTGGGAAAAACAAGATGAATTTGTCATCCTTCCTCCCAAATTGACTTTGGGGTTACAAACAGGATGTGTAAGTCCACTGTGGCTATGTTAATACCATTTTCTTGCTTTACAAGTGAAGACTGTTACATGGAAGAAGTTCTTTGTCAGAATCTTAAGATGAATTTTGTTGTTGTTCATACTTATTGTTTGGGAGATTTCACACAAATAAATCCAGATTCCTGACTTAAAGAATGAAAATATCTGGCAACTCACAGACCACAAGACAGAAATCAGCAAGGCCTATTGGAGGCTGCATCCCTGCTAGCTTTGGATCAGGCGTGGGCTGGGGTTTACAATAATTTCTACAAAGTCCATTTCACCTCCTTGCTTTGCCTGCCCAACCTCTGTAAGCATTTCAATTAAAATAATGTGTGTAATTAGCACAGGGTTTGGCACTTGGGAAGTACTCAGAGATATAGCCATTTTAATTTATGATTTCTGCTTAGTAGCTCTCAGTTCAAGAGTACTGCAGTCACTCAGCAATAAAAATGAAGCACTGATGCTTGCTGCAGCATGGATGAGACTTGAAAACATTATCCTAAGTAAAAGAAACCAGTCACAAAAGACCACATGCTGTATGATTCCATTTATGTGAGATTACAGAAGGGGTAAATCCACAGAGACAAAAAGGAGCTTAGTGGCCGCCCAGGGCTGGGAGGGACTGGGGGCAACTCACAACTAAAGTGTGCAGAGTTTCTTTTGGGGGTGATGAAAATGTTCTGAAGTTGATTGTAGAGATGACTGCACAACTCTGAGAATCTACTAAAAACCATTGAATTATATATTTTAAATGAGTGAGCCAGGCTCAGTGGTTCATGCCTGTAATCCCAACACTTTGGGAGGCGGAGGCGGGCAGATCACTTGAACCCAGGAGTTCAAGACCTAGGTAACATGGCAAAACCTCTACAAAAAATTTAAAAATTAGTAAGGTGTAGTGACACAAACCTGTAGTTCCAGCTACTGGGGAGGCTGAGGTAGGAGGATCACTTGAGCCCAACAGGTTGGGCCGCAGTGAGCCATGATTACAGCACTGCACTGCAGCCTGGGTGACAGAGCAAGAAGACCCTGTATCACACACACGCACACACACACAGTGAGTGGATTGTATAGTATGTGCGTTGTATCTCAATAAAACTGTTTTCTAAAAGTGTGCTGCAGGCTAGCTTGGTTTCCAGTACAAATGCCACACTTGCTGATGAGAAAAGGGCTGAAGAGATGAAGAGAAAAACACAGGAGGTTCCCAGAGGGAGGAGTGCAATAGCCCGTGGTTGGAATGCAGAGTCAGGAGATGAATGCTCAGATCTGGGTCCTGACACTAGACGGTGCCCCCTTCACACAACTCCCCAGGCCTCCTCAGCCTTCAGGCCTCATTTGTGCCCTTGTCCCTGCATGAACACACTTCCATCATCTTCCCCACAGATCCATGTCCAGCATCTCCCTCAATAACACTAAGACAACAACTGCAGACATGTCCCCCCAGTGTCCCTGTGAGATCTGGAGTGGGTTGGGTTGTGTCCCTCAAAGAGGTATGTCCAAGTCTTAACACCACGTACCTGTAAATATGACCTTGCTTGGAAATAGGGTCTTTGCCGAAGTGATTAAGTGAAGGATCAAGATGAGATCATAGTGGATTAGGGTGATCTCTAAATCCAATGGCAAGTGTCCTCATAAGAGACAGAAAAGGAGGAAACACAGAGAGCACTGTGGGAAGAGGGAGGCAGAGATTGGAGTGAGGTTGCTGCAAGCCAAGGATCACCAAAGATTCCTGCAACCACCAGCAGCTGGAAGAGGCAAGGAAGAAACCTCCCCGGGGTCTTCAGAGTGAGCGTGACCCCACCAACACCTTGATCGTGGACCTCCAGCCGCAGAACCTTGAGAGAATAAACTTCTGTTACTCAAGCCATCAAGTCTGTGGTCATGCGTTATAGCAGCCACGGGAAACTAATCTAAAATTGGTATTATTTTCCCGTTTTTATTTTTTAAGTTTTTATTTTTTGAGATGGAGTCTCACTCTGTCACCGAGGCTGGAGTGCAGTGGCACGATCTCGACTCACTGCAACCTCCACCTCTTAAGTTCAAGTGATTTTTGTGCCTCTGCCTCCCCAGTAGCTGGGATTATAGGTGTGCACCACCATGCCCGGCTAATTTTTTTTTTTTTTTTTTTGTATTTTTAGTAGAGATGGGGTTTCACCATGTTGGTCAGGCTGATCTCAAACTCCTGACCTCAAGTGATCCACCTGCCTCCCAGAGTGCTGGGATTACAGGCATGAGCCACCACGCCCAGCTTATTTCCCATTTTTTGTTTTTTTTGTTTTGTTTTATTTTGTTTTATTGGAGATAGAGTCTCACTCTGTCACCATGCTGGAGTGCAGTGGTGCGATCTCGGCTCACTGCAAGCTCCACCTCTCGGGTTCAAGTGATTCTCCTGCCTCAGCCTCCCAAGTAGCTGGGACTACAGGTGTGTGCCACCATGTCTGGCTAATTTTTTGTATTTTAGTAGAGATGGGGTTTCACTGTGTTGCCCAGGCTGGTCTCGAACTCCTGAGCTCAGGTATTTCCTGTTTTTAAAGGGAAGGAAGTTCATATGGTTTAGATGTTTGTCCCCTCCAAATCTCATGCTGCAATGTGATCCCCAGCATTGGAGGTGGGGCCTGATGGGAAGTATTTGGGTCATGGGGACCGATCCCTCATGAATGTCTTGATATCCTTCTGGTGGTAATGAGTTCATGCAAGACCTGGTTGTTAAAGAGTCTGAGACGTCCGCTTCTCTCTCTTGCTCCCTCTCTCGCCATGTGATGCCAACCTTCCTTTGCCTTCCTCCCTGAATAAAAGCTTTCTGAGGCTTCCCCAGAGGCAGATGCCAGCACTGTGCTTCTTGTACAGCCTGCAGAACCATGAACCAATTAAACCTCTTGTCTTTATAAGTTACTCAGCCTCAGATAATCCTTTATGGCAATGCAAAGTAAACTAAAAGAGAAGCGGAGGCACAGAACGGTTAAGTAATTTGCCAAGGACACACAACTCAGAAGCAGCAGGCTGTGGTTGGAATCCAGCGAACTGGCTTCCAAGTGTGTGCTGTTCACCTGTGCTGCACCAGCTGGGCCAGTGGGCAGAGACTGAGGAGAGTTTTCGCAAGTGTCCTAAAGCAGGGGGCAGGAAATGTTTGTGTCTTCTGATGCCCGGGTCTCTTCTTATCATTGTAGCGATCTCTCACTGACTTCAGAGAATGCTTTCTTGAATTTGCCAGAAAAACCATGGCGTCGACGCACCAGTTCACTTCCCCTTAATCACTTCAAAGAAAGAGACAAGATCCTCTTTTTCTTTCCCCAGAGGCTTTTATTTGTCCAATATGTCAGTAACACCACGTGGGACAAGGGATTTCAGGACCGGATTACCGCTTGTGCTTCTCAAAATTAAATCTGCAAAGCTGGGCTGAGACACAGGAAACTGGAAAATGTCTCCACTAATTTGCAAAAGGTTTGAATTAATCCAAGAGATCAACCCAGGGCCGCAAGGGAGGCCCCTGGCTGCTGCTGTCTGGGCATACCCATTTGATGTGGACCTCACGTTCTGGCGGATACTCCCAGACTCCTCAGCAGACATGCTCGTTAACAATTGAGGAGGTAACGAAACCTCGGCTGAGGAACTTGGCTCACCGAGAGCAGAGAAAAACTGGCCAGAGAGCAGCGGCAAGTCACATGCTCAGCTGACAGCATCACACACGTCCATTTGGGGCCCCAAAAATCTCAGTATTCGGACACTGTATTTGCTGGGATAGACAACGGGCAGATTTTTAAAAATCCATTTTTACAGGGAAATTTGGGAGGAGAGAGAAGTACATCTAATTATATGTGTTTTGATCATTTAAATTGTTGATAATATAAAACATGTTATTGTTTTGTTTGCTACGTCAAGCTGCTTCCAACTGCTCTCGTTTTCTTTAGATTTTCACTTATTTTATTTTTATTTTTTGGTTGATGATAAGCCAGAATGCCTCCTTTTCATCCTATTATCTGGTTCTTTTCAAATTTTCCAACATAAAGATTAAGTATGATGTTACAGTAATGGCTCGATGAACTTGAGCCAAAAAAAAGCAAGGTCTAAATATAATATTAGAAAATGGATTTGAGCCCAAACCTACAATAGAAATTAATTGAAATCTGAAATGGTAGATAAATTAAAATGGTCAATATCATTAGTCATGGGGGAACTGCAAATTAAAGCCACAATGAAATATCGCCTCCCATGCACGACAAAAGCTAAGATGGAAACAGTGGCCAATACCAAGTGTTGGTGTGGATGTGGGGAACTGGAACCTGCATGCGCTGGTGGTGGGAATGCAGTAGGGTGACAAAGAGTTGTTGGAAAACAATTTGCCAGTTTCTTAATAGGTGAAATGTATGCTTGTCATACAACCCGGAAATTCTGCTCTCAGGAAGCTAAACATTTGTCCACATGGAGATAGGAAGGGAAATGTTATCATGCAACATTATTCATAATCTCCAAAACCCAAAATCAATCCATGTGTCCTTTAACTGGGGAAAGAATAAACAAATTTGTGGGTAGCCAAAGAATAAAACATGATTTGGCAATCAAATAGAACAATAAGTAAAAATAAATCAAATACATGAAAAACTATTTGGCCATAAAGAAACCACTGGGATGAAGTAAGTGAAGCGTTTAAAAATTACATATTGTAGAATTCCATTTAGATGAACTTTCTAAAAAAGGCAAAACTATAGGGACAGAAAGCAGGATCAGTGATCGCTGGGGGCTGGATTTTGAAGCACATATTAATTGCAAATAGCACAAGGGACTTTCTGCATAACGGTGTTCCAAAACTGGATTGTGGTACAGGCTACACAATTGTATAAAATTACTAAACTCCATGGCACTATACGCTTAAATTGTTAAGTTTTATGGCATGTATATTTCCCCTCAGTAGGGCTCTGGAGGTGTTGACAATATGAGAGGAGTAAAGTCCGTTTTCCTCTGGTCAGGTGTGTGAGCTGCAGCTTGTTCTTTGTTCAGAAAAGTCCGCGACAGGTAAGATGTTTGCTGGGACGCGTTGTGCTGCCAGTCTCTGCCACAAGAGGGCGGTGCCATCTATTATTTAAGTGGCAGGTGCTGGGCTTTCAACCTGTGGTTAGGGTCAAGTAGGATTCATGGGGTTTGGGGGCGAACAGCGTTGAAAGGGAGAATGAGTCCTCTGTGCTGAGAGCTGCAGTGGAACTAATGGGGCACTGAGATTGTGAACCTCCTGGCCTTCACTGAAACAGATCAGAGGCGACCCTGAGGGGGGACTCCTGGCCGCACTGGAGAAAGCCTGGGAAACTAGATGTGGTTGTGCCCAAGCCACCGTCTGTGGAGGGTCTGGGTGGACTATGGCGCTGTGGCTTTTCAGAACCAGTACGGCCTCTCTCCTCCAGAGCCCTCTCTCACGGCCTTGCCACAGCCAGGGATGGGCACCACCCAGGCTGGGCCAACTGGGTCTTTCTGATTCTTGACTGGCGATGCAAGGACAGAACAGAAGCCACCTGGCATCCCCTCGCCAGCATCTTCCTACCAAGACGTGGAGAAGCCCTCACTGCCCAGGCCCAGTCATGGCACCTGACCGCCAATTCTGTGGGGCACCCGAGATCCTTCCAGCACATTCTTCTCTCGCTTGAGTTATCCAGATTTCGTTTCTATGGTCACACCCCCAAATCCTCACTTGATGAAAGCTTTCTATGATTTTATGGGCACCAAGAAAACCAGCCTCCAAATTCTCTCTCCTGATAGCCTATGGATGTTGACTCAAGCCACCATTGCTAGCTCATCCCTCTCTTGGAAGTGTTTCTCTCTACCTGTGGTTCCTTTGAGATGCCAGTGCCCCAGCAGGGGCCCCCTTTGGGCTCAGTCCATCAGCGTTGGATGGGAGTGTGTTTAGCTCAGTCCATCAGCGTTGGATGAGTGTGTTTACTGGAGTCCATCGGCGTGGGATATGAATGTGTTTACTAGAGTCCATCGGCTTTGGATGTGAGTGTGTCTACTGGAGTCCATCAGTGCTGGATGTGAGTGTGTTTACTGGAGTCTATCAGTGCTGGATGTGAGTGTGTTTACTGGAGTCCATCAGTGCTGGATGTGAGTGTGTTTACTGGAGTCCATCGGCTTTGGATGTGAGTGTGTTTACTGGAGTCCATCAGTGTTGGATGAGTGTGTTTCCTGGAGTCCATCAGCATTGGATATGAGTGTTTAGCTCAGTTCATCAGCATTGGATGAGTGTGTTTACTGGAACCTATCAGCATTGGATGTGAGTGTGTTTAGCTCAGTCCATCAGTATTGGATGAGTGTGTTTACTGGAGTCCATCAGCATTGGATATGAGTGTGTTTACTGGAGTCCATCAGTGTTGGATGTGAGTGTGTTTACTGGAGTCCGTCAGCGTTGGATTTGAGTGTGTTTACTAGATCCCATCAACTTTCAATATGAGTGTGTTCACTGGAGTCCATCAGCGTTGGATGTGAGTGTGTTCACTAGATCCCATCAGTGTTGGATGTGAGTGTGTTTACTGGAGTCCATCAGCGTTGGATGTGAGTGTGTTTACTAGATCCCATCAGTGTTGGATGTGAGTGTGTTCACTAGATCCCATCAGTGTTGGATGTGAGTGTGTTTACTGGAGTCCATCAGCGCTGGATGTGAGTGTGTTTACTGGAGTCCATCAGCGCTGGATGTGAGTGTGTTTACTGGAGTCCATCAGCATTGGATATGAGTGTGTTTACTGGAGTCCATCAGCGTTGGATGAGTGTGTTTACTGGAGTCCATCAGCGCTGGATGTGAGTGTGTTTAGCTCAGTCCATCAGCGTTGGATGAGTGTGTTTACTGGAGTCCATCGGCGTTGGATGTGAGTGTGTTTAGCTCAGTCCATCAGCGTTGGATTAGTGTGTTTACTAGAGTCCATCAGCATTGGATATGAGTGTGTTTACCAGAGTCCATCAGCATTGGATGAGTGTGTTTACTGGAGTCCATCGGCATTGGATGTGAGTGTGTTTAGCTCAGTCCATCAGCATTGGATGAATGTGTTTACTGGAGTCCATCAGTGTTGGATGTGTGTTTACTGGAGTCCATCAGTGTTGGATGTGTGTTTACTGGAGTCCATCGGCGTTGGATGTGAGTGTGTTTACTGGAGTCCATCAGCATTGGATGTGAGTGTGTTTACTGGAGTCCATCAGCGTTGGATGTGAGTGTGTTTACTGGAGTGCATCAGCGTTGGATGTGAGTGTGTTTACTAGATCCCATCAGCGTTGGATGTGAGTGTGTTTACTAGATCCCATCAGTGTTGGATGTGAGTGTGTTTACTGGAGTCCATCAGCGTTGGATGTGAGTGTGTTTACTGGAGTCCATCAGCGTTGGATGTGTGTTTACTAGATCCCATCAGCGTTGGATGTGAGTGTGTTTACTAGATCCCATCAGTGTTGGATGTGAGTGTGTTTACTGGAGCCCATCAGCATTGGATGTGAGTGTGTTTACTAGAGTCCATCAGCGTTGGATGTGAGTGTGTTTACTAGATCCCATCAGCATTGGATATGAGTGTGTTTACTAGATCCCATCAGCATTGGATGAGTGTGTTTACTAGCCCCTATCAGCGTTGGATGTGAGTTTACTAGAGTCCATCAGCATTGGATATGAGTGTGCTTACTAGATCCCATCAATGTTGGATATGAGTGTGTTTACTGGGGTCCATCAGCGTTTGATGTGAGTGTGTTTACTAGATCCCATCAGCATTGGATGTGAGTGTGTTTACTAGAGTCCATGAGCGTTGGATGTGAGTGTGTTTACCAGATGCCATCAACGTTAAATATGAGTGTGTTTACTGGAGTCCATCAGCGTTGGATGTGAGTGTGTTTGCTAGATCCCATCAGTGTTGGATGTGAGTGTGTTCACTAGATCCCATCAGCGTTGGATGTGAGTGTGTTTACTGGAGTCCATTAGCATTGGAAGTGAGTGTGTTTACTGGAGTCCATCGGCATTTGATGTGAGTGTGTTTACTAGATCCCATCAGCATTGGATGTGAGTGTGTTTACTGGAGTCCATTAGCGTTGGATGTGAGTGTGTTTAGCTCAGTCCATCAGCATTGGATGAGTGTGTTTACTGGAGTCCATTGGCGTTGGATGTGAGTGTGTTTAGCTCAGTCCATCAGCGTTGGATGAGTGTGTTTACTAGAGTCCATCAGCATTGGATGTGAGTGTGTTTACTGGAGTCCATCAGCATTTGATGTGAGTGTGTTTACTAGATCCCATCAGCATTGGATGTGAGTGTGTTTACTGGAGTCCATTAGCGTTGGATGTGAGTGTGTTTACCAGATGCCATCAACGTTAAATATGAGTGTGTTTACTGGAGTCCATCAGCGTTGGATGTGAGTGTGTTTACTAGATCCCATCAGTGTTGGATGTGGGTGTGTTTACTGGAGTCCATCAGCGTTGGATATGAGTGTGTTTACTGGAGTCCATTAGCATTGGAAGTGAGTGTGTTTACTGGAGTCCATCAGCATTGGATATGAGCGTGTTTACTGGAGTCCATCAGCGTTGGATGAGTGTGTTTACTAGATCCCATCAGTGTTGGATGTGAGTGTGTTTACTGGAGTCCATCAGCGTTGGATATGAGTGTGTTTACTGGAGTCCATCAGCATTGGATATGAGTGTGTTTACTGGAGTCTGTCAGCGTTGGATGAGTGTGTTTACTGGAGTCCATCAGCATTGGATGAGTGTGTTTACTGGAGTCCATCAGCACTGGATGTGAGTGTGTTTAGCTCAGTCCATCAGCGTTGGATGAGTGTGTTTACTGGAGTCCATCGGCGTTGGATGTGAGTGTGTTTACTGGAGTCCATCAGCATTGGATGTGAGTGTGTTTAGCTCAGTCCATCAGCGTTGGATGAGTGTGTTTACTGGAGTCCATTGGCGTTGGATGTGAGTGTGTTTAGCTCAGTCCATCAGCGTTGGATGAGTGTGTTTACTAGAGTCCATCAGCATTGGATGTGAGTGTGTTTACTGGAGTCCATCAGCATTGGATGAGTGTGTTTACTGGAGTCCATCAGCATTGGATATGGGTGTGTTTACTGGAGTCCATCAGCATTGGATGAGTGTGTTTACTGGAGTCCATCAGCGTAGGATGTGAGTGTGTTTAGCTCAGTCCATCAGCATTGGATAAGTATGTTTACTGGAGTCCATCAGCATTGGATGTCAGTGTGTTTATTGGAGTCCATCAGCATTGTATGTGAGTGTGTTTACTGGAGAACTCCATCGTGTCCAGGTGATTGCCAGCCTGGCTCTCGTGGTGATTTATCAGCAGCTCTCCAGCTAGCTCCCACAACAGACTACTGATGGAATTTCAGGGATTCCACACAGCCAAAGTGTATTAATCACACTCATGCAAAGTGCGGTGCAGGTCAGCCTGGCTTCCCCTCCAGCCAGTGACTCAGGGATCCAACTCACACTATCCTGTGATACTGCCACCCTTGATTGTGCCACCAGGGAGGGAGGAAGCAGAGAGCTGACACACTGGTTCTTCTCTGCCTTAGCTTGGAAGGGACACACATCATTTGCACTCGTATTTTATTGGCTGCAAAGGATCTGGGACATAGACGTTTCCCTGTGGCTCAGGACAGAGAAGAGGTCCAGGTGTGGATGCACAACAGAAATGCCTCTCACACAGATACCACAGGCCACTTTCACCTCTTTCATAATACTGCTGGAGCAGGCTCTGCCCTTGGGACTGACTTTGAAAATACCCTTGATTTATAGCAATAATGTGTTTATACCCAAGTGATGCAAAATATTGCAAACAGTAAAGAGGTTATCACTTTGGAGAAGTATGTATTTCTCAACTGCCTCCTTTCTTGGCTAGGTTGAAAAAAAATGCCATTTCTCAGGCAAGTTGGTGCCACTTAGCCCATGTGCCACCCCAAAGGACGGCCTGTTTAATAACTCATTTATAGCATGAGGCATTCCAAAGATGGTGCCTGCTTAAATTGAATTGCTTTCTTTTTTAAATGCACGTTTTGAAATGGATTCTCTATCTTGTATTAGAAGCAAATTGACAGATAAGTAAAGTTTGTTTCCTGTACCCCAGCTTGCACTATGAATGAATTGAAAGTAAATGAGGAGGGAGTTGGGTTTCCCTGCAGTGACAGCCCAGAATTATTGGTCTGTTACTGCAAGCCAGCAGAGCTGTTAGCTATGTCCTCAGGGAGGGAGGAAAATTTGCTCAGCTACCATTTGAGACGAGTTGCATCTCCCCAGGATTGATCTGTTAAGTGGTTTACTATTGTGAGTCTATGTTCCTCCAGTGGTAACCTCTGGCAGAAACTCAGAGTGCAGTAGGGAAGAGGAATGAGGCTTGTTTTTAATGCCATGTGACTAATGCAGTTAACACAGTTCTCCACAGTCTAGAAGCCACATGCCTGGACCCTTGTAGGTCATTTTGACAAGGATGACTGTCCTTTGTATTCTGACTGCTATATTCTTGGGGTTTCCAGGTACCCCAAGAAGACCCATGAACACCTCATGTAAGAGTCTCATTAAAAGGAGGCCATTGCTATTGTAAGACTTTTAATATGGATAAAGTTTTATTTTTAAAAAAAGGTGGGGGAAGCATGGCATGGTGGCTCACATCTGTAATCCCAGCACTTTGGGAGGCTGAGGTGGGAGGATTGCTTGAGGCCAGGAGTTGGAGACCAGCCTGGGCAACATAGTGAGACCCCATCTCTACCAAAAAGAATTATTAATAATATCAGGGCAAGGATAGTGCATGCCTGCAGTCCCAGCTACTCGGGAGGCTGAAATGGGAAGATTGTTTGAGCCTAGGGGTTACAGGCTGCAGTGAGCAGTGAACTTTTTTGCCACTGCACTCCAGCCTGGGCAACACAGCAAGACCCTGTCTCAAAAAAAAAGTCATTGCTGGCCCACATTCATCAGGAGATTAGGGAGTCATCATGGTCACTCATAGGGCACCTGAGAAATTGCAGAGCCAATCTCATGTGTTACTTGAAATGTCCCATTTACATGGATGCAAATGAGGTAAGGCTCAAATTCCACCAACTGGAGTGGTGTGGGCTCCAACGAATCAGAACAGACCAGAGTCATAACACTGACCAATCAGAAGGGGGTCAGAGGGTCCACGTAGACCACAGAGCAGCAGCATGGGTATAAATCTCCACCCCTCAGATGGGGACTGCAGATTCAAACCATGACTTGCTGTCCTGAGCCTCGCCCAGATTTCTAAATCCACCATTCCATCAGGGAGTAAGAAACAAAATTTAGCCCCATCCTTCTTGGGGTTTCTACCCACTTCACAGTTTTTTGGGGTAACAACTCCTGGATCTCCTGTTGCCCAAGCCCAAGGCTGCAGCTTGAAGATTTTGTTTCCTGGTCTTGACACACAGGCTGCCCTGAGCTATCCATCATTCCTGGATTGCAGAGTCTCTTCACATCTGCAGTTGTCTGCAGCCCAAGCACAGGGCCCTGGCCTCATCTCCAAGGCTGGCTCTTCAGACAACGACTCCATCCAGGGTCCTGATGGTGCTCCTGCAGGAAGCAGGCCAAGATCCTGCTGCTTCTTTCTAATTCAAGGCCTTCGTCTTAAAGCGCCGTGCCCTCAAATTGCCTTCTTTAAAATGCTTTTAGAACTCAAATAGGAAAGATGTGCAAATGGTTTCTCCTTTTCTTTCATGCTCTATATGTTCATTAAGCAACTACTATGCCCAGTCACTGTTCCAGGCAGTGGGGGAGGAACAGCGACTGAGAGACACAACATCTCTTCATGGAGATTCCCTTTAAGAGGGAGACAGAGAAGGCCTCAAAGCTGAAATAAAACAATGTCTCCTAGGTGATCACAGCTAGGGAGACCATAGCAGGGAATGGG
The DNA here is from genome assembly GCF_000001405.40 of Homo sapiens. Lineage (NCBI taxonomy): Eukaryota > Metazoa > Chordata > Mammalia > Primates > Hominidae > Homo > Homo sapiens. Next base: position 128,651,713 of record NC_000012.12, read on the forward strand.
AATGGGGGGTGAAGGAAGGTGAGGGTGGAGCCATGTGGATATCTGGGGCAACAGCACTCCAGGCAGAAGGAACAGCATATGCAAAGACTGCCATGTTTAAGATATAGCAACAAGATGCTGTGGCTGGAAAACATGATGGAGTGGAGGAGAAGCAGGGAGGAAACCAAGGGGTCCAATTCCACAGAACTTTGGCTTCACTCTGACTCAGATGAAAACCAGCGGGACGTTTGAGCAGAGCAGCAGCCTGGTCTCATTGAAGTTTTAAAGGGTTTTTAACTCTATTTTCAGCTCCATGTGACTAATGCAGTTAGCACCCTTCTCCACAGTCCAGAAGTCACATGCCTGGACCCTTGCAGGTCATTTCGACAAGGATGACTCTCCTTTGTGTTCTGACCTCTCTATCCTTAGGGTTTTCAGGTACCCCAAGGCTGGCCCTGGCTGCTGTGTGCAGAGTAAACTCTCTTGAAATAGGATCTAGCCACATAACTAGATAATGAGAGAACCCTTACCCCATCCTCGTCTGCACATCAAAGGGATTTCTTGTTGGCTGTGGGGCGGGGTCGGTGCCAGGAGCAGAGCTGCACAGAGCACCTGCAAGGAAGCTTTCCCCTTCCTCCGGGATGGGAAGTGGGACACGTCAGCCCCACAACATCCCATTGATCTGTGTTTACAAAATTGGAAGAGACGCAGGACCCAACAAAGAACTCCTGTGCTAATAAAGGGTCAGCGATGAGGGTCACTCATTAAGATGCAACTCGCAAGGCAGCCGATAAGCTATAATTAATGAGACACCATCCAAGAACGTTTACAGCTCGGAACACAGAGTTCTCGGAGCCACAAGGAGCAGGATTCACAGAAGACAGAGGACAATGCCTCCACGTGCCTATAAGTGGAGCGTGCTCCGGGAAACGGGCCCAGGACAGGAGGCCTGCCTGGTGGCCAGCATGGCCACACTTCCCAGCCCCTGACCCGGGTAAAGCCCTTCTGGAGCCCCCATTGCTGTCTGGAATGACCACAAAAATAATGGCAGAGGAGTGGATTTCATAGCATGGAGAAAAGTGCTCAGGCCAATTTGGAGGAAGGAGATTCATAAATCCACGGGATTATTCTAACTTTGTCAGTTCACCAGAGTTAAAGAAAGATAATTCGCCTTGGGGAAAAGTCTATGTAATTACCTACTTTTAAAAAGGACCTGTCATAATGCACTCCTAGGTGTAAACCCAAGAGAAATGAAACCTACATCTACACAAAGACTTGTACTTAAATGTTCGTAGCAGCATTACTCGTAATAGCCAAAAAGTGGGAACAACCCAAATGTCCATCAATTGAGAAAGAAATATACAAAATGTAGTCTATCCATATAATAGAATATTATCAGGCCATTAAAAGGAAGGAAGGACCAATCCATGCTACCACGTGGACGAACCTTGAAAATATGATGAAAGAAGCCAGGCACAAAGGGCCACATGTTGTATGATTCCCTTTAAATAAAATGTCCAGAATAGGTAAGTCCATAGAGGCAGAAAGCCAATTAGTGGTTGCTGGGGGCTGGGAGGAGGGGGGGATGGGAGTGCCTGCTAATGGGATTAGAGTCGCCTTCTGGCATAAGGGAGGTGTTCTGAAGCTAGATTAAGTGAGAGTGTACTGGTTAGTATGCTTTAAATGTGTGCATCGTATGGTGTTTGAACTAAATCTCAATAAAGCTATTTTTTAAAGGAGCTTTCCTGAGATATTTAGTGTATGCATTTGCATTTTCTGAGTTGAGTTACAATATATGAGGGATATTGGTGTCAGATATTGTAGTGGGTCAGAGCATGAGCTTTAGGGTTCCATCGGCCTGGGCTCCATCCCTGGCTCCCCTCCTGACCTCCATACTTAGTAGCTGCCAGTTCTTGAGCTAGTTCATTACACTTCCTGTAAATCTTCCATTTCCTAACCTGTGAAGTGGGGGAGAATGTAAGTGCCGGCTCATTGGGCTGTTGAAACTAGATAAATCAGTGCATGCAGAAATGCCTGGAACAGCACCTGGTACTTGAAAAGAGCTCAAAATCATGGTGAGGTGCGAGGTGGCCCATGTTAGGGTTGGTATTTTTACTGCTATAATGGTGCTGATTGGATCAATTCACCATCAGCTCAGAGGGGCTGACACAGGAAGGGGAGAGCACACTGGGGGGCTTGGCTGTCCGGAGGCCAGAAGGGCGGGAATCCAAGCCCTCTGTGCCTCAGTTTCCCCTCCTGTGGTGACACCAGCCCTTTCTACTCTGCTGTGTTGACACCAGCCCTTTCTACTCTGCTGTGTTGAATGTCAAATGTGGCAATGATTTATGTGAAAATTCTTTGCAAAGAATAAAGAGACATTGTTGCAGGTTGACTTTTGTTCCCCCAAAAGATATGCTGAAGTCCTAATCCTCAGTACCTGTGAATCTGACCTTCTTTGGAAATAGGGTCTTTGCAGATACCATTGGGTTAAGATGAGGTCATTAGGTGGCTGCTAATCCAATGACTGGTGTCCCTATAGGTGGGAGATTTGGATAGAGCCACGGGGAGAGCGTTCCACGGTGGCAGAGGCAGAGATTGCAGCGTCACATACACAAGACCCAGAATTGCAGGGTTGCAGGCAAACCCCTGATGCTAGGAAGAGGCAGGGAAGGATCCTGCCCTGCAGCCTCAGAGGGAGCACGGCCCTGCTCACAACTTGATTTCAAAGTTCTGGCCTCCAGAACAGTGAGAGAATAAATTTCAGTCGTTGTATGCCATCCCGTTTGCTGTACTTCATTACAGCAGCCTTAGAAAACTAACAGAGGCATACACATCAATTACTGTTATTATCATGACTATGTATACAATAGTGCATTGCTTCCTGCCTAACAACATCGTAGATGCCCAATAACTCTGAGCCGCTCTGATGATTGATGGCTCCTGCAGGATCTCCGAGCTAACTAGGAAGCTCTTGTCACTCAGCGCCACACGCACCCTGCTGTACTCTGCTACAGAATGCTGGGCTGAGATGCTGCCTGGTTTTAGACATGGATCTTAATTGGTACACTGTTGCACTGTGCTAAGATTTCTAGAAGGAATTGCAAAGTCAAGACAAACAGAGGTGACAGAGAAGGCGTAACTAAGAACAGCCTCCCTATGGATGGGCCTGCCGGTGTATTGATGAAGAAAGTCTTTTCTCTTGCTCCCTGTAAATGTTCAGGAGAGAGAGCTTCCTGAGAAGCCTCCTCTCTCCTCTGTCCCCTGCCCTGCCACCTCGGGGTCTCCCTGCTCCTACCGAATCTAAGGCAGTCGCAGAGGAAATGAGGGGAATTGTTAGTGTTGTCATCAGCAACGCATTTTACTTTCGGCATCTCCTCAAGCATTTTTTAATCAATTCTACCAAAACATCATCCAGGACTCTTGGGGTTCATTAGGAAGTGGGAGCCGGGAGGCAGCGTGGTCAGGTAACGTGTCCAGCCTGGTCTGCTCCGTCAGGGCTGCCCTTCGCAAGCCGGCGGTAACAGGGTTCTCTTTTCTCCCCTGATGAGAGGAGTTGTTATACCGCACTGTGCGGCACAGCCGGGGTCTGCACTTGGCCTGCTTAGAGGGAAAATTACCTTACTGGGTGGAATTGCAAGAGGCCTCCCCTGCAATGCCTCTGTGTTTGTGTGCGTGTGTGTAATGTATTCTTAATCACCTGATTATGTAAATCACTGGTTGCACCTAACAGAGTCAGCTTGTTAATCAGATGGCTCTTCTCTGGACTACTCTGCCCTGAATCCAGAACCCACACTTCAAGCGCCCTCACTAATCAGCACGCCAGTCGGCTGCTGGGCGGCCCGTGCATCATTTTAACTAGTATGCCTTGAATTGGGAAAATGAAGCGCCCTTTTGGAGTAATTTTTCTATTGCTGCAAATTAGGCTGAGTTGTCAGTCTCTGCTTTCTCCTTCCTCTTATAACAGCCTTGCTGTCAGCCTGGCTCCACAGGGGCACCCACCACCAGCAGCCACAGAGAACAGTGGGATTACCACCACTCCCTGCCATTCCCAAACTGCAAGCCACCATCTAGCATCATTGCCAGGGACTTGACTTCTCATGGGTACAAAACCGGAATTTGTTGTAACGCATTCCAGTATAACCAGTAGTAGTCTTTGTCCACCATCTCAAGCATAAAAAGAAATATCTACATAAGTTAGCCTTAAGTTTGGCTGAGAATAACCGAAAACCTTCAAAACCTCTAGGTGAAACATAAAATAAGTTTATTTCACATACATAAGTAAGGCCATGACCACTATTAGTCATCAGAGATTTAGGCTTCTCCTATCTTACCTTCTCACCATCAGTAAATGGCTTTTTGTTTGTTTGTTTGTTTTTTGAGAAGGAGTCTCGCTCTGTCGCTCAGGCTGGAGTGCAGTGGCAGGATCTCAGCTCACTGCAACCTCTGCCTCCCGGGCACAAGCGATTCTCCTCCATCACCCTCCCTAGTAGCTGGGATTACAGGCGTGTGCCACCACACCCGGCTAATTTTTATATTTTTAGTAGAGACAGGGTTTCACCATGTTGGCCAGGCTGGTCTCGAACTCCTGACCTCAAGTGATCTGTCCACCTCGGCCTCCCAAAGTGCTGGGATTACAGACGTGAGCCACTGTGCCCAGCCTAGCAAATGGCTTTTATGTCCAAGTTTGCCTCATGATCCAAGGTGACTGCTGGTGTTCCAGCCATTATATCTATATTCCCAGTAGCAGGAAGGGAAAAAGGACGAAAGAAATGCCCCACTTACTGAGTTTCGTTCTCATTAAGGAGATTTTCTAAAGTACTGCATATTTCCGTTTACTTTTGGACTAGACCGGTTCTCAACCTTCAACAACATCAGAATCACTGGAGGAATTGGTAAAGCACTGGTAAATGTGCCCCACCAACCTTCAGAGTTTCTGATTCAGTAGGTCTGGGGTAGAGCCCAAAAATTTGCATTTCTAACAAGTCCCCAGAGGATGCTGATTCTGCTGGCCCAGGCACCACACTTTGAGAACCACTGTGTTTGAACCCAGTCACATGGTCACAGCCAGCTGCAAGGGAGGCTGAGAAGTTTAGTTTCTCCTCCCAACCCACCTCCCAAAGCATCATGGTTCAGTAACTGAAGAAAAAAAGAGAGTGGATATTGAGAGGCAGCCTCTTTTGCCACAATATCTTGCTCTATTTCCTCCAGATCTAATCAGTTTATTTTCCTAGCCCCTGCCTTTTGGGGGCTACCTCTGGGATTCAAGGTCTTTGTGTTGCTGCACAGACACCAGGCAGGCATCTTCTCCTGCGTCTTCTCCAAAATCTCTTCCTAGAAACCAGACGTGTGTTTCCTTTCAGAACCCAAAGACCACTCCTCCTCTCTCTTTACCTCCCAAGAGAAAAAAATTGGTTCTTTCTTTCTGGAAGGATGGGTGAAGGGAGCGCCCCCCTCCTCCGTGATTTTGGCCAAACATTTTGTCATACTTGTGAACTCCCTCACCTCTCTGGAATTTGGGAGGCATTTTGTTTTCTGTCCTTCTCCTCCTTCCCCCAAAGATACATACAGAACTGGTTTCCCTGCTTGAATAGGAGGAAGAAAGGGGAAGCCACAGAGAGGGAAAACGTAAGTTAATATCTCAATATTATCCCAGCAAACAGATTTCATCATTGTTTGGTAGCTAGAAAAGCTCTTTTTCTTTACTTCAGGAAGGGAGGCCAGGTTTTATAAGCATTGGGTAATGAGATGTGATGAGATTGGATGTTGCAATGAGGTGATGCAGGGAGGCATGATCTGACTGGATCCTGCCATGGGGTGACACCGGGGCTCAATCTGATTGGATCCTGCCATGGGGTGATGCCAGGGCTCGATCTGATTGGATCCTGGACCGTATTATGCAGTGTCCTGTTCTTAATTCAGTTCCCACACCTCAGTTTGAGCACTCAGGGTTCCTCTGTGTCTGCATGTGTGGCTCATCTAGGCATGCTCAGGCTATGTGACCTTCAACCTGGGGGTCCATGGCAAGTGAAAAACAACTCACAACTCTGTTACAGAAAAATGGAACCTATTGGTCTGGTGCAGCTACAGGGAGCTCAAAAGCAACTTGGTGAATCAGGACATTCAAATAGTGTCACAGTTTGTGGGCTCTGTTTCCTGGGATGAAGTTGGATGGGGTTGGGGTGGTGGAGTGGCCACCTCTGTACCAGGCACTGACCTGGGATTTTTTGTAGGTCCTCTTGCCTACAACCCTAGAGGAAACTGGGATTATCCCCATTTCACAGATGAGGAAAGCAAAGCTCCAACAAGGCAGGAGCAGGGACGCAGCTCCCATGGAGGCCACAAGGCAGGAGCAGGGACGCAGCTCCCATGGAGGCCTCAAGGCAGGAGCAGGGACGCAGCTCCCATGGAGGCCACAAGGCAGGAGCAGGGACGCAGCTCCCATGGAGGCCACAAGGCAGGAGCAGGGACGCAGCTCCCATGGAGGCCACAAGGCAGGAGCAGGGACGCAGCTCCCATGGAGGCCACAAGGCAGGAGCAGGGACGCAGCTCCCATGGAGGCCACAAGGCAGGCACCTTTTTAGTTTGAACTCATGAAGCCACGATGGTCGCTGCCCTCTGAATGCTGAGAGCTGGACCCTCTTTTCTGGGTTCCAATTTCAAAACTGGACCTTTCTTCCCCCTAGAACCTGCCACATGAGCTATCTCCCCAGAACCTGCCACGTGAGCGGTGTGCCTTCCCACTGTCTCCAGCGTCCTCCTAACCTGCTGGGATGTTTCCCCAACCAACTGCGCTTCCGCTGAGATAGAGGAAGACATGATCTTTTTTTTTTTCCTGTTCATATACTTTTCCTTTGGAGCAGGCAGTATGGTAATGTTATCTGCTATGGTTAAGTCCAGAAAGGCCAGTTTTAGGGGCCTCTTGCTATTCAAGTGTTTATAGTCACCTTCCTTGAGCTAAAAGCACATACAGGGAACCGGATGCTTTCAGTAACACAAAAATCATCACAAATGTAAATGATCAACCACTTATAAAGTTCTCCCCAATTCAAATCTCCCTTCCTATTTAACATGAGCCCCTCTGGTTTAGCGCAAGATTCCTCATAGGTCCAAACATGCAATGCAAATTATCAAGATGCAAATCTATGCCAAGTTGAGCAAAGGGTGCAGGCTTTTATGGAGGAAGCCATCATGCTGATGTTGAAGTCCCACTGGAAGCATGGTGGATCAGAGGCTGTAACCACTGAAGAGGAGAAAGCAATAAGGACAGGAGTTAGCTTCTGCAAAAGGAAGATGACTCCATGGCTCTACCAGAGAGAATGGCCTGAAACTTGAAGACTAAAAGAGGCCTTTGGAGGAAAGAGGGCCCTTCCTGTTGGAAAAATGATCTTGTTCAGGGATCAGCAAAGTTTTTCCATAAAGGGCTAGATAGTAAATATTTTCAGTTTTGCAGGACACAGTCTCTGTTGCATATTGTTTTTCTTTTCTTTCTTTTTTTTAAAAGCCTTGAGAATGTAAAAATCATTCTTGGCTAACAAATTTACATAAAAACTTGCCATGGACAGGAATTGGCTCCTGTGTCTTATTCATCAGTCTGCAAAATCTAATGGGATGTGAAAGACGTCTGTGAAGCCATTACAGACACCTGCTCTCCCCACAGAAATTCAATCCATCTTTCTCTTCATTCTGAGAAGCAGCACATGGTTGCCATCTCTGTTCTCAGCATCTACTTTGAATTAGTGAATAGTAGATTTCCCTATTAGTTGCCTTCCTCAAGGAAAATGTGAAACTTTTGGTCTGCAGTCAGCTCCGCAAGCCCCCAGAGGAGACCAAGCAAGACACCCTGAGCTCTGTGGACGTCTGTACGTGTGGAGGGGGAGCATTCGCCCAGTTATTCCTCCCTCAGAGACAGGTGGCAGGGAAGAAAATCCATGGATTTGGGAGGCACTCACAGGAATGGACTGCTTCTCTGGCTACAGATGGAAGGAAGGACACTTGGATTAAGCGTCCTTAAGTGTCCTTGGATAGATGATTGAAGACGGATTGGATAGATAGATTTAAGAGTCAGCGATGTCAGAATGGGTCTGGAGAGAAATGAAAAATGTCCATGTCCCACTGTCCAGTGGCTTCTCCAGTCCAGGGTGAGACAGGCCCTCAGGGCCACTCGTCCACTCCCACAACCCCCACTGGTGGGCTTGTTTTCTAGAGGGTTGTCTTGTGCAAAGAGTAAGAACCAGGGGCTGGACCTCTCACTTGGGGTTCATATCTCAGCTCCACCGCGCTGCTGGCTTTGTGAATTTGAGTGAGTTAGTTGGCATTCTTGACGTCGTCTCTTCACCCTTCAAATCAGGGTGAGAACAGAGTCTCCCTCCAAGGGTTCAGGGAGCTGGGATACACGAAGCGCTTAAAGAGAATCTGGCACGTAATGCATGCTGCTGTCGACACCAAAGGTCGGCTCCACCTCAGAGAAAACACGCTTGAGAGAGGTGGCAGGTGTGGTGGATAAAAGAAATGAAAGGAAGATGGTGTCACTGTCCAGCTGTGTGGCCCTGGGCAAGTCATTCCTCCTCGTCCAGGTGGGCTGAGGAACCCCTTTCCTCTCTGATTCTGGTGCTCAAAAATGGGATGACTTATAACTTGCTTTAAAATAGCCAGTTCTATAGGAGAAGTTTCTTCCCAGAAATTAAACTTGGGAATGAGAATGTAAGGTCTGGGCACAACCACTGGGAGTTCCTGCAGGGTCTCCTTTGAGATGTGCGGCCAACTAGTTTAACCTGCACGGCTAGAAACGCCTCTTAAGTCCACTTTGATCCACTTAGAAGGGCCAAATTTTCATAGCAAAGTGTAAGGCAGGCTAATTCCTGCTTTCTCTATGGGCTTCCCACTTGTTGTTTGTGGTTCCCAGACACTTTATGCAGTCACTTTCCCAGCATATAGTTCAAGGATGGGGATCAGCTTCCTCAAAGAAGAAAACGGCTTGCCAAGCCCCATTTGCCCATGTGCCCACGACCTTGGCATCGTGGACTGGCCCAAAGCCAGGCCTTAGGGCTCTCAGGTCTCTGCAGTCCACAAGCCCTGAACCTCCACGGCCACCGTGAGCCAGGCACGGTAATTACAGTAATAGGGAAGTAAATGGTACCCTACCCACCAAAATATCTAAAATAAAGAGGCTGGTAAAACAGCAGGTTTCACCAGAGAAACAAGATGAGGAGGGAGGTAGGTAGGTAGGTAGATAGACAGATAGACAGATAGGAGACAGAAAGAAGATAGATTAGATAGCGAGAGGTAAGATAGATAATACATAGATGACAGACTAGATAGATGACAGATTAGATAGATGATAGAAGATAGATTGGATAGATGATAGACACATAAATAGATAGACAGATGATTGATAGGCTAGATAGATAGACAGATATAGCTATGTGTCATGGACAAACTGTCATGAAGGGCAGCCTGGATCTTTGGGGCACAAACTGAAGTGCTGTCCACAGGCAAGATTTCTTCCTGTTCAGGGAAGCCTCAGCTCTGCTTCTAAATGCCTTTCAAACCAATTGGATCAGGCCCACCCAGATTATGCAGGATAACTTCCTTTATAAATAAAGTCAGCTGATTATGAGCATTAGTCACATCTACAAAATCCCATCACAGCAACAGCTAGGTTAATGTTTAGTTGACCAGCTGGAACCATCACCTGGCCAAGGGATACGTAATCATGGGGGTTTGCCAGGGTCTCAGGGAAGGACGGCCTCACACGCTGCTGCTCAGAGTGTATGATGACAACTGCTTGGAAGCACCAAATAGCAGGATCAAAGAGGAAAATGTGTACCCTCTCAACCCAGCAATTTCACTTCTGGGATGAGAAGATGCTAAAAAAAAAAAAAAACCCTGGATACATATGCACATGGAGGGATTCAGTTATTTGCAAAGGCAAAGAATTTGAAACACTGTAAGTTTCCATGGGTAAGAGAATGGAAAAGTAAAATATAGAAAAGGCACACAATGGAATTTAGTCAGTTTTGAGACAAATGAATTCAATCAGTATGTAAATATGGATCTAAATAGGAATAAATGCTCCAGCTATACAAACAGGGATAGATCATAAAAACATAATGTTGAGTGTTTTGAAAAACAAAACACAGGTTGATGAAAGTACAATATGATATATTTACATAAACTATGTAAAACGTGCTTTTGTATAAAACATAAAAGCAAAAGACAATACCATATTTTCTTTACATAAATATGGATATTTGGTTAAAGTATAAGAATCACAAACTGGAAAGATACATGCCAAATCCTGACAGTGATTGCCACTAGGGAGGGAAATTGAGGATCAGGACTGGAAAAATGACAGAGGAGATTTTAAAGTTATCAGCCATGTTTTCTCTTTTGTAAAAGAAAAAAAATCTGAAAAGAATACAAAAAGTGCTAACATAAATACATTTTAAATGTGTTTGGATGTCTGCTATGTGCTTGACTTGTTTTTATTTTATTTTCTATTCCTCCCCCTGCACAGCCCCAATTTTCAGAGAGAAAGAGAGATTGAAGTGGGTGAATTTGGCCTCCCTCCAGCCACCAATTGCCTTATACGAGACACTTCACATTTATGTTTAATAGCTGCCCTTTGAGTCAACTTGGACTTTGTTCCAAACCCTGACAGGCAATCCATAAACATTATCTGATTTAATCTTCACAACAACCCTAATTATTCTGGGAGTTCACAGTCAAGGAATCTGATGCTTGGAGCATTTAAATAATAGCAAGAAAAGGGCAGAGCCAGGATTTAAGGCAATTCTCTCTCAGGTCCTTGCTCTTGACCTGCCGAGAAGTTGTGGTCAAGAACATATACTCCTGCCCTGGGCTCGACATTCAAATGTGGCTGAATCATGTATGGGCTATGTCCCCAGACAAGTCAGTCACTCAGCTCCATGCCTCAGTTTCCCCATCCATAGACTAAGGATAACACAACTACCCGCTTCATGGGTTTGGGGTAGCGGTGAGAATAGTAGCAACACCTAGCACATGCCAAGAGCTCCTCAAATGTGACTTGGCTTTTTTTTTCCTTTTTATTAACTACTACCTCTTCTTGACTCCCAGCCACATGGATTGAGAGAGGTTGTTTGCTGCTCTCTGGGACATTTTAGATTAAGCTCACCCTTTCTCCAGACCCTCATGAAATTTAAACCCCCAAAGTTGCTTTACTAGGCAGACGTCTGGTCTCTGAGCCACGAATGTGTCTGTTCTTAGTCCCATGTCCAGGGTCAGTCAGCTGTGGGTAGAGATAGATCATTGGCTTGTCTGAGGCCACGCGGGAGCCCAGAATCGAAAGCCGGATCTGAGCCTGATGTGGCCTTTCCATGGCTCCAGCCCCATCCCACACTCTTTCCTTTCTTTTTTATAGAGATATAATTCTCATGCCATAAAATGTACTGTTTTAAAATATACAGGTCAGTGGTTCTTAGTATTTGCAAGGTTATGAACCATCATCCCTATCTAATTTCAGAACACGTGCATCACCACAAAAGGAGACGTCGTACCCATTACCAGTCACTTCCCTTCCCCATCCCTGCAGCGCCTGACCACCACTAATGCCGTTCTGTCTGCGGATTTGCCTGGTGTGGACATTTCGTATGAGTAGGACCATGTAATATGGGGCCTTTGTGTTGGCCTTGTTTCACCTCACACAACATGTTCATGATCCATCCATGTTGTTGCATGCATGCATTCCTTTTTGTGGCTGAATAGTCTTCCGTTGTGTGGATGTAATACATTTCCTCACTCTTTTCTACTCTGCAGGAGAACCCTTGGGGGATATTCGAGGTGGGGCGTTTTACACCCATTCCTGGGACAAATCCCCCATCTCTGTGGCCAGTGAGTCAAACTCCCCTAACATATTTCAGTCTATTCACACTTCCGAGTCTTTTTAACACTTCCGTGTTAAGGAACATGGATTTACTTCTGGAATGACTTCATGAAATTACTTCTATGTATAGGTACGTGTGCCTGCATGTATGCGTGTGTGTATGTGTGTGTGCTTGTGTTTGTATATGTGCGAGTGCCTACTCTGTAGGCCTGCCACATCAATATCATGCACACACAGGCACTCACACATACAGGCACATGCACCCACATACAGGCACACCCACCCACATGCACGCACGCAGGCACTCACACAGGCACACACACATACAGGCACAAGCACCCACATGCACGCACACAGGCACACACACCTGCACGCACGCGGACACTCACACAGGCACACACACATACAGGCACATGCACCCACACGCACGCACGCGGGCACTCACACAGGCACACACGCATACACACAGGCACACGCACCCACACGCACGCACGCGGGCACTCACAGGCACACACACATACAGGCACAAGCACCCACACGCACGCACACAGGCACACGCACCCGCACGCACGCGGGCACTCACACAGGCACACACACATGCGCACAGGCACACGCACCCACACGCATGCACGCAGGCACTCACACAGGCACACACACATGCCTGTGTGTGTTCCATGAAGTCGTTCCAGAAGTAATTCCATGTTCTTATTTATTTAAAAGTTAAAAATATAGTTCACCTAGAAAATGGCCAAACTAATTTACATTTATGAGGGTAAATCAAACAACAAAAATGTGTTTTCTCAGAAGCCTCTGGCTTTTTTCAAATTTGAAATGACCATGATTTAAAGAACCCTACCTTATTGATTATTTTCAGCAAAACAGAACAGTTCTCTGATTTATGACGGAGGTGGGTGGAGGGCTTCAGAGCAAGGTAAAAGGAGAGAAAAAACATTTAATAATACAAAAAGCTTCCAAGTCATAGTTATGCCTTTGTCGTGTTCTGAGGCCTTGAGACAGTGTTGATAAGCGGTCTCTAACACCTACTGGGGTCGGCAGGAATTGTACACCTGTGTGCTTTCAGGAAGCAGGCTGCCTTCTGTGATGCTAAACTCATCAGAGCCGGATGGGGCCAGAGGAAAGGCAGCTAGCAGTGTAAGCCTTCTTCCGAGCAGTGCTAAGCAGCAGCATAAAGGGAAGCGGCATCCACCGCCAGCCAGCCATGCACATGATGTGTTCTTCTTGGTCCCGCGGGGGTTTAGGTGGGTCTCAGAAGACAGAACAATTGTATACACATAAATAGTGTGCTAGGCATATTGCTGTGAATTGGCCTCAACTAAAAAGGTATTTGAGAGGTGCAACCAGATGCAAAGAACTCTGTAGGCCTGCCACATCAATATCATACACACAGGCACTCACACATACACACAGGCACATGCACCCATATGCACACAGGCACTCATACATATACACACAGGAACTCACACTCATACATATACACACATAAGCACTCTCACATACACAAACACAGGCACTCACACATACACAGGCACACACACAGGCACTCACACACACATAGGCACATGTACCCATATGCACACACTCACACATACACAAACAGGCACACACACACACAGGCACATGCACCCATATGTAAACAGACACTCATACCTATACACACAGGCTCGCACACACATAGGCACTCGCACATACACAAACAGGCACACGCACACACAGGCACTCACACATACACAAACAGGCACACACACACAAATAGGCACATGTACCCATGTGCACACAGACACACATACACAAACACAGGTGCACACACACACAGACACAGGCACTCACACATACACAAATACAGGCACACACAGGCACATGTAGCCATACACGTAGGCACTCACACACACACAAACATAGGCGCACACACACACAGAGGCACAGGTACCCATATGCACACAGGCACTCACACATACACAAATGCAGGCGCAAAAATACAGGCGCACACACACACACAGGCATATGCACCCATATGCACACAGGCACTCACACATACCCAAACACAGGCACACACACACACACACACACACCCAGGCACATGTACCCATAAACACACAGGCATACACACATACACATACAGGCACACACACATTCACAGGCACTCATACACAAACACAGGCACACACATACACCCAGGCACATGTACTCATAAGCACACAGGCACTCACACACACAGGCACACACACATTCACAGGCACACACACATTCACAGGCACTCACACAAACACAGGCACACACACACACATACACACAGGCACACGTACCCATAAACACACAGCCACACACACATTCACAGGCACACACACATTCACAGGGACTCATACACAAACACAGGCACACACACACACACGGGCACATGTACCCGTAAACACACAGGCACTCACACACAGGCACACACACATTCACAGGCGCACATTCACAGGCACTCATACACAAACACAGGCACTCATACACAAACACACAGGCACACACACACAGGCACACATACCCATAAACACACAGGCACCCACACACACAGGCACACACACATTCACAGGCATTCATACACAAACACAGGCACACACACACATACACACAGGCACATGTACCCATAAACAGGCACCCACACACACAGGCACACACACATTCACAGGCACACACATTCACAGGCACTCATACACAAACACAGGCACACACATACACACAGGCACATGTACCCATAAACACGCAGGCACTCACACACACAGGCACACACACATTTTTTTCTCTCTGCCTTCATGAGACACTGAATCTTGCACTTGGACTTCCCAGCCTCCAGAACTGTAAGAAACAAATTTCTGCTGTTTAGAAGCTACCCAGTCTATGCTATTTTCTTATAGCAGCCTGAATGAACTAAGACAGTCTAGGATTCAACAGTCGAAAAGATAGATGACATAGCCCAACCCCTGCTAATTTGTAAAATGAGGAAACAAAGATTCCAAGAGATATGATATGTGATCAGGATTGCACAGGAAGTTAATGGGAAAGCAAGGAGCGGAATCCAGGAGTCCAGACTCCAGGGCCCACCACTTCATAGACACCAAACTACCAGTCAGAAGAGTGGTTTTAAATACAGGGAACTTCCTCCATGTCACAGCCAGTTTATTCTGGAGGCCAAAGTTTCCTTTTATCATTTGTTATTTCTATGACTATTAATTCTCTGCTCCTGAAATTGATATTGGTCAGTGAAAAATATATATGTCCGAGGCAGGTGGATCACGAGGTCAGGAGATCGAGACCATCCTGGCTAACACGGTGAAACCCCATCTCTACTAAAAATACAAAAAATTAGCCGGGCGTGGTGGCCGGTGCCTGTAGTCCCCGCTACTCGGGAGGCTGAGGCAGGAGAATGGCGTGAACCCGGGAGGCGGAGCTTGCAGTGAGCCGAGGTCGCGCCACTGCACTCCAGCCTGGGCGACAGAGCAAGACTCCGTCTCAAAATATATATAGATACAGATATAGATAGAGATAGAGATAGAGATATATATACATACACATATACATATATGTCCAACCCATCTTAATTTTGGTGGAGTGCAATTTAGGGACAGGGAGTGTTAGGTAGAGTGTGTGAACATGTGTGTGTGTGCGCATGTGTGCGTGTAGTTGCAACAGCCGTTAGAAAACTAATCACAATCCATGAGGGAATGTACTGCTTTAATGAAGCCATTAGCCAAAGACCATTCTGAGAGAGAAAATGTAAAGACTGAACTCCAAGCACATTACCTGTAATGAACCTGAAAATAGACCTGGGGAATTTCTAAAGTATTCTTAGCCTCCATAATAGACATTGTGCAAGCTGCCTGGATTGCAGCCCAGCTCCAGGAATCCCACGGACCCAGGAGAAGACACAGCCGAGGGTGGTAACTGCTGGCTGATGCAAAAGCATCACAGAGAGGCCGAGGCTCTACTTAAAACTCATAACTCTTTTAGCTGCGCCCTTGTTTAATGCAAAAGGTCATTTTTGTGTCAATTGCTTCCCTGGAGAAAGAACGGAGAAAATCTTTTTCCACCTCCTGCTTCACACCAGAGCAGTGTTTCTGGAAAGGGACTTTGTGAGAAACTGGCATCATTAGATGTCCCAAAGCCAAGGCCCTTTTTCATTTTCATCTGTCCATAAAGAAAAGAATTATAAAAAGGCAATCAGGTAGTATCCTACAAAATCAAACAGAAGGTATTTTCGTCATCACCTGGCAGATCACAACATACATGAGAGGTGTGACACTAATAGTTTTGCGTGAAGTCGTCTGAGCAGGATAAATCAAAGTCCCCATTGACTATGATGGAATGGGCTCCCATGGAGCAACAGAGGAAGGCACTTTGCTTTGCTTTAGTCTTCATTTTTTAAAAAATGAAGGTGCCAAGCACGGTGGCCCATGCCTGTAATCCCAGCACTTCGGGAGACTGAGGCAGGAGGATCGCTTCAAGCTAGGAGTTCAAGACCAGCCTGGACAACATAGCAAGATCCTGTCTCTACAAGAAAAGTAAAAAATTAAAATGATCTGGGCATGGTGACACTTGCCTATGTTCCCAGCACTTTGGTAGGCCAAGGTGGGAGGATCACTTGAGGCCAGGAGTTCAAGACCAGCCTGGGCAACATAGCGAGACCCCATATCAAAAAAAAAGAAAAAAGAATAGGAATGGTTGAAGATGAGGGAAGGGGAGATGAAGGGGGAAAAAAGATGTCAAGAAAATTGACAGCATATAAGACATTGTTTGGCCCTCTGAACACAATCATATCCCATGCTATAGGCATTTCAGGTACATGAGCCAATAAATTTCCCTTATATATAAAGTAAAAAAGAAAAAGAAAGTAATGGTTGAAGACATTCATTCCACCTTATTTGGGAGACACAGCCCATTATTTCCTGCTTTTAGTATCCTTGAAGGTGATCTGGACTTTGCAAAACCTTCTTCAGCTCTTCTTTTGTTGCTGGGAGCAATCCAGGATCTAGCCCGTAAGGATCTGTGTTAGTTTCCTGATGCTGCGATGACAAATTAACACAAATGTATCATCCTACACTTCTGGAGGACAGAAGTCTGAAGTGAGTCTTAAGGGGCTAAAGTTAAGATGTTGGCAGGGCTGCACTCCTTCTGGAAGCTCTCAGGGAAAATCTGTTCCTTGCCTTCTCCAGCTTGCTTCTAGAGACTGTTCACATCTCTTGGCTCATGGCCATATCACCCTGACCTCTGCCTCCACTGCAACATCTCCTCCTCCTCCTCTGACCTTCATGGCTCCCTCTTATAAGGACTTTAGGATGACTGGATCCACCTAGATAATCCAGGATAATTCTTCCATCTTAAGATCTTAATTCAATCACAATTGCAATGTCCCTTTTACCATGTAAGGTAACATTCACAAATCCCGGAGATTAGAGCATGGATATCTTTTGCAGGAGGTGAGAGGAAAGCATTATTCAACTTACTGTGCTTGCTCAAGGTACCCAGGGTTAGTTTCTGTTGCTTACAACCAAACCTAACTGATGTATTACTTCCACTTGGTCTCTGCAATAAAGAAAAAGAATAAATACTTTTTGATTGTTGTTGAAAACTAGAAATATGATCATAAATAAACTAAAAGTAAACTGTTAAACATTCTTGGTAAATTGTTCCAAAGAATAGCCCTTTATTCCAAGTCCTGGTACAGTATGTAAATGGTACAGTGTGTCTTGTACAAACAAGGACAGCCTGGTGTTTACCCTGGGAGATTCCCCCTAGAATTGTCCAGTTCCCAACAGAATGGAATATCTCCCTTGACCCAGTGTGTTTGATTCTTTTTGGCAGGACACTGAAATTCTGAACACCGCCGTACTCACAGGAAAGACAGTTGCCATGCCTATCAAGGTGGTCTCTGTGGAGGAGAACAGTGCCGTGATGGACATCTCAGAGTCGGTGGAGTGCAAGTCCACAGACGAGGACGTTATCAAAGTAAGTCATTCCACAGCCAGCTGGATGGAACCGGTGGGAACTTCACTTGGACATCCCGTTTGCTAGGGACATTTAGACTGAAATACATGACGTTCAACTATACAGAGGCTTATGTGCAACACACTTCCAGCTGATCCACTCAACGTGTCCATTGCCATCTCTTTGTTTTCACATCATGCCAACCTGGTTAGGGTTTTTGGTTCATTCCTGTCTTTCTTCCTTTATTTGACAATTAAAAATTGTGTGTGTGCATATACCTGTATAATGCACAACATATTATTTTAAAATACATATACATTATGGAATGGCTAAATTGAGCTATTAGGCCAATGCAAAAGTAATTATGGTTCTTGCCATTACTTTTAAATGGCAGAATCCACAATTACTTTTGTACCAACCTAATAATTAACATATGCATAACCTCACATCTCACATACTTATCTTTTTTATGTGATGAGAACTTAATCTACTCTCTTAGCAATTTTCAAGAATATATTATTACACTTTAGGAGGCTGAGGTGGGTGGATCACCTGAGGTCAGGAGTTCTAGACTAGCCTGGCCAACATGGTGAAACCCCATCTCTACTAAAAATACAAAAATTAGCTGGGTGTGATGGTGCACACCTGTAATCCCAGTACTTGGGAGACTGAGGCAGGAGAATCACTTGAACCCATGAGGCAGAGGTTGCAGTGAGCTGAGATCGTGCCACTGCACTCCAGCCTGGGTGGCAGAGCGAGACTCCATCTCAAATAATATATATATATGTTATTAGTAACTAAATGTAGCATATTATACCAAAAAATTGCTTGAACATATTCCTTCTCCTGTCTAACTGATATTTTGTATCTTTTGACCAATATCTGCACAACTGTCCCCTTACCCATCCCCTGGTAACTGCCATTCTATCTCTGCTCCTATCAGTTCAACTTCACTAGATTCCACATGTACGTGAGATCGTGCAGTGTTTGTCTTTCTGTGCCTGGCTTACTTCACTTAACATGATGTCCTGTAGGTTCGTCCACGTTCTAACAAATAATAGGATTTCTTTATTTTTTTAAGGTTGAACAGTCTTCCATTGTGTTTATACACCACATTCTCTTTACCCACTCATCCCTTGATAGACCATCAGTGGTGCTTTGGACTATGGGTCAAACTCTGAATGCCTACTGTAGCTAAGCAGGTAACTTCAATAAGTGAAGTGGTAAATTGGTTCTGCCTATTCTAGAAGAGCAGCCAAGATTCTGCTCTTTGTCTTTCCCAGCAAGGAAATTGCTATAACCAGCTGTGGTCATGAGGTAGTGGGATTTCAGTATTTTATGTCTCCAAAAGAACGGAAAATCTAGATTTCTGGTTAAAAAAAGCAACAACCTTGTTTTTCAAGGTTAGCAGCAAATTCTAATTTTTTTTAATGGGCAAAAAAATAAAAAACAAAATACATTTGTGCTGTGGGTTGGCCGATGGGGTAACTGTTTAAAAGCACCCTTAAAGAGTAGGGGTTGGCAAACCATGAGCCATGGGCCAAACCTAGTCACTGCCTATTTTGTAAATAAAGTTTTATTGGGACATAGCCACTCAAATTCACTTCCATTTTGCCTGTAGCTGCTTTGGGGGCTACCACAGGAGAATTGAGTAGTTGACAGAAAACATATGGCTTAGAAAGTCTAAAATATCCAGCATTTTGCTCTTCCCAGAAACGGCTTGCCTAGAGTAATGTGTGCTCTAGAGTCTTAAGTTTTTTGGAGGAAGAACTGCAATTCCTGGTGTTTCCCATCATTAGTCATGATGCTACACCACAATGCTTGCTTAAAGAATAAGGCGATGTGAGGGCTTTACCAAGCCAGAAATGAAGCATTTTGTCTCTCTCTGTATTTTTCTGTAAACCCTGGAAACACATCCAGGAAAAAACAAATATCAAAAAAAGCATTCGGGTAGTGATTTTTGTTTCCCTCAAATCAAGTCTGACAGATAGCAACCAGCCTTCTCTCTGGTGTTTAAAACTCCATGTCTGAGTAGAAGAGAAGTTTACAAACTGTTGAGGTGGATAAATGGCATGGAAAAACACTTCTCTGCAAACCCCACCCCCAGAACAAGCAATAGACCACCATGCTAGACTGTCCACTGGGCTCAGCGCCACCATCACACAGCGACGTCCACACTCAACCATGACAGCATTCCAGTAGGTGGCAGTAAACATTCCAGCAACATCCATATACTATGACGATTCTTCTGACTGTTGGAGGTAGTATCTCAAGAAAGGGCTTTTTTCCCTAATTTACCCGGAAGTGATATATGACCTGGTGGTGGCCTTCAATACAGAGTGCTTTAACAGAAAGACCACAAAGCCCATGGGAGGAAGAGGAAAAGGGGGATGAAGTTCTAAATCACACTGTCCAATGGAAACACAATGTGAGCCACATATGAAATTTTAAATTTTCTAATAGCCACATTCAAAAAAAGTTTTAAGAAAAGTTGAATTTAATTGTAATAATGCATTGTGTTTAACCCATTATATTAAAACTTTACCATTTCTACATGTAGTCTATATAAACATTAATAATGAAATATTTTACTTTTTTTTACACTAAGTCTTTGAAATCTAGTATGTGTTTTATACTAACAGCACACTGAAATCGAAACTAGCCCCATTTCCAGTGCTTCATAGCCATGTGTGGCTTGTGGCTCCCACAGTGGACAGCACAGGTCCTTGTTGGTCACTGGCCTTTGTCACTGATTTGCAAGCCCCCTAAAAGCCAGAACACTTGATGAATGTAACGTGTTGATAAGACACCTCCAGTACTGATAACTTTTCTAGAGGTAAATAACCTTTCAGCCTACAAAAACCAAGAGGGAAACAACCCAAAATTTATCACAGCTGTATACATAGCAATCCTTAACTACTCTTAAGACAATTTTGACAGGAAGTCCATTACTAATATCTCCAGGAATTATAATCAGTATCTTTAGGGAAATAAATGTATTCAAACAGAAAATTGCCTCCTGAAATGAATCCAGAGTTGATACCCCTGGCTGTTGACAAAGCAATGTGAAATCTTGAGTCAGCAGAAACTGGGTGAGGACATCAGAGCAGGCAGGCTCAGTGTACATGAGCACAGTCCATAGGACCCAGGCTTGGCTGTGGCCTTGGGTCTGATGAGATCAATGATATTTTCAGTGCTAGTTGGGTACAGCTCAGAATGCCATGGAGAGAAGATGGGGAGGGAATTGACATTTAATCAGTGCCTAGTCTGCAGCAGGCCCATGAGGTTTTGGATTTAGGCAGTTCAGAGTTCTGTCAAGAATTCTGAAGGCTCTGAGATTGCACCCTAGTGTAAACTGGCAAATCAAACTGTCACAGTTTTGTGGATGCTGGCAGAAGACACAAGACCCCGAGGTCAGAGACAAATGACAGTCACTGTATCAGCATCTTTCTGCACCAGTTGCCTGGGCTTCAGTTCCCACTGGCTTATGCAGAAGAGGCCAGTGACACTTGCACATGTAGTGGATCGGGTTTCAGGAGAGGAATGCTGGCCTTCGAGAATGTGCATCTTTTATCATGGGCTGTATGTTTGTGTCCCACCCTGAATTCATATGTGGAAGCCCTTAACACCCAATGCAATGGTATTAGAGGTAGGGCCTTTAGGAGGTAATTAGGCTTCAATGAGGGTGGAGCCCCACGATGGCAGTAGTACTCTTATAAGAAGAGGAAAAGAGACCAGAGCTTGCTGTCTCTCTACTATGTGAGGATATAGCAAGAAGGCAGCAGTCCGCAAGCCAGGAGGGCTCTCAGTAGAACCCAGCAATTCTGGCATCCTGATCTCAGACTTCCCAGTCTTCGGAACTGTGAGAAATAAATGTGTGTGTGTTGTTTAAGCCACCTGACTTACGGTATTCTGTTAAAGCAGGCCAACCTGACTTAAGACAGGCAGGAAGCCTGCCTGACCTCCCCAAAGAGACAATGCCTTTATCATACTGGGCCTGAAGCTCCAGAAGAAGGCACTGTCTGTCTTCCAAGACTGTTCACTATATAAAACACTTTGAAAAGACCTTTCAGAACAAAAATAGTCTATGCTCTGTTTGTACAATGTGCTGAAATGCAAGCATATCATGGAGAATGTCTCCCGAAGAATTCCTGATGGCTTTGCCACATTCAAGCTGTGCAGCCTTGAGTGAATCATACAGCGTTCCCTCCAGTACTCAGTCTCCTTCTTAGTAAAGTGAGGATAAGCATAGTTCCTAATTCAAAAGGTCAGCATGAGGATTAATCAGTTTTATAAATGCAACAGAGAACATGACCTAGTAGCCAGCATATAGTAAGGGCTTAATAACTCAGAGTCAACTCTGGTCATCTCATGTAATCCTCTGATTAGGTAGATCAGGGATTAAGACTGGAGGCTTCCAAGTATATTTGTGTGATATGCACAGTGTTGCTTAAAAATGTAAGAATTGGATGCAACTCACTTCAAATGTACAATTCAGTGATTTTTAGTAAATTATACTAAGTTTGGCAACCATCACCATGATCCGATTTTATAACATTTTTGTCACAGTTAATCCCCATTCCCATCCCTGGCCCCTGGCAGTCACTAAGCTGGTTTCTGTCTCTATAGATTTGCCTGCTGTGGGCATTTCCCATGAATGGCATCATACAGTACATGGTCTTTTGTGTCTACTTTTTCCACTTAGCGTTGTTTTCGAAGCTCATCTACATGGTAGCATGGGGCAGTAGTTTGTTTCTTTTATTGCGGAATAGTATTCCACTGTATGGATATACCATATTGTGTTCATCCATTCACTCAGTTGGGTTGTTTCCACTTTTCAGATGTTTCATCCATTTATGAATCATGCTGCAATGAATATTCACATTCACGCCTTTGTGTGGACATACATTTTCATTCCTCTTGAGTAGATACAGAGGAGTAGAATGGCTTGGTCATATGGTAACCTTACATTTAATGTTTGAGAAACTGCCAAACTTTTTTCCAAAGTGGCTATACCATTTTGCATTCTCACGAGTCATATCTGAGGGTTTCCTCTCCAGCTTATTGGGAAAATCCAGCAGATCTGGCAGAGCTACAGTGTGCTCACCTGGCAACACTGTGGGGTGCCCTTTATTTATTTTTTCATTTTTCCATAAGTTATTGGCGTACAGGTGGTATTTGGTTACATGAGTAAGTTCTTTACTGGTGATTTGTGAGGTTTTTGGTGCAACCATCACCCGAGCAGTATACACTGCACCATATTTGTAGTCTTTTATCCCTTGCCTCCCGCCCCCAAAATTCCCCCCAAGGCCCCAAAGTCCATTGTATCATTCTAATGCATTTGCATCCTCAGAGCTTAGCTCCCACCGGCACCTTCTGATTTATCACAGTTGCCTTATGTTTGGTCCACTTCCATTATCTGCTTGGCCCGTGTAAGCACTTGAATGTGTGTAGATGGGACAGTACCCAATGTGTAAATGTGGAGGCTGAGATTCAGCAGGAGGACTTGGGTTTTATGATTTTGCTTCCTCACTTTTCCTTTTTCTTTCCTTCATTCTTTCCTTCTTTGTTTTCTTTCTTCCTCTTTTCCTCCTCAATTTCATTCAGCCAACATTTATTAACCAACTACCACATTTAAGGTTCTGTGATTTTGGTAAGGAAAAAGCAGATGAAGAAGGTGAACCTCTCAGGACTCACAGCCAAACAGAAGAGGTAAACATGCGAGACTTTATTTTGCATACCAACTCATTTACTACTCATAACATCTGCATTATCGCTATTATTAATTCTGTCTTATAGTAGAAAAAAACTGAGGCTCAGCAAATGGAGGCCACCTGCCTGAGGTCACGCAACTTGTACATGGCAGAGAAGGGATTCTAACTAGAAGGCCAAAAGCTCTTGACCATTAGGCTATATAGTCTCTGTACATTCAAATTTTGCTTAACATTTTACTTTTTATTTGGAATTTCAAACTTATCTCAAAGGTTGCAGTGACTGGACAAAGTATACTATATACCCTTTACTGAGGTTCTACTGTTGTCAATATTTACCCATTTGCTTTTTCACAGTTTCAGTCTCTCTCTCTCTTTCTCTCTTCCCATCCTCTAGATAGACAGATAGACAGATAGGCAGGTAGATGGATAGATGGATGGATAGGTGGATATGTGAATAGATGGGTGGGTGGACAGATGGAGGAAGGGAGATAGATAGATAAGATAGGTGATTAATAGATTATTGGTAGGTAATAGGTTAGATAGATAAGTGATAGATTAGATAGATGGTAGATTTAGATAGATAGAAGATAGATAGATAGATAGATAGATAGATAGATAGATAGATAGATAAATAGATAGATAGATAGATTTGTTGCTGAACCACTTCAGAGTAAGTTACATATATCAAGGCCTTTTAACTCTAACTACTTCAGTGTATATTTCCTAAGAATAAGAATATTCTTTTACATACCCACAGTCATCAACTTCAGTTAATTTAATGTTGATACAATATATTATCTAATCCATATTCTGTTTTCCAATTTTGTCAGTTGGCCAACCGTGTCTTGTGGAGGAGCATATTTTTCTGCAGTACAAGATCCAATCCAGGCTCACATGCACATTTAATTGTCACGTACTCTAGCCTCCTTTAAGCTGAAGCAAGTCCTTAGCATTGCCCTGTCTTTTAACGCACAGAATACTCTTGAGAAATACAGTCCTTTTTTTTTAAATTTTTAAATAAAATATTCCTCATTTAAGATTTCCTGGTATTTCTTCATTTAGATTCACATTTGCATTCCCAGCAAGGATAACTATACAAGTGACGATATACATACATATTTTGTTTCATTTATTTTTGTAGGCTTTTTAATCACCCTGAAATACTTTGGTGGGTATTTTTTCTGATTATATAAGTAATGTATAAAATTTGTCTACAATAATAATTGCTCCAGAAAACTCTAAGAAAGAAAGAACTACCTTTACTCCCATCACCCTTAGAGAATCATTGTAAACATTTTGGTAATCATTTCTTACACACATATACCCACATATACAGATAATTTTTA
This sequence comes from Homo sapiens, assembly GCF_000001405.40. Classification (NCBI taxonomy): domain Eukaryota; kingdom Metazoa; phylum Chordata; class Mammalia; order Primates; family Hominidae; genus Homo; species Homo sapiens. The sequence continues at coordinate 128,676,600 of NC_000012.12, forward strand.
AAGAATAAGATATCATACATACTGTTTTTGTTAACCACAAACTGTCTTATTGGCAAATCTACATACATACACATACACGCTCACACACATGTGTCTACACAATTCAACACACATGTATAAGGGCTTTTCAGTCCTGGTTTGTCTTACAGAAATAGAGCCATATCCTTATGCATTTCTGCCTATTCCTTCTCTCACCTTACAATGCATCATGAATATCGCTGCCTTGGAGCACTTGGAACATGAAGCCAGGCCAGTGTGCGGTGTAAAAGTATGATAAGGGCTGAGGAGTCTTGTCTGCGATGTGCAGGTTAATAGGAGTCATAACATCTGAATGGGAGAGAACCCTGGATGTCGGCCTCTTTGTTGATTCACATTCAAGAGGTGAAGGAGCAGCACCTAGAGAAGGGCCAAGGGCCATGACTTGCCCAACAATAACCCCAGGAACAATAATAGGAAGAAAAACATGCAATATGGACAAGCGCTTGCAATGCCCAAGTGTCCATCTTAGAGGATCTCATCTATGGGGTCCAAGCTTTAAAACATCTTTGACATAAAGCTGTGTCTTGCTTGCAGTTGATGACATGGCACAGATTACCTGGCAGTGGTTTTCTTAGTGTGGTGTCATAGATTTAGCAATATCCAGTCCGTGTTTTTCACAGGTCACATGACAATCTATTAAACACAGATGTGCCGGCCATTTTCTAGGTACCATTCTGGTATGGGGGACACAGCAATTAAATAGAACAGAAGCGGTCCCTGCCCTCAAGGAAGCAGCATGCTAGTGATAGAGAGAAGCAGATAATAAGAAAATGCATGAGAATCTTACGGAGATGATGGGCGACATGAATAGGACACTGCTGGAGAGGGGCTTAGGTGGGGGCTGCTGGGGATGGGGTGGTCCTCAAGGAGGGGACACTGGAGTCAGTTAGCAAGGAAAATAATGATTATTAATGCCTGTACCTGGCTGTACCTCCTATTTGGACAGCACCCTATGTACATCCCCTCACCCTAATGACACTGACACACAATACCCCACCCTGTGCCCCCTGGGTGCCCCCACCCTGGTCCTCAGCCCTGCATGTGCCTTCCGCAGGACTCCTGCAGCCATGGGTTGCTAGGCACTGCCCAGGACAGGGTGGGGATGCTGAGATTTAAAGCATCATTAGAGAAAGTTCATCTATTGAATTTCCAGTGCAGCCTGTCTGACCTCCAGGGCACGATACTAGCTAATGGATCCCAGTGCAGAGCTAAAAATAATGCATTTGGGCAACAAGCAGGCCTGGCTTTTCCCCAGTGACCAAAGGTGCCTGCGTTAGCTCCGGCACATGGAGAGCAACCTTGCTCAGCCAACAGCCTGATAGTTGCCCTGAGCTTGGGCTCCCGTCAGCACTAAACTTTCTCTGTGCTGAACCTACTATTGATTTTGCAGGCTCCAAGTCCTTGAGAGTGTGAAGTTCTTTGGCAACAGCCCTAAGTTTTTAGGGTATCTACAGGATGCATTACTGCTTTCGGGTGGCATCCCTCCCTAAACAGCAGGACAGCAGAAGAGAGTTTTCTATTTGTTCTTGTCATGGCTGAGGGGCTTTGGAAGAAACTCTGGAAGGTCTTTATCCTCAAGAGCCATTTGGTGGTTCTCAGATGAAAGAAAATTAAAGAGAACAAAGAAATTCCTGGAATCCAGAAGTCCCGGACTCCAAGCCAAGCTGGGTGACATTGCCCTACCGTAGCCCCTTTGTGGACTTGGGGTCCCTGCTGTAAAGCAAGGACGCTCATTCCTTGAGGGGCTCTTCTAGTGCCCGCATTCCATCTGGGATTCAAAGTGCAGTTTAAATGGCATGCTTAAGAGCTTGAACTCTGCCACTGACAAGTTCTTCTTTAAGCCTCAGTTCTTTCATCTGCAAAATGGGGGAAGCCCCAGGCCTACCCCAGAAGATTGTTTTGAGTTTGAACGCAGTCATCCATCTCAAGCATGCAGGACGATGCCTTTGTGTCAACTCTTCCTCCTACCCAGGCAGCCCTAGACCAGTGGTTCTCTGTGGGGTGACTGAACCCCCTGAGAACATCTAGCAATGTCTGGAGACATTTTTGGTTGTCACACCTGGAGCAGAGGCTGCTGGCATCTAGTGGTTAGAAGTTAAGGACGCTGCTTGTACATCCTGCGATTCCAGGACAGCCCTCACAACAAAGAATTATCTGACCCCAAATGTCAATCATGCTGAGGTTGAGAAGTCCCGCCCTAGGCCGAGCAGACACCACGGGGTCTCCAGTCTCCTGTGGGAGGACGCTCATTGCCATGAAAGTGCCTGGTGTGGTGACTTAGTCTGGAAGAAAAGGCCACTGCCTTTGGCCTCAGACAGACTCCTGTTATGTCTTTCTGTCACTTATCTTCTGAGTGATCTTGGGGAAGTCAACCTCTCTGAGCCTCAGTGTCCTTATCTCAGATATGGAGATCCTAAGAGTCATATTGCATAGATGCTACTCAAAGATTGAAAAAGAAAAGGCAGGTGACACGCCTGGCACATATTAAGTGCTCAATAATTGTCAGGTAGCACTGGTAATGGGGGTCATGGCAGCTGCAATATTCACTAAGCTCTGCTGAGAGCTGAGAGCTGTTCAAAGCAGAGAGTTCTCCACACTGTATTGGCTAGTGGACTTGGGTCTTTATTTAATCACTGGGAGGCTAGACTTGCATTAGGCAGCTATTGCTGTGATAATGCTGCATAACAAAACAACCTGACATCTCAGTAACTTAACAACAGCAAGCACTGGTTTCTCCCTCAGGGGTCCCTGGGTTAAGTAGAGCAGCCCTGCCTCAGTGTGCCAGTTGTGTGGGCTGGGATCCAGATTTGTTTTGGGTTTGGGTTGGCTCTGTGTGTCTCATTTTGGTGGCAAAAGGCAGCAGCACCTTGAGAACATTCTTCTCATGGTGGCTTATAGGAGCACAAGTGGCCAGGCAAAGCCCTGAAAGCACATTTGGGGCCTTTGTGGACCTGACACCCAGTAACATCTTGCTTTACAGCCATAGTCTTTACAGTCATAATCCTTTCATCAAAGCTATGATTTCCTCATTCTCTTCACGGATATTTATTGAGCACGTACTATGCTCTGGGGATACAGTCATGAACCAACTGCGCCAGAACCCCACTTTCACAAATTTATCTGTAATAGCAGAGATAGAAAGTATATAAGTAAACAAACATAAAAGCAAGTTCATTTCAAATATTGTAGATGCTATGGAGAAAACCAAGAGGGTAATGGGACGAGGAGAGGATTCACAGGGCTAGTTCATGGTCAACCATCATGGAAGCTTCTCTGGGGAGGTAGCATTTGAGCTGAGATCTAAATGCCAAGAGCTTGGGAAAGAGCTGTCCAAGCAGAAAGAACAGCAAGTGCAAAGGCCCCAGGGTATGAACAGGCTTTGCAAGTCCAAGGAACAAAAGAACAGCCAGGATGAAGGAGGATGAAGAGTAAGAAGACGAAGAGAAAACGTTAAGATGCATGAAATAGGCAGGGCCAGGTCGTCCAAGGCCTTGGAGTCTGTGTTCAGAATTTTGTTTTACTCTCAGAGCAATATGACACTGCAGGGTATTCTGGTTTGGGGTTTAAGTAGATCACTCGAGAAAGGATGAGGCAGGTACTACTCTAAGTCTTATTTTACAAATGAGGAAATTCAGGCCCAGAGAAGCTGAGTGACTGGCCCAAAGCCGCACAGCTGATTAGTAGCAGAGCCAGGATTCGAACTCAGGTCTGCCTGATCACCAAGCCCACATGGCCTCAGATTCCCAGCAGGCTCAGGCAAGTATGGGAATATGCTGTCATCATAGACTGATATTAAGATTTACCCATAGCTGCGCTGCCCAGTATGACAGCTGCTAACCATGTGTGACTATTTAAATTAGTTAGAATGGAATAAAATGAAAATTTCAGCTCCTCAGTCACTCTAGCCACATCTCAGGTGCTCATTAGTCACATGTGGCTAGTGTCTACCACACTGGACAGCACACATATGGGACATTTCCATCATCACAGAAAGTTCTATGGGAAGCACAGAATCAAAACCTTTGACTGGTAGGAGCTATGCCACACATTCGTTCCTAGGAAAGGTTGATGGATAAACCTTTTTTGGCCTAGAACTGGCCAAAAAGATCAGGTTGTTCTGACCCTCTGATTTAAGCTACAGATAATATCCTGTTCTAATAAAAGACTTTTATGGAACATAAGACCATTTACTGATGAGTCAGATTTTACTTGAGCCAAATAGGGCTCCATGTGAGTGCACTTAAATGGAAAGAGAAGTTTTTAAGTCTCACGGACCTTGCAGCTGGTCTCTGCATTGATGAAAAGTTTCTGGTCAGGTTCATGAAGCACGGGATACAGTCCAGTTTGAGACCCAGGTGTCTGGTTAGCCTCGGGGAAGATGTAGCTCTGGAAATCAGTTCTTCTATTCTTGTTTTTTCTCCTGCCAGATCCTATCATTCCTGTCCCACTTTGACCCCTCTGCCTCCTGAGTAGCTGGGATTACAGGCATGAATCCCATGCCCAGCTAATTCTTTGCATTTTTAGTAAAGATGGGTTTCACCATGTTGGCCAGGCTGGTCTCAAACTCCTGACCTCAAGTGATCTGCACACCTTGGCCTCCCAAAGTGCTGGGATTACAGGTGTGAGCCACCGCACCCGGCCTGTTTTTCATTTTTATAAGTTTTTTATGTTTCTCCTCTTGTCCTCCTTCCTGAGAGGCTGGTGGAAAGAGTGGCACCGATGGGTCTGGGCTGGTGAAGATATCCAGTAAAATTACCCCTTATATCTGAGAGGATGATTTTGGTTAACAGACCCAAACCGAGTTAAGGGGGAAAACATCTAGGGGTTCCTATATCTGAACTGTAAGAGATTTCCTGGCTTCTGGGATGGCTGGATCCAGGGGCTCAAATGAAGTAATCAGTATTTTTATGTTATTTCCGACTTTCCATCACTTGGCTTAGCATTCTCCATACTGATCACAGTCTCTGACAAGTTGTCCTGTCCTACCATGGCTGCAGACAGCTACCAGACTGTATCTTTTTTTTTTTTTTTTTGAGACAGAGTCTCACCCTATCTCCCAGGCTGGAGTGCAGTGGCATGATCTTGGCTCGCTGCAACCTCCACCTCCCGGGTTCAAGTGATTCTCCTGCCTCAGCCTCCTGAGTAGCTGGGACTACAGGTGAGCGCTACCACGCCTGGATTTTTTTTTTTTTTTTTTTTTTTTGTATTTTTAGTAGAGACAGGGTTTCACTATGTTGGCCAGGCTGGTCTCAAACTCCTGACCTTAAGTGATCCACCCACCTTGGCCTCCCAAAGTGCTGGGATTACAGGTGTGAGCCACCGTGCCCGGCCCAGATGGTATCTTTACAGGTAGAAATCTAGCAGAAAAGCAAATACCTTTTGTGTGGCCTGGCTTGAATCAAAATCCTGAGGTCTCCTCTGATTGCTCCCGCTTAGGTCCGTCCTGTGCTAACCTCTGAGCCAATTGCTGTGGCTAGGAATGAGAAGCTCTGATTGGCTTAGGCCATCGTCACATGATTTCACTCTTCTGGCTGGAGGCGGAGCTTCAGCCAAACCTCTACACAGGAGTGGGGCAAGGGAAGACCCCCAAAGAAACTAGGGCTGTGGCCACAGGGAGCTCCATGGGATGACAGTGGGGGCTCCTCTCCTCCACCCCCTTATTCTTTGTCGCCTGATTGTTCCCTGTCCCAGCACCTCCTCTCCATTTCTAATGTGGCCTGGGTTAGGGGAATAGCCCATGTCAGCCCCACCCATGAATGGGTTTTCCTTGATGACATTCATCCAAGCAATGGTTCCCGATCTAGCCGAGGGCGGAGAGGAATGGGAGAACGGGGTACTCTCTGGGCGTCTCCCAGCAAGGTGCTGCCCGTTGGTTCTCCTAGGAAGGCGTTGGTCCTGCATTGTCTGTGAGAGGCCTCAGCACTGCTGGCGTGGCCGTTAACACTCTCTGTGTGTAGGAAGCTTCAGAAGAATGACTCCAAATCAGAAAACGGATGCAAGAAGAAAATATCAGACATATAACGCTATTGAAACAGAGCATCGCCCGCCCCAGGTGGGAGTGGTGTGCACACACTCTGTCACAGTTTTCCAGAGCTGCCATAACACAGTGCCACACACTGGTGACTTAAACAACAGATATTTACGTTCTCACAGCTCTGGAGGCCAGAAGTCTGGAGTCAAGGTGTGGACAGGGCCACCCCTCCTCCGAGGCCTCCAGGGAACAATCCCAGGCAACGGCTGCTGGCGGACACCTTGCCTCTTCCAGCATCTGGAACAGGGCACTCTTCCTTGGTTTGTAGAGGCATCACCGCATTCTCTGCCTGCATCTTCACATGGCCGTCCTCCCTGTGCGTCTGCCTCTGTGTTTTAGGGCTTTAGGATCTCGAGTGCCTTATTAAGGAGAAAGAAGACAGATGGTGCAGAGGGTGACCTGGGGCAGGAGCTGCGGGAGAGAAACTGCACGCGTGGTGCGGTCAGATCTGATTAAGGCTGTCATCCTGGAAGCCTCTCACCACTCTCCTCTTCCAACCCCCTTGTAAACACCCTTCTGGGGCTAATATGTTCTGTCTGCCCGGCCCTCTACAGAGTCCCATCTGCCAAGCCCGAGGTTTCTGCCTGGCCACAGGCTTTCACTGTGTCCCTATTTGCAGGCACTGGGCTCGTTCCCCTACTTGTGGGCTTTCTTATTTAATTCTCCTGATAAACCTGTGACACTGCTCTCTCCCGGCATGACACCCTCCGCCTACTTCTCTGACCTTGTACTGCCCACCTTCTTTCTCTTTCTAGAACAGGCCACAATTATTCCTACCTCCAGGCCCTCACGCAGTGTAAGTGAGAGGTTAAGTGAGGCTCTTCTGGACCTGGATGGTTGCTTTCAAATCCAGCTCCAACTCCTGTTCGCTGTGAGACCTTGGACCAGTTATTTGATTTCTCTGTTCTTTGATTTCCTCACCTGTAAAATGGTTTGTGTGAAGATGAAAGGAATCCACACATATAAACTCTGAGAACAGAAACTAGTGTACAGCAGACACTTAATAAGTGTTGGTCGCCAGGCGCAGTGGCTCACGCCTGTAATCCTAGCACTTTGGGGGGCCAAGGTGGGTGGATCACCTGAGGTCAGGAGTTCGAGACCAGCCTGATCAACATGGTGAAACCCTATCTTTACTAAATACAAAATATTAGCCAGGCATGGTGGTGGATGCCTGTCGTCCCAAGTACTTGGGAGGCTGAGCCAGGAGAATCTCTTGAACCCAGAAGGCGGAGGTTGCAGTGAGCCAAGATTGCGCCATTGCACTCCAGCCTGGGCAACAAGAGCAAAACTCTGTTTGAAATTAAATAAATAAATAAATAAATAAATAAATAAATAAATAAATGTTGGTGCCTCTTATTGAATCTTTTCCTGGAACCGTCTTCCCCCATATCTCCGGCCTAAACGTCACCTCACGAGAGAGGTCTCTGCACCATTCTCAGTCATGTTTTCTTATTTTATTTTTATTGTAGCATTTATTGCTCACAATTATTTTCTTTTTACTTGTTATCATCTATTCTCACTCTCTAAATGAAATCCTGGTCTCTCCCACTCGTTTCTGTATCTCCATGCCTAGAAACACCTAGCACATAGTAGGGGCACAGAAAGTATTGGTTGAAAGAAAGAATCCTGGTTTCATAGATGAGGAAAATGAATCCTAAAGCAGTGCAAACTCTAGCACAACACAGATGCAAGCCTGTGTTCCTCACCACAACATTTGGATCCTACAAGGAAGCATATCCTATTGTGAGAAAGTATGACTTTCTCTGGTCCCTACTAGTCTGACCCGCAATCCTGCCTGTCTCCTCAGCCAAAGTGGGGCGGGCAACCAGCCATCTCCCCTTCCTCCTCCCCAAGCTGGGCCAGGCAGCTCATTAGCGCTGCCAACCCCCCGCATGGACAGCAGTCCTGAGCCGAGAACGACGGGAGATGTGTCCAAGTCTTGGCAGCATTGTGCATTGTCAGCTGGATAAAGTGTGATTTATCACAGAACAAATTTCTGCCTGGCCATTTGAATTCTCTTTGGCCATCGTTTCACCGGGCAAGATGTAAAAGGGAGGGGAAGAGCATAGACATTGTCTCAGAAATATTGCTTAGCCCTGACTTTTCTCTGCCTTTTTCTTTTTCCTTCTCTTCCAGTGATGTCAAAGAAGTAGCTATAATGCACTTTAGTAATGAGAGAACTGCTGTAGTAATGAGAGAGACCTCCTTAAAATGTAAAACTTCAGCTCTGGCCACTGCAAGGGAAGGGCACATTGCACAGGAGATGCCAGATGTTCTCTGGGGTGAGAACAGGTACCGGCAACGAGAGGAAAGGGATTCTAAACTAATGTCCCAAAGTCAGGTCCTGGTGAATGTCCTGAAACGGTGGCCCCTCCAGGACAAGAAGCTCTGACAGGAGTCTTCCCACATCCTGGGAAGCCTCCTAAATCCGGGCTCAGGGCTCTGCCAATCCCTGCTTTCTTCTCAATTTTGCCAGTGTCCTCTGCCTAAACAGGAGAGAAAATAGAATAAGATAAAAAGGTGAATGGGAGGTAAGGAAGAGAGGGGAAGCCATGTAAAAGGCCGTGAGAGTTATAGTCAGGATCATCCACATCCCATCTCTTAGCAGAATGCATCTGTCAGCAAGTCTTTGTAACAGACAACTCCAGCGTTTGGTTGTTCAAGATGATTGCAATTTATTCTTGCTTATGGGTTTGCAGGTAAGCGGGGCTCGGCCGGACAGCTCAGCCTAAGGTGTGAGCTCTGCTGGGTTTGGCCTGTCGCTGCCATTGGGCTGTGGTCAGCTCCTTGTTCCTTGTGTCCCATTCTGGGGCCCACACTGAGAGATTGTATTAATAGCTACTTTGGAGGAAGTAGCTATTAATGGTCAAGTTCCAACGACTAGCAGAAGTACACATTTCCTAAGTCCAAGCTTGGACTGGTCCAAGCATGGCTGTCACTTCTGTTCATATTTTCCTGGCCAAAGCCAAGTCCAGCAACAATGGGGAGAGGAAGTAGACCCTGTCCATGATGGAGGAGAAGGCGGGCCTCCCTGAGTGCAGAGCCAGCTCAGCGTCATGGCTGAGAGCAGACCTCTAGGGGTGACTGGCTGTGTTTAAATCCTGACTGATGACTACCAGCTGTGTGATCACGGGCAAGGTACATCACCTGTCCATGCCTTGGTTTTCTCATTTGCAATATGGATATGATAAATATAATAGTGCCCTCCTGTGTTTATGGTGTGGACTCAGAGAGATGACCCATGTGAGCCTCTTAGAATGGTGCCTGGATAACTGTGGCCAGTCAACGAATGTTTGCTGTTGTTATAAAGTAAGCAATCACTGATAAAAGTCCATCTCTTCCTGTGTGTGCATGCATGTGTGTGTGTATTCGCGCGTGTGTGCATGTGTGTGTGTGCATGCGTGTGTGCGCATGTGTGTTGTGTGCGCATGTGTGTGCATGTGTGTGTGCATGTATGTGTGCATGTGTGTGCATATGTGTGTATGTGTGTGATAGGTGGGTAGTGTTGGCGGCACTGGGTGCGCAGTTACCCCTGAGTTTTCCCTGAGCATAGGGAGTGTTCAGTGACCCAGATACCTGAGCACCTTTCCCTGCCAAGGCTACACGTGGTGGTTACCTTGGCAACATTCTACCCCGTTGATGCTGAGACCAGCTCTGGCCATTTAATCCTCTATAGATTTGGGAGGCAAAGGAGGGAGAATTGCTTAAGCCCATTAGTTGGACCAACCTGGGAAACATAGCAAGACCCCATCTCTTAAAACAAATGCTTTTTTAATTACTGGGCATGGTGGTGTGTGCCTGTAGTCCCAGCCACTTGGAAGCCTGAGAAAAGAGGATTGCTTGAGCCCAGGACTTTGAAGTTGTAGTGAGCTATGATTGCACTAATGCACTCCAGCCTGGACAACAGAGCAAGACCCTGTCTCTGTTGAAAAACACAACAACACTGTGTAGGCCAAATGTGATGGGAGGCCACCAGTTTGCAAGCTCTGATTCATTCATTCATTCTTCAACACGTACTTATTGAGCATCCACTGTGTGTCAGGTGTTAGGTCCCAGGTATACAACAGTAAACAAAACAGACAAAAATCTCCGCCATCCTAGAGTTTAGGTTCTCCTGAGGGAGGACACATAAAGCGAGCAGGTAAAATCTACAGTGCATCAGGTGACAGTAAGCAATCTAGAGAGAGGAAGCAAGGAAGAGGGAAGGGAGGTTCGGGGGAGTTGCCATTTAAAATGGAAATGTCAGGTTGGACATGGTAGCTCACACCTGTAATCCCAGCAATTTAGGAGGCCAAGGTGGGTGGATTACTTGAGGCCAAGGGTTTGAGACCAGCCTGGCCAACACGGTGAAACCTCATCTTTACTAAAAAAACAGTACAAAAATTAGGCGGGCATGGTAGTGCATGCCTGTAGTCCCAGCTACCCGGGAGGCTGAGGCAGGGGAATCACTTAAACCCGAGAGGCAGAGGTTGCAGTGAGCCGAGATGGCGCCATTGCACTCCAGCCTGGGTGACAGAGCAAGACTCTGTCTCAAAAAAAAAAAAAAAAAGAGGAAATGTCAGAGAAAGAATCTTTGAGAAGTTGACATTTGAGCAAGGCAGGGATTCTCAGCCTCGGTGCTATTGACATCTGGGGTGGGTTAATTCTTTGTTGTGGGGGACTGGCCTAGGCACTGTAAGATGTTGAGTACCATCATCCCTACCCTCCATCCCCTAGATACCGGTTGCAAATCTATCCTCCCATTTATCACAATCAAGATGCCCAGAGATGCTCAAATGCCCCCTGGGGGACAAAATTGCCCAGACTGAGATCCACCAGATTAAAGAGCTGAAGGACATGAAGAACAAATCAGGCAGACAAGTAGGGGAGGAGCCTTCAGGCAAAGAGAACAGCACGTGCAAAGGCCCTGTGGCAGGTGTGCACCTGGCATGTTCAGGAACCAGCAGGGAGGCCAGCAGCTGGGTCGAGTGAACAGTGTGAAACCCACAGAAGATGCACAGGGAAGAAAACCAGGCACATCGGAGAGGAACTTGTACATCATTTAAGGATTTTTCCAGAGCTGAAAAGGAGATATTATTTAAACATTTTCCAACAATAGCCCTAGATTCAGAGGCAACTGTTGAGAAGAGGCCCCTGGGCTGCAAGGACTCTGTTTCCAAACAAGCCCACAGTCTGAGGTTCCAGGAAGACATGAGTTTGGAGGATGCAGACCAACCTACTGCCTACCTCTAAGCCCTGGCATGCTTTCCCGGCTCACACTGTTTTCCCTTAACCCTACCCACCCCTTGGATCAGCAATCCTCAAGTTCCAGGTTTGTGTGGACCATCTGTTCCCTGCCTAGACTTGGAAAGAGACAGCCTTTCCGAGTGGCCCCTGGGGGATGGGATGAGGAAACGTGGGCAGAGCCACTTGAGGAGAGGTTCCGGACTACTACTGGCCCCTTGCCACGGGCATGCCACAGTTGCTGGACAGTGGCCTCTCTCAGCACCTGCCTTTCCCCTGCCCACCTGCCCACAGGAATGCCAATGACTCGAACAGCCACATGGCAGGAAGGACGACTTCAGCCAAGGCCATAATCCTAGTATCAACAACATGGCTGAAACGGTCCAGTCAAATCTTGAACCAACTCTCGTTGACATTTCTCACTCTACCTCTCCATCTTGGATGAGCCGCAGCCATGGCGAGCCTCGGTTTTCTCATCTAAAAAATAGGATCATAACTGCTGTCCATAGCTCTAGAAAAACTGAGTATGAAAACAATAGGCAAAGACGGAAAAAATGAGATTAAAAAAAAGCAAAACAAAAAGAAAACAGGATGGACAAATAGACGGCACAAATAATATGGTAGAGAGAAATCCAAGTAAAACATCCACTGTGACTCACATGAACGTGCTAAAAGTTCCAGCAAAAGAACAATGAGTTATAGAGGAAACATTGTAACAGAAAAATCATTCTAAGTGTTTATTTTTACAAAGCGTCTAGAACATCCAGGATACAGAAGGATCCAGCAAGGCTGAAAGTAAAAGAGAGAAAAAGACAAATCAAGCAAATAATAACCAGAAGAAACCTGGTGGCCTAGGAAGAGTAGGCAAAATTGATTTTATGGTAAAAAATAAAGCCTTAAAAACTGTTTTAAAAAAATTGGGTTTCTTTTCTGTTTTCATTTCTTTGCTGGAGTTCAGTGGTGCGATCTCAGCTCACTGTAACCTCTGCCTCCCAGGTTCAAGCGATTCTCCTGCCTCAGCCTCCTGAGTAGCTGGGATTACAGGCATGCACCACCATGTCTGGCTAGTTGTTGTTTTTTTTGTTTTTGTTTTTGTTTTATTTTTAGTAGAGACAGGGTTTCACCATGTTGGCCAGGCTGGTCTCAAACTCCTGATCTCAAGTGATCCGCCCGCCTCAGCCTCCCAAAGTGTTGGGATTACAGACATGAGCCACCGTGCCCAGGCTTCTTTTCTGTTTTCTTTTTTAATTTTTTATTTTATTGTAAATTGACAGATTATAATTGTATATATTTATGCAGTAGTAAGTGATATAATGTATGAATATAATGTATTCTTTATACAGTGATTAAGTCAAGCTAAGCAGCATATTCATCATCTCAAATACTTAACTTTTTGTGGTGAGAACATTCAAAATTTTCTCTCAGCAATTTTGAAATGTACAATATGCTATTATTAACTATATTTATCATATCGTGCAATAAAACACTTGAGCTCAAAGAAAAAGAAAGAAAATGACGTGAAAGCACCTTGCAGATGTGAAGCGGGATTGTCACTGTGTACGAGCATTTCATTCATATTAACGGAGCAGGTCCACAAACTTGGGTGTACAAGAAACGTGCATTTGATTTTCTTGTATCTGAACTTCATTCAAGCACAACCTCAGTGCCCTGAGATGCACAAAAACCATACTAGGAGCTTGATTTTTGAACATAAGTTTGAAATGTTAATTAGAGACCCAAGTGGAGACGTGGAAGAAGCAGGTGGATATCCAGAGACAGGAGTTTAGGAGTTGTCAGCACAGAGATGCACTTCCAAGCATCATAACTAAATGATTACCATCATGAGCGGGATGTAGAGGGTGCAAGGAGTAGATCTCACAGTGGTACCCAGAGCAGCAGCAGCAACAGCATCCGCAGCCGCTGGTTACAAATGCCCGTGTGGGTCCCCACCCCAGACCTGCTGAATCTGAGATGGACACTCAGCAGTCTATGCCAACAGGCCCTCCCTGAGGCTCGCTCAAGTCTGAGAACCAGTTTGGCTAGATGACGATTCAGGCCAGGCTCCCACAGGACATCCGTGGCTGACCGGCAGATGCCTCTGCCTTCCCCTTGGAAAGTGACCCCCAGGCTCTTCCTAGGAGGCAGGTGCAGACTCAGGAAGGTGCCAAAGCCTGAGTGATAACGGAATATGGCAACTGACCATATGTGGCTCCACCAAGCCTCACGTGACCCCACCGTCCCTGGGTCCTTACAGGCAGACACTGATTTCTGGGCCATGGCTACCACGCATTCTGTCCGCATAGTTTAGATATCAGAGTGAGTGGAGTTCAGTGGGCAGTTTTCTCAATGGGCAGCTCATCCACAATGAAAGATGAAAAGCAGTCTGAGAAACAAAGCCGAGGGACTAAAAAGACTCCTGTGGGGTTTTGGTTCCTTTTTGTAGATGAGTGGGCTCACTTTTTCATATGATAGTTCTCACTGCTGGCCACTTAGGAGATGATTAATGCATCCTGAGATGTCCCCAGACATTTATGACACCTTCAGGAATAGCAGTGACGATGGCTCTATCATGCACGGCTACTTCATACCCTTGGCATTGCTCTTAATTATTTATATATTCGGGAGCAGCCAGGTTTCCTCCCACCAGAGCTCAGAAAGGTAATAAATGAGAAAAGTCAATGGTCTGTAAATTACAACATTGACTAAAGAAGTGATTACTGATATAACTCTTGCTCGACTGTTGTGCTAATGCCTTCCCAGATCCAGGACAGTGTTTACCTGCTAATGACAAGCCTGGGATGGCAACTAAAATTGCCTTCCTTCTTTAATCAGCATGTAAACATTTTTAAACCACTCTTGACCATGAATGAGAAGATCCATCCATGTGTTCCCATCCCAACTGCTCCCTGCCACTGTCCCCAACTGCTCCCTGCCACTGTCCCCAGCAGATGGAGCAAATTCTCTCAGCCCAGCCCTCACCAGCTGCCTCTCCAAACAGAAGTGCAAGTTGAAGATGAAAATTGAGCCCAGAGTAGCCATCCATGGTTCCCGGAAGCTGGGGAAAGAGAGGGTGATCAGATTATAAGAGTTCTTTATTCAGCACTGGATGTTATTTGGCCGAGGCCACAGACCCCCCAGAAGGGGACTCTGTTCTTTCCAAGCTACATGATCTAGACAGAAGACAGATAAGCAAATCAGCAATTATAGCTTAGTATGCTAAGTGCTATGTGAGGGGTTTCCGAGTGACTTCATTAACTCAGAAATACTCCACTAAACTGTATGTGTGTGCATTTCTCCAGCAAGAATTAGCTTTATGTGTATTCTCAAAAGAGTGAATGACCCAAGAAAGGTTAGGAAACACTGCCTGAGCACTTTCTAGAAACTTTTGAATTAACTTCTTGTGTTTTTGTAGCTTTTGGCTCCATGTCATCTCAGTCTCTCACTGCATCGTCCATCAACCCCAAGATCCTTGATGACTGTCCTGAAGCAGGCATCCCCATGAAGGGAAGGCCCTGCTCATCCATCCCTCTGTCCATCTGTCTGTGCATCAGTGTGTGCTTCCATCCATCAGTTCATCTGTCTATCCATCTGTCCAGCTATCTACCCATTTATCCACCAGCACTTAACCTGCCCATCCATCCATCTTTCCATCCATCCATCCGTGCATCCACCCATCTGTCTGTCCATCAGTGTGTGCATCTGTCCATCTGTTCAGCTGTCTATCAATCTGTCGACCTATTCACCCATTTATCCACCAGCCATTCACTTGTCCACCCATCCATTCATGTGTCTGTCCATCAGTGTGTCCATCCACCCATCAGTTCATCTATCTATCCAGCTGTCTACCCATTTGTCCACCACCCATTCACCTGTCCACCCATCCATTCATGTGTCTGTCCCTCAGTGTGTGCATGCACCCATCAGTTCTTCTATCTATCCAGCTGTCTACCCATTTGTCCACCACCCATTCACCTGTCCACCCATCCATTCATGTGTCTGTCCATCAGTGTGTCCATCCACCCATCAGTTCATCTATCTATCCAGCTGTCTACCCATTTGTCCACTACCCATTCACCTGTCCACCCATCCATTCATGTGTCTGTCCATCAGTGTGTCCATCCACCCATCAGTTCATCTATCTATCCAGCTGTCTACCCATTTGTCCACCACCCATTCACCTGTCCATCCATCCGTTCATGTGTCTGTCCATCAGTGTGTGCATCCACCCATCAGCTCATCTGTCTATTCATCTACCCAGCTATCTACCCATTTGTCCACCACCCATTCACCTGTCCATCCATCCATCTGTTCATCCTTTCCTCCATCTGTCCATCTGTCTATGCATCAGTGTGTGCATTCATCCATCTGTTCATCTGTCTATCCATCTATCCTTCCATCCATTCATCCATGCAATGTCCATTTCACTGAGCTCCTGCTTCATAAGCAGCTGAGGTAAGGAACCCAGAGGTGAAAAATGAACACAATGTACTTTTTGCCTTCAAAGATTTCTTAGTTTAAGAGGTGATATGGACACATGGGACCAATTTAAATCACATCTGATAAGCTTGGCTATTCAACAGGGGTCATATTGTTTCTCTATAACCCAACTTGGTTTCTATTTTCAGTTTTCAATTCATCGGGGTGGCAGAAACAGAATACCAGTCTAATTTCCAGGGGATTTAACTATTGCCAAGGCCTTGGGGAAGGGCACATCTTGTCTTATAATCTTCTGTTCACAGTTCCTAGGGGACATTTTTTACCGGTCACAGTCCGCCCAGGTTACCTCTTCAATGGCCCCTCATTGTTGTCCACATTGCCCCTTCCTGCCTGCTTGAGAACACAGGTATCATTCTGCTGTTTCCTTGCTACACTGGGAATGCCCTCTGGGCTGGTAGATAGAGTCATATTTGAATGAATAATCTGGGAACACAAAAGCCACATACTTGCAACCTTTATTTTTTTAGTCTGTGTGTTTATTTTTCTTTCTGCTTTGTCTCATCCCTTTCCTGAGACAGCAATCTGCCAGAAAGGGGAAAAGGAAAGGGAGGCGCATAGGGAAAGGGAACATAGGTTGGTAGTCCCTAATGTGATCTGCCATTCACATAACGAACACGTATTATATAAATAATCCCACGGGGTCATAGAAGACCACAGAAGGGGTCTCATAAGGAACCCCTGAGCTGGGGTAGGTCAGGCAAATAGGGATGGGAAGGTGCTCCCAGGCACAGGGACCGGCCTTGCCAAAGCCTGGGGACCGTGAAGAACCTGCATCAGGCCTGCATGTGCATGCAGGGGAGAGACCTCAGAATTAGTGAGAATCATGCTGGGGAGGAAGGCACTACGGGCCCTTTGCATCCTTGGAGGCTGGATGGGGTGGGTTGTGGGTGCAGCTTACTTTCTGAAAAGACATAACTGCCCAGGGTGTGAAAACCTCTGGTGCTCACATCAAATTACTCAGCCCACCCAGATTTCAGCTACAGCTGCAGTTCTGTACAAGTTCAAGTTCACTTTTTGATTGCAGTCTCACCTCAATCTGCTTTCTGTTTTCTGTTCCGGGTGGGGCAAGCCCTCAACCAGTAGGAATAAGAAATGGTAGCTAAAAATATTCCCTCCTCTTACTCCTCAAGTGGACAATTCTAGATACTTTTCATGAAGCCTCTGAAAACCGAGCCCATGGTCCCTGTAACAGCCTAAAAAATGCACCTTCCTATTGGGTTTCCTTCTTTCTCTGTCTTCCTCATCTGCTCCTTCACCCCTGCTCCCTGGGGTCACCTCCCAATTAAACTGAGTGCACCAAATCCTTGTCTCAGGCTCTGCTTTAGGAGAAACCAGAAATAAGCATTTGTGCTTTGCAAGATAATAGGAAAAACAAAAAAAGGATTGTCTCCAAGGCTCCATGAACTTCTCCTCCATCCTTTCTCCCTCTGTCTTTGCAGGTGTCTGAGCGCTGTGACTACATCTTTGTCAATGGCAAAGAGATCAAAGGAAAGATGGATGCGGTGGTGAACTTCACATACCAGTACCTGAGCGCCCCCCTGTGTGTCACCGTGTGGGTGCCCCGGCTGCCCCTGCAGATCGAGGTCTCTGACACGGAGCTCAGCCAGATAAAGGGCTGGAGGGTCCCCATTGTGACCAATAAGAGGTGAGCCTCGGATGGGGAGATGCCCTAGAGCCAAAACAACAACTTTATTTACTGACCTTAACACTAAAGGACCCAATGCTTAAGAGATGCTGGTATTGTCTCAGCAGTTGAATCTCCCCAGGGCTCCCAGATAACCCAGCCAGGCCCAAAAGCTGCTAAACAGCAGGTTTGCCTCAAACCCAGGTTGTCCGCACTCTACACTGGGGCTTATATGAGGCTGTCTCTTGAAAGTGGCTCTCCCAAAATGACACGATGGAGTTAATACATTTTTTTAGCATCTTGGTTACCAGGTAATTTGAAGTTTGGTTTATTTTCTCCAAAAAAAAGTCAGTCCTTTCCTGTGCTTTATGCATATCTATAAGCTTGAAATGTTCTGTGCAGATCAAATTATTGGATAAAATTTAATTGTGTTTCTAGTGGATGCTGGAATCATTATTTGCCAAAAGCTTCTAATTTTTTTGGGATTCCGGACTGTCTGTCTGTCACATGCAAGAGTATGGGGTCTTGTTTTCTCAGCCCTGTGACCCCCGGATTAGCAGACATTAGCTAAGTGAAGGTGTTCCTGAGTTCACAGCTTCCTGCCTGGAATGCTCCACCCCAGACCATCAGGGCTCTTTCCCTGACAGTCCCCCAGGCACCAGGGCCTTTCTCATAAGAGAGAGCATTTCAAGAAGAGTAAGTAGGACAGTGAGATGCGGAATCCATCTCTACAAGGGGAAGCTGAAGGCATTTGGCCCGATGTGGGAGGAAAGCTGTGAATCTACCCAGTCCTTCAGATTAGTCTGTGGTCATGAGTGGCCAAGACAATGAGTTTGTTCCACATCCCTGAGGGGGAAGAATTAAGACTCCCTGGGCTCCAATCCAATCTCTGCCACTAATTAGCTTTGTGAGCATGGGCAAGCTACCTAACCTCTCTGTGCCTTAGTTTCCTCATCTGTTCATGAGAATAATTATGAGTTTGCCTCATAGTGTTATGAGGTTAAAAGAGTTCATACATGTGGAAGCATAAAATGGGACCTGCCACATCTCAAGTGTGTAAGACAGCTCTGTCCAATAGGACTTTCTACAGTGGTGGGATGTTCTAGAACCCCTCTGTCCAATATGGTGGTCACTAGCACAAGTAGCTATGGAGTGCCTGGACTGTAGCCAGTGTGATGAGGTTCAATTTTTTATCTAATTTTTATTTATTTAAATTAACATTAGGGCTGGGTGTGGTAGTTCAGGACTGTAATCCCAGCACTTTGGGAGGCCAAGGTGGGAGAATCACTTGAGGCCATGAGTTCAAGACCAGCCTGGGCAACATAGCAAGACCCCATCTCTACAGAATTTTTTTTTTTTACTTAGCCAAGCATGATAGTCCATGCCTGTATTCCCAGCTATTCAGGAGGCTGAAGGAGGAGGATCACTTAAGCCCAGGAGTTCAAGGCTGCATTGAGCTAGGATGGACCACTGCACTTTAGCCTGGACAACAGAGCAAGACCCTGTCTCTAAAAAGATAATAATAATTCATTAATTAATAAAAATTAAAATAGCCACATGTGTCCAATGCCTACTTATGAGACAGTGCAGACTTGGTACATATTAGCCCTTGTCTTTTATTTTTCAATAAATGTATTTGAGAAAGAGATGCCCATCACTTAGTGTTGCCTAGAGATAGGCTTGGTGCCCCTTGCATGGTCCTGGCGCTCGTGTCTTCAATGTGGTCTCCTTGAGGTTGAGGTGAGCGCCTGCCTGTCTCAAGAACGTCTTAGACTCCTCTCCCTGGATCTGAGAGCTCTTTGTCCCTTCCCACAAGGCCCACTCGTGAGAGCGAGGATGAGGACGAGGAGGAGCGGCGGGGCCGGGGCTGCGCACTGCAATACCAGCACGCCACCGTGCGGGTCCTCACCCAGTTTGTGTCTGAGGGCGCCGGTCCATGGGGCCAGCCGAACTACCTGCTTAGTCCTAACTGGCAGTTCGACATCACTCACCTGGTGGCAGACTTCATGAAGCTGGAGGAACCTCACGTGGCCACCCTCCAGGACAGCCGGGTCCTGGTTGGGCGAGAGGTTGGGATGACGACCATCCAGGTAGGAAGCTGGGAGTCTCTGTGTCCCCAGCACTGGGCATGTGTGCAGTGTTGAGGGAGAGTCAATGGGTGGGCAGATCACTGTGGCCGATTCCCCAACCCATGTGTATCATGGGAACACAGGAAGATGAGCCCAGGCCAGATCTTGAGTCCAGCTCCTTCCAAACAGAATGGAGAAGGTGGCAGCTGCACCCTCTTAGCTCCCCGTGTGACCTCATTCTCAATGGCTGCCTCCACCATTCCCACCACCTCCCAGCACCCCCATCCTACCTCTGATTCTCCTTCTTAGTCCACACTTTTCTAACTTTTTCCCCCTATGCCTTCTTAGAAATAGCCATGGTCTTCTCTATGTACCACTTCTACCAGTGGCCCAGGGAAAAAGCATGGATTCTTCTCATTTCTTCCTTCTTTCAGTCATTCTGTCTTCCTGCCATTTACTTATTCAACAAACTCTCTTTGAAATCCTGCTCCTTCTTTTTCACTCAAGGAAGTGTATAGAATGGTAAAATTTCATGATGGGGCATGAACAGCCTTTTCCTCAATCCCTCAAGTCCCACCCTACTGAATCCACCTTTCTGGAATGTCATTCAGGATCCTTACACCATATGTGGAAATGGTTAGCACATTCCCGTCATTTCCCCTGGACATCTCAAGCCCAACATTTGGCTTACAAGATGAGGCAGAAAGCAATGTTTTGGCAGAGGATACATTGTGGTGGTGGTGGGAGGAGTGAACTATTTATAATTCACTTTTATAAATTTATAATTCAATTCTTCATGAGTCTGTTCAACAGGATCACCATGTACAGTTAACCAGGTCGTGCATTGTACAAGCATACTTCATCTAAATAGGAGGGGTCATTCCCTTTTAAAGACAGAATGGATTTTAATATCTATTCCAATTTTTTAACAGGTAGAATTAAGGTGTCCTGGGGAAAGGGTAACTTTGATTCTCACGAAGGCATGGGATGGGCCAGCATATAGAGTGAAGTAGATATGTAACTCCTTTGCCCTGTATTCTGGACCTCAGGCCTGTTGGGATGGAAGAAATATTACTGGTAAAGGGGATAACATCTGGAAACAGGTGTGATGGATTTTCCTTGTGTCCTGCCAATCCCACAGGTGTTGTCTCCACTGTCTGACTCCATCCTGGCAGAGAAGACAATAACCGTGCTAGATGACAAAGTATCGGTGACAGACTTGGCCATCCAGCTCGTGGCTGGGCTGTCTGTCGCCCTTTACCCCAACGCAGAAAACAGCAAGGCCGTAACAGCTGTGGTCACAGCTGAGGAGGTGCTGCGGACCCCCAAACAGGTAGGGGGCCAAATGCCAGAGGTTCAGAGGGAGCAGGGTCAGCCACTGTGCCTGCTTCAGCAAAGGGGCAGGGTGGAGTGAGAAATGGGGGCAGGTTAGCAGAACCATGTTCCACAATGGAAGCCATGTCATTGCAGACAAAGTGCTCATGTTACCCACATAGCTTTTGAGCAACACAGACCATTTACCAGCCTCCTCACCAAGTCTCTTGGCTGCCGTTCTTACCCCTGCACTCCCCTCTCTTCTCAAGAGGAGAGCAAGCACTTAAAACCATAAATCACATCATGCCTTTTACTGGCTTAAAATGCTCCAATGACTTCCCATTGCACTTAGAAAGAGACCATATTCCTTTGACAGCCCACATGGCCCCACACAACATAGCCCCTGGCTATATCTCTGACTTTATCTTGTGCAGCCCTCAGTCTCTCTCATCCTATTTGAGGCACACACTCCCCTTGCACTTCTTTAGGGGTTTTGCAATTGCTGTTGCTTTTACCTGAGACACACCACCCTCACCGCTGAGCATGGCTCTTTCTCATTTTCATACCCAGTTATGATACCCTCTTCTCATAAATGCCTTTGCTCACAGCGAATGGGTCTGAATCCGCCCCATTTCTTACCACATAAAGCATGTTTCTCCTCCATGGGATATAAGCTCTACAAGAGAAGCCCCCTGTTCATCGCTCTATCCCCAGTGACCATCACAGGGCCAGCATATTGTAGGTGCTCAATAAATGTTGGTTGAGTGACTGAATGACTCTTAGAATTGACCATCACAGGGCCAGCATATAGTAGGTGCTCAATAAATGTTGGTTGAGTGACTGAATGACTCTTAGAATTGGGCTGGAAGACAGGAAATTAGAAAGAGAGCAGGGAGAGTTATCCACGTAACACAGCCAGGATGGGCTCGTCTGACCCTAACAACCTGCATATGGGTGTTTACCTTGTCTGCAGGACTTTCTGCTTCTGATGCCATCATTAGAACAATACTTATGAGAAGAGTACAAAGTTAGGAGCCAAAAGGCCCAGATGGTATCACAGCTGTGTCCGTTACCACCTATGTAACCTCAGGCAAGACGCCTCACCCGTGTCTCAATCCTTAATGAGAAAGTAACAACACCTGTGAAGAGTCCATTTGCAAATTAAATTAGGCTTAACGATGTTGACTGCTAAAAACAGTGGCTGGCACATGCCAGCCAGTGTTAGCTCTTTTCCTGGGAATGGCTGCTGTTATTATGATCACTATTTTAGTGAAAGCACACAGAGCCTTGGATGCTCCATCAGAGCAGACAGTCTTGACTCAGAACACTCTGCGTCAAACCCAGTTTCCTCTGGTGACTTGCGGCCACAATAGGCAGGCGGTCTGGGGAGGAAGCTCAGATTAAATCCACATCCCACTATGGACTGAGCAATGCTGGAGGAGGTGTCATGTGGCTGGGACAGGCGACAGGGCCCAGGGGTTAGTAGCAGGCGTTAGGATCCCCTGACATGCACTAGCAGGAACACGATAGTGCTACAAAGCAGAGGCATGATGATGAGAACAGAGAGCAGTGATGGTTAAGGGAGCAGGCATGATGACAAAGTCTAGGGGCTTGTGTTCTTCTAGGGGGGATTGGAACGTTCCAGCCATAGTGCAGGATTTCAGTGCAGTTCAAGGACTGCAAACTCAAATGCCTACAGGGGCTGGGCTGGTGTTATAAGCAAGCAGTGCAGACTGTGCAAAATCCATGTGGCTGCTTTGTCCAGTAGTGGGGTCTATGAAGAGCTAGAGTGATGATGCTCAGTGCTCAGAGATGTGCCCATTATCTGCTGCTATGTAACGACGGCCACACACTTAGTAGCTGAAAATGGCACGCACTTATTGGCTCACAGTGCGGTGGGTGGGCTCAGCTGGGTTCATGCCCAGAGTATCAGAAGGCTGAAATCACAGTGTTGGTTGCCTGAGTTCTTACCAGGATGCTCTGAGGAAGAATCTGCTTCTAGAATTATTTGGGTGGTGGCAGAATCCAGATCTTTGCAGTTATAGGACTGAGGTTGCCAATTCTTGGCAGGTTACTGGCTGGAATCCTCTCTTAGTTCCACAAGTCCACCTGCATTCCTTCTCAGTCCCCACCCTACCTTCATCGGCTTCAACACTAGGAACAATGCATGGAGTCTTTCTCATGCTTCCAGTCTCTCCACCTTCCCCTTCTGTCACCAGCTAGAGAAATCGCTCAGCTTTTAAGGACTCATGTGATTTCACTGGACTCACCCAGATAATCCAGGAAGATCACTCTATCACCTGTGCCATGTAACAATATAACATAATCATGACAGCAGTCACTCATCCCATGCCCATGTTCTGGGAACTGGCGCAGAACATCTTTGGTGGGCCATTCCAGGAATTCTGCCTAATGAAGAGAGAGTTGCTACCTGATTTTGCCCCAGAGTGTCAGCAGGAGGGACCTGGGGTGCATGCAGGTCCTCATCCAGCCCACAGCACTGGCTTCTTCAAGTCTTCTTTGGGGGCAGATGGGCCAGGAAATCAACATGGTGTTTTCTGGTTTACAAAGAGCAGAGTAATACTCTCACATTTGGGATTAGAAGAAAAAAGAGCAGAGGAAAGTGGGAGAGAGAAAGCTGAAAGCATGAAGCTATTTGCTGAGAATGGATAATGAATTAGGGTGGACGATTGGCATTGCAACCCCCTTGGCATGGGGTATGGCCGGCCGCTCCCCATCTCCTGTCGCCCATCTGTCTTCATCAGCTGACAGTAATTGGTGTCCCCTAGCACTGACTTAGGGGGATTTGTGGATGTAGTTCATCTGATTTGCAGACACGACTCTTGAAAGGATAGAGCTCTAAATCATTTCTGGGCATGTGTTATTTTAAGTCATTCAGAATTTCTCATCTTTGGGGAAATGCGCTGGCTTCTCCTGATGAAACACTACATTCCAGCCTCTCTGTAATGAGCTTATGGTAGAAGTTAGTCTCAATCATGCAGCAGGGCTGATGGAGATGGATCTTGGCAAGTCAACGGTGTTCTGAGGCTTTAATTCCGATTGTCTGCTGTTCAGGGGCTTTTTTATGTTAACTTCTTTCCCCATCTAGTTTGTGAAGAAAAATTATTCAAGAGGAAATGTCAGCCACGATGAACTTGCACACTGTTCAGTCTTTTATCTCACCCCTTAGAGTGTAGAAGGCTGGCACCTTGTTCATGATATTTTCAACTTTGAAATAGAAAATCTGAATGGTTTTTACACCTACAAATAGAGGGTAGTAGCCTGCATGTTCTCCCAAGCCTTGTTTGCTCTAAAGAAAGTAGGATCGAAAAATGAAAGGAGAAATCACTTGGTATTTGTGCATGAGGTTGAGGCATTAGAAGGACTTATTGGATTGTGTGATTCATCAGCTGATATGGACAGAGGAGACGAGGGTGAGCACCAACATCGCTGAGCCATCTCTTCTGTCTTAGTTTTGGTCTGCTCAGAAGCTGAGCCTGAGACAAGGATTCAGGTGCAAGTAGTTTATTCAGGTGGTGAAGACAATACCAGTAGAGAAGTCGGGGGTGATGGAAGGAAGAGAAATGCAACCAGTAGAGTGTATTACCAACTCAGCCGCCGCCAAGGGCAGCCGGAGCTCCTGTCTGCTGGGCGACTGTATGCCGGTCTAGAAAGGCCAGAAGAGTTACTGCACTTGAGGGGCAAGGGATCTGGGATAAATATAACAACTTCCATGAGTCCTTCATTGAGGGCTGCCCACAGCATTTATTAACTCCTTGGCACATCTTGCTGTAGGCACAACCACATGGATTCCAGAAGCCAGAGAGTGACCTTGGGCAAAAAATAAGTTAAAAAAAAAAAAAAGCAAAGTTGATCATTGAAAGTTGAGCTAGCAGGAGCTGAATGGGCAGCCACCCAAAGAGAACTCCACACCCTCCTAAAACTTCCTACACAGGCTCACCCCTCAGAGCCAGCTGGTGTTGGCCAGGGCTTACCAACACAAGTGATATGACCCAATCCAACTCAACCTGCCTTCACACACAGCAGAATGTATCAGTTCATGTCCAAGCATTTGGATCTTCAGCTACAGCTACATGTAGATGCTCAAACGATGTCATCAGAATTCTTTTTTTAATTGCTAGCATTCTTCCTTGGTCCTGCGGGATGTAGAGTCATCATTGCTGTGAACACTGGCTGCTCCCAGGCTACTCCAATTTTTCCTTCTGGAATTCCTACCAAACAAGCGTTGGACATTCTCATTCTCTCCTTTATGTCTGTTCACCTGCCCTTCACAGTTTTATTTCTTGATATGCCTGTGGTTCTATTTGGGGTAACGTGGGTGGCTTTGTCTCCCACTGCAGTAATTCTCTCCTTGAACATGTCTCATCTGCTGTTCGAACCACCCATTGAGTCACTGATTTCAGTGACTGTGTTTTTCATTTCTAGAAATTCTACGTGGCTCTTTGCACCCCTTCCTGCTCTGCTTCCATTCGCTTCTTCTTCTTTTTTTTTTTTTTTTTTGAGACAGAGTCTTGCTCTGTCACCCCAGCTGGAGTGCAGTGGTGTGATCTTGGCTCACTGCAACCTCTTCCTCCCAGGTTCAAGCAATTCTCCTGCCTCAGCCTCCTGAGTAGCTAGGACTACAGGCACCCACCACCATGCTCTGCTAATTTTTGTATTTTTTGTAGAGATGGGGTTTCCTCATGTTGGCCAGGCTGGTCTTGAACTCCTGACCTCAGGTGATCCGCCCACCTCGGCCTCCCAAAGTGCTGGGATTACAGGCATAAGCCACCACATCTGGCCCCCATTTGCTGTTATTGAGACAATTTCAACTCCTTTTAATGTCTCTTTAATTTTTTAATTAAATTTTTAATTTCTTTTTAATTTTATTTCATAGACTATTTTTGTTGGTTCGTTTTATGTTATTTCATAAATAACATTTATTATGAAATTTATTTATTATGAAATGTATTATTATGAAATGTTATTATTTCATAAATAACATTATTTATTGTTTTATTTCATAGACTGTTGTTTTTTGTTGGTTTCCTTTAAGTTATAGCCTTTGGAGTCTTCTATGATCTCACATATCAGTCTGCTCACCTTCCTGTGTAAATGTTTAACACAACCACTCCCGGTGCAGCCTTGCCACCTACAGGTTGTAACTTTTCTTTCTTTGTATCATGAGCACCTCTTGAGCCCTGGTTGCTCGGCTTTGTTTTGTTCTGAAGGAGGTTGTATTTGCATTTGCACAGGTCCAACTTCAAGTGAGTTTCTTTTCTCCCAATTCGCATACCACAGAGGTAGTTATCCCACCCAAGTGTGGGCTTTTGGTTTTGAGTGGCGACATCTCCATCCAGTGCTCAGAGCGCACACAAGCTTTGCTGCTGTATCTCTGGCTCAGCAGGTAGGATTTTCCCATGCCCCGTCCATGGAGTGGGTGCTGCTACCTCCCTGGGCTGCAATGACAGTGTCCGGGATGGATGGGGACAAAGGTCCAGGAAGGCCACGAGGTCAGACCTGGTTTGCTGTGAAAAAGGCAGGGAGGAAAGGAGGCAGCTACTTGACTTTTTCAGCAGAGGGTGAGTCATCATGGTCTTTGTGGGGCTGATAAAATGGGCTCTGGCAGTGGTTGTTCTAGGGGGTCCCTAGCACAGTGGTCAAGAGCTCAGCTCTAAAGCCACAGCAGTTCCAGCCCTGATCCTGCCTCTTCCTAACGATATGACTGGACATATTTCTTTTTTTTATTTTTTTAACTTTTATTTTCACTTCAGGGGTACCTGTGCAGGTTTGTCATGTAGCTACACTTGTGTCATGGGGGTTGGTTGTACAGATTATTTCATGACCCAGGTATTAAGCCTAGTACCCATTAGTTATTATTCTTGATCCTCTCCCTGGTCCCACCCTCCACCCTCCAATAGGCCCCAGTGTGTGCTGTTCCCCTCTATCTGTCCATGTGTTCTCATCATTTAGCTCCCACTTAGAAGTGAGAACATGTAGTGTTGGGTTTTCTGTTTCTGTGTCAGTTTGCTAAGAATAATGGCCTCTAGCTCCATCTGGTCCCTGCAAAGGATGGGATCTTGTTCTTTTTATGGCTGCATAGTATTCCACGGTGTGTGTGTACCACATTTTCTTTATCCAGTTTATCATTAATGGTCTGGAGAGTTTTTCCTAGATGAATGGAGGAGGCTGAAATATGCAATTCTAAGCACAAAGTGGAGAGCCTGTATCCACTGGGCACTTGCTGTGGATCAGGTGCCATTTAGGTTGACTTTGTGTCTTCGCTATTGTGACTCCATGTCTTTGCTATTGTGAATAGTGCTGCGATGAACATATGCGTGCATGTGAGCACAGTTCTTAACCTCTCTTTGGGCAGGAAGCATAACCCAACCTACTTTGTGGAAGAGGAGAAAATGCGTTCTGTAATAACTGCGAACAACACCTGACCCACAGCGAGTGCCCAGTGGATATGGACTGTCTGTTTTATGATTAGGATTGCACATTTCACCCTCCTCTATTCATGGGAGTTCCCACTCTTGGAAGCAGAATAGAAGTACCCATGGCTAAGTCAAGAATAAGGCCTTCTGTGGGATTATGTTTGCTGTGGGCACACAAAGGGGAGAGGATGTCATTATTGCCCTGGGGAGGAGGCGAGACAGCAGGAAACCTTGTGCTCATGAGAATCTGCCAGTCACATAGGCATGGGTGTGAGTGGCATTTCTAGGCCAGTAGCTTCCCCTTTTTTTGGAATATTATTCAGCCATAAAAAGAATGAAATATTGCCATTTGCAGCAACATGGATGATCCTGGAAGACATTACTTTGAGTAAAATAAGCCAGGCACATAAAGTCAATTTTTTTTTACCAGTCCCCACAATGGCAAATAGTTTTTACATAGCTGTTGGGTCACTGACAGAAGTATAGTGAGTCTGCAAAATAAACTCAGCCCCTTCACACTGGCCCTTTGCTTCCTCTTTCACTCTGCTACCCATGCAGAGCAAGGGCAGCACAATTGAACCGGGCCCACCAGCCAATGCCATGTACTGTGTCCCACACATCACTGCCGCCCAACTACAGCCAAGCAAAGCATCTGCAATGGCTCAACAGGGTCAACCTTAAAGGGCAAAATGCTCTTGTTTTCTTGTTTCTCAGGCAAAGCTTAATTCACTGGGGGCAGTGCAGGGAGAAGAGGGGAGGTTCCTTTCTGATGTCATTGGTTCTGACAGTGTTTCCTGCCCATCAACCTTTGTCATCAGGCTGGATACAGACAACAGCTGTATCCATTCATCATACTTAGGCCACTAATCACAGAGTGTGTGACAAAATGACCAGGGCCTGCCCTAGAAGCCAGTCATTGTCTGTGAACATGCACCGGCTGACTGATTCAAGCAATACCTGTGTGGATAAAGCCACCCGGAGCCTCATCTCACTTAGGGATTTTTGTTTTGCCATTTGTTTGTTCTGGGTAAGGATTATGAGGGCACTGTTAGTCACATCCCCATTTGTTCTTGTTTAAATTAAGGTGGTTTCTCTGCCCCTGATAGAAAACCTGTATGATTTCTCCCCAGATGCATGAGCTACTGGGTCTGGATTTGAGGTCCTGCTCCCTGTTTCATTGGGCGTCCTCCTAGGAGGGGGTTTCTAAGGGAAAAGGCATCCCCCAGGTGGTCTTCTAACTGCCTGTGTCCCTGCAGGAGGCTGTATTCAGCACGTGGCTGCAGTTCAGTGATGGCTCTGTGACGCCCCTGGACATCTACGACACCAAGGACTTCTCCCTGGCAGCCACCTCCCAGGACGAGGCTGTCGTGTCAGTCCCCCAGCCCCGCTCTCCCAGGTGGCCCGTTGTGGTGGCCGAAGGGGAAGGCCAGGGCCCACTGATCCGAGTGGACATGACGATCGCCGAGGCCTGCCAGAAATCTAAACGCAAGAGCATCCTGGCTGTGGGCGTCGGCAACGTCAGGGTCAAGTTCGGACAGAACGATGCTGACTCCAGCCCCGGCGGGGACTATGAGGAAGATGAGATCAAGAACCACGCCAGCGACCGCCGGCAGAAGGGCCAGCACCATGAGCGCACAGGCCAAGATGGGCACCTCTATGGCAGCTCTCCCGTGGAGCGTGAGGAAGGGGCTCTCCGAAGAGCCACTACCACGGCCAGGTCCCTGCTGGACAACAAAGTGGTGAAGAACAGTCGGGCAGACGGGGGCAGGCTGGCAGGAGAGGGGCAGCTGCAGAACATCCCCATTGACTTCACCAACTTCCCTGCCCACGTGGACCTCCCCAAGGCCGGGAGTGGGCTGGAGGAAAACGACCTGGTGCAGACTCCGCGGGGCCTGAGTGATCTGGAGATAGGGATGTACGCCCTCCTGGGGGTGTTCTGCCTGGCCATCCTCGTCTTCCTGATCAACTGCGCCACCTTTGCCCTGAAGTACAGGCACAAGCAAGTGCCCCTGGAAGGTCAGGCCTCCATGACCCACTCTCACGACTGGGTGTGGCTTGGCAATGAGGCCGAACTCCTGGAGAGCATGGGGGATGCGCCGCCGCCCCAGGACGAGCACACCACCATCATAGACCGCGGACCGGGGGCCTGCGAGGAGAGCAACCATCTCCTGCTCAATGGTGGCTCCCACAAGCACGTGCAGAGCCAGATTCACAGGTCAGCCGACTCCGGGGGGCGGCAGGGCAGAGAACAGAAGCAGGACCCCCTGCACTCGCCCACCTCCAAGAGGAAGAAGGTGAAATTTACCACCTTTACCACCATCCCCCCGGACGACAGCTGCCCCACGGTGAACTCCATCGTCAGCAGCAATGATGAGGACATCAAATGGGTGTGTCAAGACGTGGCTGTGGGTGCCCCCAAGGAACTTAGAAACTATCTGGAGAAACTCAAAGATAAGGCTTAGGCCCCTCTAGCCAAAGGGCCCTGCCCAGATGCCTTCCTTGTACTGGAAACTGGCCCAAGTGGGGCAGAAGGCGTTGTCAGTGGGGTTAAGAAGGGACGGTCCCAGGGTCCATGCTAGACCAGTTGGAAAGTTTTGAAGTCAGGAAAAGACGTTTTTGTATCAAGGGATTTTTAGCAGTTAATGGTGGTGGATTTTTAAAGGTCAGGGGAATAAAGTCTGGGGCATGGGGAGTGCAGACCAAGTTACTGAACTGCACAGGCAAAATTAGGAAGGTTATTTTATGAGTCAAAACATACTACAGACAAGCTACCAAAAATTATTTGTTAAAAAATGCAACAAGACAAATAAAAAGAGAAATAATCATCTGTTTATATTTCTAATAAAGGAGCAAAATATAAAAATAGGACCTGCTAAGAGACATTTTCCATTCTAATTCACGATTCACTTTTCCAAGGACAGCCTTCAACTGTCACCACACAGCTGGGGGGGAGTCATTTCTTAACAAGGGATGCCTCTTGGGATAGAACTAGGGAGTTTTAAATCTTTACTTGATCATCTTTTATTTTCTTTTCCACTTTTTCCTTTTTTCTCTCTCTCTGTGTCCTAGACTTCCATTGCATTTATATTTAATGTTTATTTCTGAGAATCAAGCAGTATATTTTTCCTAAATGAAACATAAATTATATTCCTATTCATTAGATAGGTTCCTAGGAACAATGCCAATTAATCCATTGTTTAAGTAGTAACTTGAATGTTTTTCTATATCCCTCCAGCTTTGTTGATAGTGGCGGGTTTTGTACAATTGGAGGGAGCCCTCAGAGCCTTCTGGGGGAGGAGAGGAACTGTCCTTAATCCATCACCACTACCATAGGGCAAAGCCAGCAGGTGTGGCCCTGTGAGGGGCTGTACAGACGGGATGTGGCCAGGAGAACAGAGCCCCACCTGGACCACCTGACCCCTCGGGATTCCACCCCTGTCATCGTGGGGATGTTCCTATATGGGAGAAAGTTGGGTTAAATCAAAAAAGAGGCCACGCCCAGGTGTAATCAGAGCCAACCTGGTGGGCTTGGTCTATCACAAGACATAACTGATGCTGAACATGAACAAAGATAAAAACTGTTTGGAGGGTTTTTGAGTTGTTTTTCTTATGTTGTTGGGTGGGGTATACCAGCATAAACTCTAAAGATAAAATCTATGTTAGATTGTCAATCAACTGTGTTTTTGAACAGCATAATTGTGTAGCAGCACATTGCAAAAATGCATTCATCCAAAGCGACACATGTGGCAACGTAGACCACGCCAGTGAAATAAGCCCCTTCGTGATCACCTGACTCCAGTTCTCCGTGTGCTCCATTGGCTGCGGCTGCAGGAGGAAGATGCCTGACAGCCCTCATGCTCTCCGCAGGGGGGCGCTCACAAAGATGCCAGGGGTGTTTATTGTGTTTATTTTTTTAATTACTAAAATCAGTAGCTAAGAAAGGGTCCTTGAAGCCTCCTAACCTGGGTTGGACCTTTGAAAAATATATTTGTAGCACATATTATAGATGGAAAGAAGAAGATATTTATTTATACCTGTGATGCCAATTGTCATTAAAAGGCTTTTCATGGCTTGACAAGTCAGTGTCTTGTGGGGTGTGTTTTGTTTCACTTAATTGCTATTTCCCACCCCAAAATATACAACCCCAGAAGAATTAAACCCTTAGGCTAAAGGGAAGACAATATATTTGCCAATCTTTAAAAAAAAAAACTTTTTCCCTTTTGGTTTCTTGACTGATCCACAGTGATTCCTAATACGGAGGGCTTTCATTCATAGATCCACCGTCATCCACACCAGTGCTCAAAGTCAGCAAGCAGGAGGGCGTTCATTCATAGACTCACCATCATCCACACCAGTCCTCAAAGTCAGCAAGCAGGAGGGCGTTCATTCATACACTCACCATCATCCACACCAGTGCTCAAAGTCAGCAAGCAGGAGGGCGTTCATTCATACACTCACCATCATCCACACCAGTGCTCAAAGTCAGCAAGCAGGAGGGCGTTCATTCATAGACTCACCATCATCCACACCAGTGCTCAAACTCAGCAAGCAGGAGGGCGTTCATTCATACACTCACCATCATCCACACCAGTGCTCAAAGTCAGCAAGCAGGAGGGCGTTCATTCATAGACTCACCATCATCCACACCAGTGCTCAAAGTCAGCAAGCAGGAGGGCGTTCATTCATAGACTCACCATCATCCACACCAGTGCTCAAAGTCAGCAAGCAGGAGGGCGTTCATTCATACACTCACCATCATCCACACCAGTGCTCAAAGTCAGCAAGCAGGAGGGCGTTCATTCATACACTCACCATCATCCACACCAGTGCCCAAAGTTAGAGAGCAGGAGGGCCTTCATTCATAGACCCACCATCTTCCACACCAGCGTTCAGAGTCAGTGAGGAGAAGGGTGTTCATTCATAGATCCACCGTCATCCACACCAGTGCTCAAAGTCAGCAAGCAGGAGGGCTTTCATTCATAAGATCCACCGTCATCCACACCAGTATCCAAAATCAATGAGCAGGAGGGTGTTCATTCACTGATCCACCGTCATCCGCACCAGTACCCAAAATCAGTGAGCAGGAGAGCTTGATGACACACAGATTGCCAGGCCCTGTCGCCAGAGGTTCTGATTTAATAGGACAAAGGCAGGGCTCCCGAATTTGCCTTTTTCACAACTTCCAGGGCTATGCCAGATGCCAACATTGCCAGTCCGAGCCCCAGCTTTGCAAACTACCAATGTCCTTAACAGAAGAAGAGAAACCCTAGGAGCAGGTGAGAAACTGTGAAATCTCTCCTCTGGGGAAAAAGTTTACTTTTGCCTTGACAGTTTTGCATTTATTGTTATTGTTGTTTGTTTGAGGTTTGGGTGAGATTGTTATTATTGATTGGTTGGGGAAAGAAAATTTTTTGGTAGAAGCTAAGGTATTTTTTTAAAATAATAACTTTATCGAGACATCATTCACATGCCATAAAACTGATCCACTTAAAGTGTACAACTTAATGTTTTTTGTTTGTTTGTTTTTTGAGATGGAGTTTCGCTCTTGTTGCCCAGGCTGGAGTGCAATGGCATGATCTCGGCTCACCGCAGCCTCTGCCTCTTGGGTTCAAGCAATTCTCTTGCCTCAGCCCCCTGAGTGGCTGGGGTTACAGGCATGTGCCAGCACGCCTGGCTAGTTTTGTATTTTTAGTAGAGACAGGATTTCTCCATGTTGGTCAGTCTGGTCTTGAACTCCCGACCTCAGGTGATCCACCCGCCTCGGCCTCCCAAAGTGCTGGGATTACAGGCTTGAGCCACTGCGCCCGGCCAACTTAATGTTTTTTAGCATATTTACCAAGTTGTGCATCCACCATCACATCAGACCTTAAAACATTTTCATCATCTCTAAAAGGAAAGCCCATACACTTTAGCTATCACCTCCCTACTCCCCGTTCTCCTCAGCCCTAAGTCACAACCACACTATTTTCTGTCTGCATGGATTTGCCTAGAGGGGCTGGCATTTATATCGTTATGGGAAACCATCCTAAAAATCCTCCACATGGGATTAGAATCCCCATGACATCATCAAGTAACAATTTTTCTCCTTGTGAGAAGCAGATGAGAGGAATATATTGTGATTTTCCTAATCAAAGCTGCAGGAGACCTCGGCCTCCTCAGCACACGGTTGCAGGTTCGCAGTGAGAGAGGACAGAGGCTTCAAGACCTTTCCTTTAGATACCACATCTGCTCCTGTGTCTGAGTACCTCCCCGGCTAGCTCTGTAATTCTCGAAAAGACCTGTGCTCCAAACAAGGGACAGGAGGATTGTGGTTGGAGGTGATGCTGGATGCTTAGTTTCTGCCCTGAGTTAAACTATAAGATGGTCACAATCTGCTGGGTGTGGTAGTTCATATCCGTAGTCCCAGCACTTTGGGAAGCTGAGGTGGGAGGATATCTTGAGCCTAGGAGTTCAAGGCCAGCCTGAGCAACATAGCAAGACCCTGTCTCTACAAAAAATTTAAAAATTAGCCAGGCATGATGTGTACACCTGTAGTCCCAGCTAATCCAGAGGCTGAGGCAGGAAGAACTCTTGAGCCCAGGAGGTCGAGGCTGCAGGGAGCTAAGATCGCACCACTACACTCCAGCCTGGGTGCAGATTGGGTGACAAAGTGAGACGCCGACTCTAAAAAAAATGGTCACAGCCACCTCCACCCCCATCCTGCCTGAACCTGCAGCAAGGCAACTGCTGGCCTTGGGCAAATCCCTCAGTGGTCCGCTCGGGTCAATGGAGCTACCCTAGTTCCAAGGCCCTGAGACAACGAGGCTGAAGAATTCCCTCCCTCAAGCAGGATGCTCAAGGAAAACCTGCCGTTGTTGTTGGCAGACAAATAAGAGTCTATGTTCGAGTGACCAGGTGGTTCCATTTCTTCTGGGACTATCTTCGTTTAAACCTGGAAGACCCATATTCCAGGAATCCTCCCAGGGGACACCCGCTTGGTTGGTAACTCCGGCCTGTGTGAGTCAGGCCCACTATCATTAAACACTTTCTGTTGGTGAGTTCAGTCACTTGGGGGCCTCGTGGTGTTCAAAATTTATCTTTCATTGCAATCTTAGGGCTACATATGACCTTACCTAGTGAGGGCACAGAGTCCTAATCTTGTTAGACCCTAAAACAAATTGGATCAGTCATCAAAGATTTCCAACACGCCTTCCCCACTGAGCACCAGCCCTGCAGCCACCTGCCAAGCCCACTTCCCCTTGGTGTGTGAACATGTGATCCCCTGGATGGGTCTGTGGGCTCATAACCTCTAATTCATTCCCAGGATGTATGTCAACCCATTTTGCAAATAAGGTCAAATGTTAAACAGGTGTGCGCCACTTCACAAAAGCCACTGCCTTTTCACTAAACTATGAGACCGGAGAAAGAGACACAACTGCGGGCCGGGCGCGGTGGCTCATGCGGGTAATCCCAGCACTTTGGGAGGCCGAGGCAGGTGGATCACGAGGTCAGGAGATCAAGACCATCCTGGCTAACATGGTGAAACCCCGTCTCTACTAAAAAATACAAAAAATTAGCCAGGTGTGGTGGTGGGCACCTGTAGTCCCAACTACTCGGGAGGCTGAGGCAGGAGAATGGCGTGAACCAGGGAGGCGAAGCTTGCAGTGAGCCGAGATCATGCCACTGTACTCTAGCCTGGGCAACAGAGCGAGATTCCGTCTCAAAAAAAAAAAAAAGAGACACAACTGCAAGCCTGGAATTCTTCCTTCGTGTGCATGTGATGAAATAGGAGGCTACTTTGTCTCTCGGTTGCTGGTTCAATTACTTACTCAGCACACACTCATGGAACACCTGCTGCGTGCCTGGCCTGGTGCAACATGCAAAAGATGGAATAATGGCCGAGACCTCAAGGTGCTCACAGTCAGAGGGCAGAGGTAGAGAAGGGGGCAGCTATGGCACAGAATGATTGACACCACGATGGGTAGGGGCTCCACTCTGCTGCTCTTCTGCTCCCACCCCATTGTCGACAGAAGTTGCCTGTATACCCCAGCCTATCTTCTCGTGGTCTTACAGAAACTCGAAGGTCTGATGAAAGAAACTCTTCTCTCTCAGTGTGAATGGAGAATTACCCTTCTCTATTAATATTAATAGCCACAGCAACAATAATAAGAGACTCCATTTAGTGAGCACTTAGTCCACGCCAGGACCGATGTTAAACATCTTTTAGTTATTTACTTACAACTCCTTCTGAGGTAGGTGGTTTACCCGCCTGTCATAGATGAAAAAACAGGTGCAGAGCCTCCTTCCCAGGGCCACAGCTAGCAGGGTTGAAAGTAAAAGAATGATGGTAAAATGTACAATGTTAACACTAATAAAAGGCTAACGTAGCTATACTGATGTCAGAAAAAGAACACCTTACAGCAAGAAGCATTACTAGAGATGAACACTTTACAATCATAATAAAAATTATTTAAAAGGAAGCTAGAACAGCCCTAATTATGTAAGAAAATTATAACAGCTGCAAAATATATACGCAGAAGATTGAAAACTGCGAAACACTATTGAAAGAAACTGAAGAAGACCTAGATAAAAGGGAAAATATCCATGCTTATCTAGAACCCTAAGATAATCAATCTGTGTTGTCCGAAGCCACTCATTTGGGGGTCGTTTGTTCCAGCAGTGATGGGAATCCAACACAGTATCTTAGGGATGAGCCATGTGAGGGCCCAGGACGAGTCTCTCCAGAGAACAGCTCAGGCACCCAGTAGCCGCAGTGGCAAGAGCCCCCTTGGCAAAGGCCAACTATCCTGCTAGGCCCAGGGACAGCCCCCGTTTCTGCCTCTTTTTTCGTTCTGTAACTGAGCATACCAGAGCAGCTGAGGACAAGGGCTGGCTGGCTTCTAATGCATAGGTCATCCTGTCCACTCGTTGAGTGCCTCTTCTGCAGTCTGGTGTTAACATGCAATAGGTGAACCTCACACTCTGTGCCTGCTCCCACAAATTCAGCCATATGCCCCTTGTACAGACTTCTTTGTCTCCAGAGTTTTAATCTTCCTCCTTAAGGGGGCCTAACCAACTAGCCAGACCACCTGTTACTGCCTGGGAGTACACGTATATCCTCACCTGAAGCCACTTCTCTCTCCGTGTGACATGGATGGAAGGCACGTGTCCAGAGCTCTGTCCATTAAAAGGAATTTCACTCAATGCTCTTCCAGCTCCTCTTGGGACAGCAGTGTAGACTGTTTGTGGCCTGTATCAGTTTACTAAGCAGACCCATCTTTCTACCAGGCTTGAGGTTTTCCTCCTTTATCATCTGGCCTTTCTGAATCCCTCGTGAGGCCATCTGTGACAATGGAGAGAAGGGCATCTTGGAAACACTGGAGGCTGACTCCAAGCCTGGGCTGTTCATCAGGATGGAGTGTCTGTTCTGTGTGGACTGGCTCAGGCTTCATTCCAGAGAGGCCACTTCTGTCATACAGCAGACCTTACAGTGGATCTTACAGTGGATCCTCAGTGGATCGCTTCTGGAACCCATGTGAGTTGCAGCCTTATAACCTGCAGGGTCTAGTGACCCCCAGCTCAGGATGGGCAGCTCCGGTTGCACAGCCAGATGCTGTATTAGCTTCCCAGGGCTGTAACAATCAACTACCTCTAACTTGGTGGCTTAAAACAACAGGATTTATTTTCTCACCATTCTGGAGGACGGGAGTCCAAAATAAAGGTGTGGGCAGGGCCATACTCCCTCTGAAGGCTCGAGGGGAGGAGACTTCCTCACCTTCTCTAGCTTCTGGTGGCTCCTGGTGTCCTTTGGCTTGTGGGCGCATTGCTCCAGTGTCTGTATCTGTCTCGGCAGGTCCTTCTCTCTATCTGTGTCTTCTCCTTTCCTGCCTCTCCTAAGGATCCTCACTGGATTTAGCACCTCCCCAATCTAAGATTATCTCATCTCGAGATCCTTTCCTTAAAGACATTGGCAAAGGCTCTTAACCCAAATAAGATCACATTCTGTGGATGTGTCCTTGATGAGGGGAGGCACCATTCAACCCACTATTGATGCTCACTCTCACCATTGCTCGCAGCTACTATTTGAATAACGGTGTCTACTTCTCTGTTAGAGACAGGTGGCTGTGCTCCAGAACCCTGGGCTCTCCACTGGGCTTCTTGTTTTGGACATTTCCAGAAACCACATAGGGCACCTAGTCTAACAGCAAGACCTCTACGGCCATGGGCTCTGCCAGCTCAAATGGCCCAAGTGACAAGCCCATTCATCTGCAGCCTGGACTTGATGAAGACATTTTTGTTTTCACTCTGAGTCCCACTAAAAGCTAGCAACCTGTTGAGTCTCTCAATATACGGCCAAGAAAGCGTGGCCAAGAAAGCTAGGCTGCCTCTGAAACCAGAGGCGACATGCCAAGCAGTGTTCCTCTTTCTCAGTGTTGGGAGGTACAAGGAGCAACTTGTACTGTACCTTGTAGGGAAAGTTTCAACAGCGTAGACGTGCCTTAGACCACTCATCATTTTACCAACGTGGCAGGATTCGAACATTCTGCAGAGGTCGTCTCTCACCCTCTGGAGCATGTATTCCAGGTCACTCAAAATTCTTGCCACTTCCTGCTCATCAGATCCAATTAACGTGGTCCATGAATACACTTGGTCAGCATGATGCTCTGCAGAACATCCAGACCACCCAGCTTTCCCTGGATTATTCTGTAACAGAAGGAAAAGAATTGAGACAGTCATTCTTGTCCATCCCTTAGGCCTGAAAAAGAGCCCTCTGATACTCCAGGCACCACTCAAAACTGGCAACCTTCCAAAAATCACCCAGCTAATGATAGAAACAGCATTGCCAAAGGCGGGATGTGCTACCTTTGCCTACCTGGTCCTGTCCAGGGCCACATGCGTCCTCCTGGGTTGAGAGCTGCCCTGGGACAATGTGAGCTCCCAGGCTCTTCTTGGCCTCTGCAGAGGTAAGCAAAGTGGGCTTCCAGTGCCCAAGAACGGTCCTCTAAGGAAGAGCTGCAGGTGCCAGCTAGTAGGAAGGAAATCTGGAAGAAGCCAGGCAGACAGGGGGAAGGAATTCACAAAAGGCATTCACCAAAAGGCATGGCATGGAGAGATCTGGATGTGGGCAGAACATCAACTTTGTTCATTACAAATACAAACCAAATATTCACACTGGATGCTGTAAAAGTTTCAGCTGTGGCCGGGCATGGTGGCTCACGCCTGTAATCCCAGCACTTTGGGAGGCCAAGACAGATGAATCACCTGAGGTTGGGAGTTCGAGACCAGCCTGGCCAACATGGTGAAACCCCATCTCTACTAAAAATACAAAAATTAGCTGGGTGTGATGGTGCACACCTGTAATCCCAGCTACTAGGGAGGTCTGAGGCATGAGAATCACTTGAACCCAGGAGGCGGAGGTTGCAGTGAACCAAGATTGTACCACTGCACTCCAGACTGGGTGACAGAGAAAGACTCCGTCTCAAAAAAAAAAGAAGAAAGAAAAGAAAGAAAGAAAGAAAAAGAAAGAAAGAAAGAAAGAAAGAAAGAAAAAGAAAGTTTCAGCTGTGGAAAATGTTAAGGGGAGGAAGACAGTGCTAGGACAAGTTGTAAGGAGGGCACCTGAGGTGGTCAGGGAAGTCAGCAAAGGCCACGCAGAGGAAATATGGCTTGACCGGAGACTTAGGATGCATCAGAAAGGCTAGGAATCTAGATGAAATACCAGGCAGAGAAAAGCACAGGTGCAAAGACTCAGAACAGAAAGGTGAGAGCTTGCCAAGAACTGGGCATTGAAAAACAAAAGTGAAAACAAAAACACAATGTTGTTGGAGAGAGTTTCCCGGGGCAATGAAAAATCACTGTTTCCCCTGTTCACAGCTGTGGAGGTCACAGCTCTATTGGGAACAGGGGCCAAATGCCCATGTAATACGTTGGCTTTTTAAATCGGCATTTGTTCTAAGTTCTTTATAGTGGCTTGAAGTATTCAAACATTTGACTGTCACACTAGGGTGCTGGGATGGTCTTTGCATCTAAAAATTTGTATCTGGAGAAGCTAAATTGGGTGGGTTTCCTGAGTGTTTGCCTGATCAAAAAGGTTTATTAACTGCTTCTAAACAATAAACAAATAAGCAAAAACAAAAACCCATGGGCTCTGACGGTCGAGTCCTATTTTAGGAGTTCCTTGAGGTGGAGGTGCTTATTTGAAAATGTGGATCAAGAAAGTTTATAAAGTAGAACTAAGAAGAAGAGGAAAGTAGGTTATTCTGTTACCATTTTTCTTTTGGGGAAGACATTAGATTATGTTTCAAAGAATGAGGCAAATTATGACATTTTTTCAATTTATCCTCTACCAACCAAAATATTCTGTCCAAAAAGCCTTTTTCTTTCTGTCAAAGAGGGCATTTGCGTGGAAAAAAATTACCGGACTGTGAAATTTTATTGATTTAAAAAAAATTCAGATTAAGTTAGGGGTCAAGATTTACATTTTCTGTAATATGCACTGTCCTTTGAATGAGGCATATAATTGGAAGACTCAGGCCATTTTGAATTGTGAGGACACACTCTCTAGAAAGCTGCTGCTTCAGAGTATTTCTGTAGCCACGGAAAGAGAAATCAATTCCATTAAAGGTGACAGTATGGACTTAGACTGGATGTGGGTGATACAAACTGGGGTGAAGACACAGCAGATCCAATTCATTCATCCATTCACTCAACAAATACTCACAGAGCATGGGTTATGAATGAGACACTAGTCTAAGTGGTTGGAATATGGCAGTAGACAAGAGGAGTCCCTATCCATATGGAACTTGTACTCTTGAAGGGGAGAATCAGTTAAAAGCAAACATTAAATCAATCAATGATGATATAAGACAGTGAAAAAATAGCACTATAAAGGATATAAACAGAGTGGTGTGGTAAACAATAACCAGGCGCCATGCGTGGAAAAGGTACTACTTATGTGGGGTGGTCACGAGATGACATATAAGCTGAGAATTTATGAATAAGCACAGTTGTGCCTGGGGATTTGGATCCCAGACAAAGCAAATAGCAGGTGCAAAGGCCTGGAAGCAAGAGTGAGCTCACCGTGTTTGAGAACTAGAAAAATGCCCATGTGGTTGGAAGGCAGTGAGTGCAGGAGAAGATCATAAAGGGTGAGACTGCTAACCTGCGGCATGGCAAGGAGAGTGGGTAGAGTGAAAGCCACTGAGGGCTTCTCAGAATCCCATTTAAAAGATGAGTAGAGCCACCAGGTGGAGAGTGTGTTGAGGTGTGTTCCATTAGGAGGGCTACTTGCAATTGTACTGGGGAAGGACTGCAGTGGCTCAGAGGTAGTAGCAGGGGAGATGCAAAGAACTCTTAAAATGTAGGATGCATTTTGCAGCAAGAATACAACAGACACTGTTGGTGCCCCACCCATATTCCCCCACAGTCCAGGTGCAGTACCTGCCAACAGCACCTAACACAAGCATGCAAAACATGACTGAATGCTTTCGGAATAGCTAGAGAGTTGCCATGTTGGTGAGCAGCCTTCAGCCAATGACAGTCAGGAAACAGGATCTAGGGGCATCCTCGTGTCCACATCCTTGCATAGGTCTCTCCCCCCTAATTTATGCCACACTGTGCAATGAATAAAATGAGGTAGATGTAATGATATGTGGCTTCTGAGACTGGGTCACAAAAAGCATTGTGGTTTCTTTCTTGCACTTTCTCATTCTGGGGGATTCCAGCTGCCATGTTGTAAGGAGACTCAAGCAGCTCTATAGACAGCCCCCTGTGGTGAGGAACTGAGGCCTCCTGCCCATAGCTGGTAAGGAACTGGGGCCTCCCACCAAAAGCCACGTAGGGGCACATACTCCAGCCCCATTCAAACCTTCAGATAAATGCAGCCCTGGCTGGTACCTTGAGTGTAACATTGTAAGAGAACCTGAGCCAGAACCACCCAGCTAAACTACTTCCAAATTCTTGGCTCACAGAAATTGTGAGATAAGTGTTTGTCATCTTAAGCTGCTAAGTTTGGGGTAATTTGTTATGCACCAAAAGTAAGTAAGCATTTATGTCCTTCAGATGGAATAACTCAGAGGCATGTTCTACAGTGTAGAATGTATGCCATTCTGTCATGAGCTGGAGTCAGGTGGTATTGGCTCACAAAGTATGACCATAAACATCTCTTCCCAAATCCTTATTCAGTCCCATCTCACTGGTAGCTTAAAATCAGCCATGGGAGGGATATTTACAAAATCAAAATTGGAAAACATTATGTGATGGTTAATATTAGATGGCAACTTGATTGGATTGAAGGATGCTTAGATGGCTAGGGAAGTATTGTCTCTGGGTGTGTCTGTGAGGGTGTTGCCAGAGGAGATAGACATGAGTCTGTGGGTTGGGAGAGGAATACCTACCCTCAATATGTGTGGGCACCATCCAATCAGTTGCCAGTATGACCAGAACAAGGCAGGTGGAAGAAGGTGGGATGCCCTTGCTTGCTGGGTCTCCTGGCTTCTTTCTTTCTCCCATGTTGGATGCTCCCTCCCACTCCTCCTGCCCTTGGACGTCAGACTGCAGGTTCTTTAGCCTTTGGACTTTAGTACTTGTACCAGTGGTTTGCTGGGGGCTCTTGAGCCTTTGGCCACAGACTGAAGGCCACACTGTTGGTTTCCCTGATTTTGAGGCTTTTGGACTCCAACTGAACCACTACTGGCTTCTTTCTTCCCCATCTTGCAAATGGCCTATCCTGGGACTTCACCTTGTAATTGTGTGAGCCAGTTCTCTCTAATAAACTCCCTTTCATAGATCCATTGATTCTGTCTCTCTGGAGAACCCTGACTAATACAGATTCAACTTTCTGTATTAATCTATTTTTACACTGCTAGGAAGAAATACCTGAGACTGAGTAATTTCTAAAGAAAAGAGGTTTCATTGGCTCACGGTCCCACGGGCTGCACAGGAAGCATGGCAGTGTCTGCTTCTGGGGAGGCCTCAGAGAGCTTTTACTTGTGGTGGAAGGTGAAGCAGGAGCAAGCACTTCCCATGGTTGGGGCAGGAGGAAGGGACAGGGAGGTGCCACGCATTTTTTTTTTTTAATTTTACTTTAAGCTCTGGGATACAGGTGCTAAATGTGCAGGTTTTGTTACATAGGTACACATGTACTATGGTGGTTTGCTGCACCTATCAACCCATTATCTAGGTTTTAAGCCCCGCATGCATTAGGTATTTGTCCTAATGCTCTCCCTCCCCTCATCCCCCACCCCCTGACAGGCCCCAGCGTGTGATGTTCCCCTCCCTATGTCCATGTGTTCTCATTGTTCAACTCTCACTTCTGAGTGAGAACATTCAGTGTTTGGTTTTCTGTTCCTGCGTTAGTTTGCTGAGAATGATGGTTTCCTGCTTCATCCATGTCCCTGCACAGGACGTGAACTCATTGTTTTTTATGGCTGCATAGTATTCCATGGTGTCTATGTGCCACATTTTCTGTATCTCATCTATCATTGATGGGCATTTCTGTTGGTTCCAAGTCTTTGCTAATGTAAACTTATACAAAAATTAACTCAAGATGGTGCCACACATTTAAACAACCAGATCTCGCAGTAACTTACTCACTCTCATGAGAACAGCACCTAGAGGTTGGTGCTAAATCATTCATGAGAACTCCACTCCATCGATCCAGTCACCTCCCGCCAGGCCCACCTCCAACACTGGGTATTACAGTTGGACATGAGATTTAGGTGGGGACACGGATCCAAACAATATCACACTACATGCATTAGCTTCCTACAGCTGCTGTAACAAATTACCACAAACTTAAAACAACAGAAAAGTAATCTCTTACAGTTCAGAAAGCTAGAAGTCTGGAATCATGGTGTCAGTGGGCCATGCTCCCTCCAAAGGCTCTAGAGGAGGATCCTGCCTCCCCTCTTCCAGCTCCTGGTGGCTTCCGGCATTCCTTGGCTTGTGGCTGCGTTGCTCCAGTCTCTGCCCCCATCTTTACAGTGCCTTCCCTCCAGTTTTGCATGTTGCTGCATCTTACAAGAACACCAGTCACTGCATATAGGGCCCACACTAATTCAGCATGACTTAACATTAATAATCACATGTACAAAGACCCTATGTCCAAATACAGTCACATTCTGAGGTTCTGGGTGGACATGAATTTAGGAGAGGACACCATTCAATGCATTAAACTACAAATCAGAGTTTCCTTCAGAGCCGTTCACCAGGACACCACTGACCCCATCTCCCTCAGAGTCCTCGCAGGACTGAGTTCCATTTGTCGCAGAGGTGGTATGCTCGTTCACACGCCTGCATTGTCT
This sequence comes from Homo sapiens, assembly GCF_000001405.40. NCBI lineage: Eukaryota > Metazoa > Chordata > Mammalia > Primates > Hominidae > Homo > Homo sapiens. The sequence goes on from NC_000012.12 coordinate 128,720,117, forward strand.
TCCTTCCCTTCCCGACCTCACGGCCCAGCTCTGTAGTGGTGCCTTCTTGGAATAAACTGCTCCAAAATCAATTGTTTGCTTTCAAACCTTTGTTCCAGGTTCTACTTCTGGAGGAATTCAATGTAAGACCTAAGACCATAAGGATTTGTCAATAGATCAAGAATCTTGGGGCCAGCCATGATGGCTCATCCCTGTAATCTCAGCACTTTGGGACATCAAGGCAGAAGGATTGCTTGAGGACAGGAGTTTGAGGAGTTTGAGGTTAGCCTGGGCCTCTGTTGAGCAAGACCTCATCTCTACAAAAAAAAAAAATGTTTAATCGCTGAGTGAGGTGGGATGTGCTTGTAGTCCCAGCTAATCAGGAGGCTGAGGTGGGAGGATCACTTGAGCCTGGGAGTTCAAGGCTCAGTGAGCTAGGAACATGCCACTGCACTCCAGCCTGGGTAACAGAGAAAGACCCTGTCTCAAAAAAATAAAAAACAAAAGAATCCTGGGATTTCTTACTTGAGCAACTAGTGGATGGTTCATACATTTACTGAGGTAATGATTGAATGACTTAAAAGAAAAAACTGGCCGGGTGCAGTGGCTCATGCCTGTAATCCTAGCCCTTCGGGAGGCCAAGGCAGGTGATCAGCTGAGGCCAGGAGTTGGAGACCAGCCTGACCAACATGAAAAAACCCATCTCTACTAAAAATACAAAAATTAGCCTGGCATGGTAGCAGGTGCCTGTGGTCCCAGTTACTAAAGAGGCTGAGGTGGAAGGATCACTTGAGCCCAGGAGGTCAAGGCTGTAGTGAGCCATGATTGCACCATTGCACTCCAGCCTGGGCAACAGAGCAAGACACTGTTTCAAAAAATAAAAAAGGAAAATAAAAACCTTCATCAGATGGTGTCTGTAGAAATTCCTCCATGGAATCCTCTCAGCCGAGTCATGGTAGAAGGCAGTTTCCATGTGGGATCAGGGTAAGTGGCTACCCTCACCCTTCAGCCTCCTGGTGCATGAGTGATATGGTTTGGCTCATATCCCCACCAAAATCTCATCCCAAATTGTAATCCCCATGTGTCGAGGGAGGGACCTGTTGGGAGGTGACTGGATCCTGGGGATAGTTTCTCCCGTGCTGTTCTTGTGATACTGAGTGAGCTCTCACAAGAGCTGATGGTTTTATTTAATTATTTTTCTATATATTTATTTGAGACAGAGTTTCACTCTTGTTGCCCAAGCTGGAGTGCAATGGCACAATATCCGCTCACTGCAACCTCCACCTCCTGGGTACAAGCGATTCTCCTGCCTCCACCTCCCGAGTAGCTGGGATTACAGGGATGCGCCACCACGCCCAGCTAATTTTGTATTTTTAGTAGAGATAGGGTTTCACCACGCTGGTCAGGCTGGTCTCCAGCTCCTGACCTCAAGTGATCTGCCCGCCTTGGCCTCCCAAAGTGCTAAGATTACAAGCGGGAGCCACTGTGCCCAGCCTATCTGGTGGTTTTAAAAGTGTTTGGCAGTTCCCCCTTAACTGTCTCTCATGCTGCCATGTAAGACATGTCTTGCCTCCCCTTCTGCCATGATTCTAAGTTTCCTGAGGCCTCCCCAGCCATGCAGAACTGTGAGTCAATTAAACCTCTTTTGTTTGTAGATTACCCAGTCTCAGGTAGTTCTTTATAGCTGTGTGAGAACAGATTAATACATTGAGTGTGAGTGTTTTGTCTTGGTTTGCATAAGTAGCACTCTGTCCGCAGCACCCCACTTGGCCTTTTTGCCTGGTGTCGTCTTCTAGTGGAGAAAATAGGCACAAATTGCAACAGACCCTGCAATTATATAAAAATTTGAGGACTGAGATTATTGGGACACCTGGCAGTGTTTAAACAGTTATCAGACATCTTCCGGTAAAGGAAGATCAATCTCATGAAAAAGAAAAGCTGTAATTATCCAGATGATTTAAGTTCAGAAGTATCAAATAAGAAAACATTCCTCCTTTCTGCCTCAATTACTATCCACTGCTTAAATCAAGGACACTTGTGGCCACAGGCAGACATGAAAGTTTCTAGAATCTTCTGTTTCTTAATAAATGACCATAGTAAATGCAAATGGGCTCCCAATTTTAAAACCTCAAGATATGAAAACTTCTTATTTCTGGCAGAATGGTCTTCAGGCCAAAGACTCAGGTGCGTAAAAAATATAATTTTCTTTTTTTTTTTTACTGAAATTATTTTTTGATGAAGTCCTTTACCTTTAGTAACAAGAATTCATTTCAAACAATTCAGATTTTCCGCCTTTCTCCCCAGGGATGCGTCTGAGTTCCAGTAGGTTAAAGTGATGCATGAAATTGTACCAGGAGTTGAGGAGCGGTTGCTGCCTTGAGTCTCTTCGCGCAGGCATCTGCTGTCCCAGCTGGTCCTTCCTGATCCCAGAGCAACACTGTTCTAGGTCCAGGTCATGTTCATTTACTCCCCAGCTGCTGTGGCAGTCACACAATCCTTCCAGTGCTCCTACACCTTGTTGAGCTACAGAATACCACGTGACATGACCTAAGACAGTTCCCATTTTCATGCTGCTCCTGTGTGGATCAGAATCCATCGCTACCAAACCATTCCAGGTATTAGGGAATTCTTTGATGTAGGTCTTTAAGTCATGCCTGCCTTAAAATAAATTAAATTATTATACAAAAAATTAAAGTGTGTGGTCACAGACCTGAGTTTACTGAAATCTGCATTTACTAGGTTGACTTTTTTACCCTGAGGGTCATTAGTCATCTTCCCCAAAACTTTGCTCTACGAAAGGACTCACTGGAGTAGTCTTTGACGAGTAAACATCCAAGCTATGCTTCAAATGTGATTTGCCCCATGCACAATATTCAGGAAAATGCTTGTATGTAGAGAAAGGTGCACTGGGTTATAAAAGGCAGTGAGAAGGATAGAGTGGATTCTGGATGGTCAATGCACACTTGCATTTATACCCTTAGCATAACGCCTTGGGAGACGTCCACCGAACAGATGAGCATCAGATAAGGTGAGTCTGGTTGAGGTAAGTCTTTGGCCCCCAGTGAACATTTTTGTTCTTCATGTGCGTGACCCTGACAAATTCCTTTTCCTCCTACAAAGTGGTTTAAAGTGGATTCCAGAGTCAGACTGACTTGGTGCATATCCTGACCGTGTCAGCTCAGTGGTGTCATTTGACAAACCATTTAATCTTTCTGCACCCCAGCCTCCTTAGTAACTCGGGAGCTCACGCAGTGTTCTCATTCCATTGCAGCGTTAGCCTCATTGTTAGCCTCATTCTGCCTAAACTTGGCAATAACCTTAGGATAAAGATAGTTTAAGATAGTTTCATTATCTCTATTGTATGAGAAAATGGGAGTAAAGAGGCGAATGAACGTGAGTAGCATTGCCCTGCTAGAGAGGGGTAGAGTTGCTCCAACTCCAGAGCCTAGACTTTTAACCACCACACAATTCTCCTTCCACCATAGTGGAAGTGATTCCAGCAGGAGATTCTCCCCAATAAGGATCTTGTGTGGGCTCCATGAAGTATTGCAAGATGAGCACCTAGCAAAGTGCCCAGCCCGAGGTGAGTGCTCAGTCCATGTTGGCTATGACTGTTATAGTTCAGGGGCAAGGACTGTGTCTGAAGCCATTTGCATTTCTGGTGCCTTGCTAAACAATCACCCTCCACTTCAGGGTATACCCACTCAGCTGCTTCTCGGGTACAGCGGCTAACTTTTCTTTCCTGCCAGGAAACCCAGGAGACCTGAAAGGGCAGGGAGTGACCTGGTTGGGGTTTGGGGAGCTATAGCACTTGCCTCACTGACTGTCTTGGGTCTAAGTCATCTGGAGCTAAAGGCTTGTAGAATAACAGATCAGGCTTAGGAAACATTTCTGCCTTGGCCCCAAGGCCTCTGCCCCATCCCACAAAAGCAACCAGGACAAGGTGACCTGGGATGAAGACGGCCAGAGTTCCCTCACTTCCTCTCTTTGGATGCTCATCTTTAAAGTTAATCTTATATGGTATTATAATATTGCCTATATTATAGGTATTATAGTATTACCTATGTTTTAGCCTGGTGTGGCAACATATGTCTGTATTCCCAACTACTCAGGAGACTGAAGTGGGAGAATTGCTTGAGCCTGGGAGGTCAAGGCTGCAGGGAGCCATGATCGTGCCACTGTACTCCAGCCTGGGTGACAGAGTGACACCTGCCTTAAAAAAAAAAATGGAATTACCTATGTCACGAGGTTGTAGAAAGGCTGAAACAAGACGATGGAGTTGGAAATACTTGGATGCATTAGTCAGGGTAGCCAGGGGTTGTAACACATAATCCTCCAATCTCACTGATATAACCCCACAAAAGGTTATTTCTCACTCACTTCACAGTCCCGTAGGGATGGTGTGGAAGGTGGAAGGAGGCCCTGTTTCCTCTTTCATTCAGCTTCTTCCACCTTGCAGCTCCAGGCTCCCCAGCATCCTCTCAAATCAACCAGAAGCTGAGGAAAGAAAACAAGGATGCTATGTGGGGGATTGCCATGGGCCATGCCTGGATGTGAGGTCTGCCACTTCCTCCTGCATTTTCAACACAGACGGCAGAGGAAGCAGGGAGAGGCAGCCTGGTTGTGCCAGGAATGTGGTTTGGTGGACACTCTGCCATCTCCGCCTCAGTGCACCTCACCCCGTGTATGTGCACAATTTCCCTGGCCTCCTCCTGTTGCTGTCTTTAAGGAAGACTAGGAGTGGGAATTTTTTTTTTTTGAGACAGTCTCACTCAGGCTGGTGTGCAGTGGTGCACAACCTCCACTTCCTGAGTAGTCAGGCTCACAGGTGCACGCCACCACGTCCAGCTAACTTTTGTAGTTTTTGTAGAGATGGAGTTTCACCGTGTTGGCCAGGCTGGTCTTGAACTCCTGACCTCGGGCGATCTGCCTGCCTCGGCCTCCCAAAGTGCTGGGATTACAGGCGTGAGCCACATCACCTACCCAGCGTAGCCAGGAGTTACACTCTAATGCCTCCAGTTTAGTTTTTATACAAACTCTGGTGGCTGTTTGTCAGTCCAGTGTTTTTGTTGCTGACATCACCCAAATAACTTGTGCCATCAGAGTGACGGCAGGAACAAAGACTCAGCTCAGGGTGTTCTTTTTGGAATTTATCATACCCAGGGCAGGTGCGGTGCAGTCAGTTACCTGTTCTGCACGGCGACTGGGAGGGAAAATATTTCTTTCTCAAACCCTGGAGCTATCTTGAGTATTCTTAAGACTTCAGAGCATAAGCTTTGAGATCAGAGACACCAGTGTTTGAGCCTTGAGTCTGGGCATCATTTCTTGCTATCTCCCTTGAGAAATTTACTTAAAGAAAAGGTGGGACTGGGGAAGGCAGAAGGAATAATGGGTAAATGAGACAGAGCATGCAGGAAGAAAAGAGAGGCCATCCACAGAGAACAGGAATGGCTTCCCTTTAGCCACCAGCGGGATAACCGTGTGGGCACTCAACAGTCTAGAGCAAGCGCTGGTCTCTTGGGAATGGTGGAATCCAATAATCCAGCCACTTGCAAACCCCTATCCCACATGGTTCTGAATGGATTAGCACATACAACTTAATATTGAAATACAGACTTGTTTGGTACAATCTCCTATGGACCACTTGTATGTTCCACTAGCTAGCAGTCATTTCAGCAGGACATGGCCCAAATCACCCTTTCCTATGATCTTTCAGAAAGACATACCAATGTCACAGGTGTCTATTAATATCTACCCACTGTAGTCTCAACAATGGCTTCCCAAAGATGTCATGTCCTAATTTCTGGAAGCTGTGAATATGTTACCCTACATAGCAAAAGGAACTTTGCAGACATAATTAAGGATTTTGAGATGGGGAGATTCTCCTGGATTATCTGAGTGGCTCCAATGTCATCACACATGTCCTTATAAGGGAAAGACAAAGGCAGAAGGGTCAGAGTTGGAGAAGGAGATGTGAAGATGGAAGCCAATCGGAGTCATACAAACAAAGGGCCTTGAGTCAAGGAATGTGGGCGCCTCTAGAGGCTGGGACAGGCAAGGAAAAGGATTTGCCGCTAGAGCTGATGTTACAGGAAAGGGGTCACAATCCAGACCCCAGGAGAGGATTCTTGGATCTCACAAGAAATAATTCAGGGCAAGTCCATAGAGTAAAGTGAAAGCAAGGTTATTAAGAAAGTGAGGGAATAAAAGAATGGCTACTCCATAGACAGAGCAGCCCCCAGGGCCGCTGGTTGCCCACGTTTATGATTATTTCTTGATGATATGCTAAACAAGGGGTAGATTATTCATACCTCCCCTTTCTAGAGCATATAGGGGTAGCTTCCTGGCATTGCCATGGCATTTGTAAACTGTCATGGCGCTGCTGGGAGTGTAGCAGTGAGGATGACCAGAGGTCACTCTTTATTGCCATCTTGGTTTTGGTGGGATTTGGCCAGCTTCTTTACTGCATCCTGTTTTATCCCAGTTTTATCAGGGAAGCCCACCTGCCAACAGCCCCAAGCATAAATTAGCAAAATTTGCACCTGCTGTGTAGGAAAGAGCTTAAGCTCCATTTCAGTTCCAAAATAAAACAGGATAAAACAGGATGCAGTAAAGAACTTTGCATGCTCACGTGAGGCATTTTTTCCTTACCAGTTGAGCCTCCCTAGAGGAAGGTCATATACCAGTTAAACTCCACCATTTTGCCTCTTAGCAGGGTCTTTGTGACCTGTATCTTGTGCTGACCTCCTATCTCATCCTGTGACTTAGAACGCCTTAACCATTTGTGAGTGCAGCCCAGTAGGTCTCAGCCTCATTTTATCCAGACCCTATTCAAGATGGAGTTGCAAGCAAGACCTCTGCACCTTGCTTTCACTCCCTCTCATGACCTGGCAGATCTTCAGCTGTAGGTTGGGAAACACTCTGCAGGAAGTAGGCTTACCATGCCATTGTGTACAGGGAAGGCCACCTGCCAACAGCCCCAAGCATAAATTAGCAAAATTGCATATGGTTTACATGCCTCTGACACCTCTAGAAGAAAGCAGTCCTGCCGACACTTTCATTTTAGGACTTCTGACCTCCAGAACTATAAAATAATAAATGTGCATTGCTTTAAGCCACTAAGTTGATAATTTCTTACAGCAGCAATTGGAAACTCATGTACCTCTGTCATAGGGTCACCATGAGGATTAAATGATCACGTAAGAGATGACGCTGATGTACCTGCATACAAGTCTGTTTGCAGAGCTTTAAAAATATTAACTGGTTTATTCCCTACAACAAACCCATGGGTAGGTAGTAGTGTTAGCAGCGGTGAATCTGTAGGGATCTGCAGCAACCTCAGTTCTTGCCTCCTCAGAAGAAAGAATTTGAACAAGAGACATAGGGCAGGGTGAGAGACCGAGGCAAGTTTTAGAGCAGGAGTGAAAGGTTTTTAAAAAGCTTTAGAGCAAGAACAAAAGGAAGTAAAGTACACTTGAAAGAGGACCAAGCGGGTGACTCGAGACATCTGAGTACGTGGTTTGACCTCCGAGTGTGTGGTTTGATCTTTGACTTGGGGTTTTATACATTGGCAGGCTTCTGGAGTCCACATTCCTTCTCCCCTGATTCTTCTCTGGGGCCGGCTTTCCGCATGCCCAGTGGCCTGCCAGCCCTTGCAGGGGGGCACATGTGCAGTGTGTATACTGGAGTTGAGTGCATGCTCACGTTAGGCATTTTTTTCCTTACCAGTTGAGCCTTCCTAGAGGAAGGTCATATGCCAGTTAAACTCCACCATTTTGCCTCTTAGTGTGCGCGCTTGAGTCCACTTGCCCAACTCCTGAGATCCCATCGGGAAGCTGCTGGTCACCAGTTTCAGTGTTTCTGTCTTTGGGAGACTGCTTTTCCCTGGCACTGGCTGTGACCAATTATTATTTTAGAGACACAGTTAACAACCCTCTGACCATTCCTGGGGCAGGTTGGGCCTCTCCTGCCCCGCTCATGTCTGCCTAGCTACCTACTGTAACAGTGGTGTTATTGCTGCCACCCTTTTACATATGAGAAAAGTGAGTCAACCAGAGGCCAAGCAGCTTAGTCATGGTCTTCTAGCTACCAAGGCGTAAAGTCCACATTCAAACTCCAGCAGCCTGGATCCAGTGGCCCTGTCCCTACCCACTGCACCTCACTATTCCTCATGTAGAAGCATTCTGCAAGCAAAATGTTTAGCATACTGTCAGAGGCATTCAAACCACAGCGACTCCATCTTGAGTGAGGGCTGGAAAACGAGGCTGGGGCTTGCTGAGCTGCCTTCCCAGGAAGTTAGGTGTTGCTAGCCTCTAGATGTTTACGGTTAAGGGAACAGATTGATAATATTTACTAAACAGGCCCAGACTTGGGAGTGTCTTGGTATCCTGATATCTTGAGAACAAAGGCATTCCTCATTTTGCTTTAAAGATAATAATATTGATTCTTGCAAAGTATAGTAATTAAGAAAATTAATCTTATATCACAAACCCTTGTAGCAGAACATATTTCCCCATGATCTTTTAAAATCCTATATATATATATGAGTATTATACTTAGGGTGGACGCGTTCCTCCTCTTACTTTCAGGAAGGCCCTGCTCTGCCTATGGAGCTGCCATTCTTGTATTCCTTTACTTTCCTAATAAACTTGCTTTCACTTTACTCTATGGACTGGCCCTGAATTCTTTTTACATAAGATCTAAGAACCCTCTCTGGGGTCTGAACTAGAGACCCCTTTTCTATAACAATATGATGCTAAATGCCTGAGGAATTTTCAGTAAATATGAGGAATTTTCAGTGAATAGGGACTCCTAGTGTGTTTTCTCTGATCTCCGTGAGTCAGGGAGGGATGAGGCGACAAGCAGATATGGATTTTTCTTCTATGCAGCTTTCAAGGGCAGCCAACCCCCCAGACCTGTGCTCCTTGCTTTCACTCCCCCTCATGACCTGGCAGATATTTAGCTGCAGGTTGGGAAACACTCTGCAGGAAGCAGGCATACCGTGCCATTGTTTACAGGGAAGCCCACCTGCCAACAGCCCCAAGCATAAATTAGCAAAATTGCACCTGTTGTGTAGGAAAGAGCTTAAGCTCCATTTCAGTTCCAAACTAAAACCTCAGAACCAAAGAGTCAGCCACAGCCAGGTGCAGTGGCTCACGCCTGTAATCCCAGCACTTTGGGAGGCTGAGGCCGGTGGGTCATGAAGTCAGATTGAGACCATCCTGGCCAACATGGTAAAACCGCATCTCTACTAAAAATACAAAAATTAACCAGGCATGGTGGCATGCACCTGTAGTCCCAGCTACTCAGGAGGCTGAAGCAGGAGAATCGCTTGAACCTGGGAAGCAGAGGTTGCAGTGAGTCGAGATCGTGCCACTGCACTCCAGCCTGGGCAACAGAGCAAGACTCTGCCTCAAAAAAAAAAAAAAAAAAAGAGTCAGCCACAGAGAGGCTACACCAACTGGGATGCAAAGCCTCTGTGTCATTTGTACACTAGCCTTCCATCCTTTCTCTCCTTTTCCCTTCCTACCCTCATCTGACACCCAGTGCCATCCTCTTCGGTCTATTTTTTCCTCTTTGGTTAATCAAAGACAAGCAGGTTTTAGGGAAAGAGGTCTGCTTCCTCTTGGGTGACTAATGAGGTTATCATTCTTCCCAGCTATCAAACAACACAGTCCTGCCCACAAGGCTGCTAGGGACCTGACCGCACACTGCCTTTGCCAGGTGAGCTGCTACTGGGTTAACAGATGGCGAGGGAGTGAGAAAAAGTTTGGGGAAGCAGACGGGTCTGTTTTCTAGCCCGCTCCCTCTGTAGATGTCTCTTACATAAGCGATGTCCTCAGAGGTTGAGCTGGACATACTTATGTGCAAGGCCGCCCATGCCTGATTGCATGCTCAAGCCAAAAGTCTGACTCAGTCAGTTCTTAACACAGGGAGACTGTTGGCATGGTGCACAGCTTTGCACTAAACTGTAAGCTCTATAAAGACAGAAACTGTCTGTTCATGCTCCCACGTGGGTCCCCTGCACTTTACACACAATAGCTTCTGAATACAAGTGTTAGATGTGTGTGTGACTCACAGGCATTTAACCTATGCTGTCCTTAGAAATATAATACCATGACCAGGCGCAGTGGCTCATACCTGTAATCCCAGCACTTTGGAAAGTCGAGGTAGGTGGATGACTTGAGCATCTGAGTTCAAGACCAACCTAGGTAAATTGGTGAAACCCTGTCTCCACAAAAAGTACAAAAATTAGTGGGGCGTGCCTGTAGTCCCACCTACTTGGGAGGCAGAGGCAGGAGAATCGGTTGAACCTGGGAGGTCAAAGCTGCAGGCTGTAGTAAGCTGTGATTGCACCACTGCACTCCAGCTCAGATAACAGAGCAAGACTCTATCTAAAAAAAAAAAAAAAAAAAAAAAAAAAAGGCAGAAACACAATGCAAGCCATATGTGTGTAATGTTACTTTTCTAGAAGCTGTATTAAAAAGTAAAAAAGGGGTGAAATATATTTTAATAACATTTTATTTAATACTCTTTACCTAAACTATTATCCTTCCTACATGTAATCAATACCAAAAAAAATTTTTTTTGAGACGGAGTCTCGCTCTGTCGCCCAGGCTGGAATGCAGTGGCACAATTTCGGCTCACTGCAACCTGCAACTCCCAGGTTCAAGCGATGCTCCTGCCTCAGCGTCCTGAATAGCTGGGACTACAGGGGCCTGCCACCATGCCCAGCTAATTTTTGTATTTTTAGTAGAAATAGGGTTTCACCATCTTGGCCAGGCTGGTCTTGAACTCCAGACCTCGTGATCCACCCGCCTCGGCCGTACAAAGTGCTGGGATTACAGGTGTGAGCCACTGCGCCCGGCCTATCAATACCAAAATTTTTCAATGAGATAGTTTGTATTTTTTCACTAAGGCTTCAAAATTCAGTGTGCAGAATACTGAGGGCACATCTCCATTCAGACTCGCCACATCATATCTCAAGCGTCTGGTGGTATTTGAAGGCAGTAGGAGTTCAGAGTACGTCACCCCCAAACGCACCCCTCTGACATGGGAATTATTTTGAGCTAAAAGCAATTGAGAAGCAGACACAGGACAAATCTCCATGAACTCGCTTTCTACAAGAAGGGCAGGATGATTCTCTGTCACCAGACACAATTCCAGTCCTCATCGGCCCAGCGATGACATCAAAGAGATCCACACAGCAAACCTACGAGCCTCGCTGTCCTTTCGTTTGTCTCATACCTTTACCTGCCCACAACTTGCTGTCCTAGAAGCTCAAAGTTCTTGTGTTTTATCACTTCTCTACAAAATTGTTGTTCTTCGTTAAGATGCTGTCCTAGCCCACTCAGGGTGACTTATAAACAACAGAAATTTATTTCTCACAGTCCTGGGAGCTAGAAATCCGAGACCAGAGTGCCAATGTGGTCAGGTTCTGGTGAGGGATCTCCTCCAAGTTCACAATGGCCATCTCCTCACTCTGTCCTCATGTGGCACAGAGCAAAGAGGGAGCTTTGGGGATCCCTTTTGTACAGGCACTAATCCCACTCATGAGAGCTCCACTTTTCTGATCTAATCACCTTCCAAAGACCCCATTTCCTAATGCCATCCCTCTAGGGATTAGGATTTCAACATATGAATTTGGGAGGGACACACACTCAGTTCACTGCAGATGCAACATCAGCCCAAGCTCTGAGCATCCCTTTGAGTTACGCATCAGAGTTCTCCCGTGTGTATGCAGGACACACACATCAATAAACTTCCTGTTTGTTTTTCTCTGGTTAATCTGTTTTGTTGGTCTAACTTGCAGAGCTCTAGTCAATGAATCTAAGAAGGTAGAGAAAAATACGAATCTTTTCTTCCCCTACATGTTTGACAGTGAAGCTAGACCATGGAGTTAGACCACCAAGCCATACAACATCAGGAGCTGGTGAAAGTGTGCTCATGAAATGTGGTGGGTGCTTCTAGCATCAGGGGCCCTCGCCTGCCTCTGGAAGCAGCTGCAGCTGCAGGGCAGTTCTGCACGGCACAGCCTCATCCAGCCTTGACTCTGTGCAGCTCCAGTGCTCCCTGCCTCTCCTCTTCCTTCCAAGAGACTTCTCTGAGTTAGAAGGCCACTTATCACAAGGACCAGTGCAATCTGTAGTGGGGGTCTTGATGCCCCAGAGGCCCTGCAGCCAAAAGGGGGTTAGACCCCCTGGGTAAGGGCTCCAGTCTTCCAGTCTTCAGCTGGACAATTTGGAGATGCATTCTGGAAACTTGTGAGGTGAGCCTTGCAGAGTTGAGCTTCCCTTACCACAGCTGTAACCTTGATAAAGCCTCGAGATGATGAATTCTGTTCTTCCCTCATCATGCTCCCTGCTCCCTCCCTCTACTTCCTGGGAGGCACTTTGAGGATGAGGCATAGCCCATCTCTATGGCCTAGGCGGGGTGAGAAGAGGAAGGAGGGGAGGTACAGCCTGAGAAGACTGAGTGGTCTCCCTGAGCTTTCCTGAGAGCCACAGATGGTGGAGCAGGTGACTTGCAGGCTGGTCAGGGTCCAGCCTTGAGAGATTCTGAAAAAAAAAACACTGTTTCATCTTGGGCCCCACCCCCAACTGCCTGCTCTAGGAGCAAGGCTTGTAGAAGGCTGAGCCACAAAGGCTCCTCTCCATGCCTTTCCCATTTGTAGAGGAGAGAAGCCACTCTTTCTTGTCACTTCTTGTCTCCACTTCCTGGAGCGTCAGCACATGGGAGAGGTTTGGTTGAGGGGCAGGGAGAACCATGTAGGGAGAAGTTCTTTGTGTCTTGGAGAAGCTCCTCTTTTGGGGCCCAGAATCAGCTAATAATGAAGAGGTTCAAGAACTCAGCAGGCAGGTGGCCTTTGGGATTTGCAAGAGAAGCCCCCCTTGCAGATTCTCCATTTTCCTGAAGTGGCAATGAATTAGCTACCCATTTTCTATATGACAACCCACCCCAAAACTTCATTCTTCAAAACACAATCATCATTTATCACCTCTTCTGGTTTCTGTAGGTTGGTCATTCAGGAGTGGCTCAGCTGGTTGGTTCTGGGTCAGACCCTCCATGTAGGTCCAGTTGGATGTGGGCTGGTGCTAGGACCATCTTGAAGCTTCTTGATCATGAGGCTTGGAAGATTTGAACATGTCTCTGCATGTGGTTTATCCAAGAGGTTTCTCCAGCACGGTGGTGTCAGGGTAGCTGGACTGGACTTCTTATATGGTAGTTCAGGTGCCAAAGCACAAGGAGAGAGAGACAGAGAGAGGAAGAAAGAGAGAGAGAAGGAGAAGAGAGAGGAGAGAGAGAGAGAAAGCGAGAGAGAGAGAACAAGAACATGCGCATAAGGCAGAAACCATAACTATGACCTAGTCTCGGAAGTCATTCATCATCAGTAACCATTGTGTTCTGTTAGTCTAAAGGTCCACCCAAGTTCAAGGGAGGAGACATAGATTCCATGAGCCCACCCTGTCACAGCATTAGAGCAGGTGGGATGGGAGATGTAGTAGTGCAGCCATCTTTGCAAAATGCAATCAACCATACATGGGAATTTTGCAACAATAAAGAGAACAGAAAGGGGGAGTGATGCTCTGAATTTTTGGTGGTAGGAAAAGAAGTCATCCTTGGCACATATACTGAGTTGAATGGAGTTCCCTAAAATTCATGTCACCCAAACCTCAGAATATGACCTTATTTCAAAACAACTGTTTGCAAGTGAATTAATTAAGATGAAGTCATTCTGGAGTCAAGAGAGCCCTAAATTCAATGACTGGCATCCTTCTATCATCACCATCTGAAGCCACTGACATATGCAGAGGAAAGACGGATTGTGAAGATAGAGGCAGAGACTGGAGTGAGGCAGCCACAAGCCCAGAATGGCCAGCAATCCCCAGAAGCAAGAAGGAATTCTCCCCTAGAGGCTTTTGAGGGAACGTGGCCAGCTGACACCTTGATTTCAGCTTCTGGTCTCCAGAACCATGAGAGAATAAATTGCTGTTGTTTTAAGCAAAGTACCACCCAGTTTGTGGTACCGTGTTATGGGAGATGCAGGAAACTCCTCCAGCAGAAGAATCTCCACAGCACAGGGGGTTAATCTGTATCTGCTGTCGTGGTCTATTTGCTCTGACCCCAATCCCTGCACAAGGGTTCAAATCTTGCAAGCATGCCCAAATAATGAGGGCTTTTTTCTCTGATTCAGCCTGTGCCTGCATTTCTAAAGAGCTTACCGCATAACTTCCAAAGAGGAGCCTCTGCACCTTGGTGAATTCTCTTCATTTGGAGCAATCTAATGAAAAAGGTAGACATGCCTGATGTCGTGGCAAGAAGAGAGCAGAGAAGACAAAGGAGGGCAGCTGCCAGAAAGTCTCTTTTCTCATTAGCTGAGTATTTTCTGAAGCCTCATAGAAGTCTTTCTTTCCTGTTTGGTCTTGACTAATTCATCTCCCTTCCTGGATGAATGGAGTAACTCATCCTGGGGATCTGTTTCTTATCAGTGAGGGGAAGGGAGAAGGCGGAGCGCCAGGAGATTCAGACTTAGAGAGCAGCGAAAGACGTGCAGCATTTAATGAGGACTCAGTGATGCCAGAGAATTTCTTTCTTAGCTATCCCTTTCCAGCTTCATTTTTGTGTTTTATCTAATGACCCATTCCCTGGCAAAAGGAGAAATACAAAGAATCAATAAGCATCTAAGAGATGTTCATGATGACAAATGAAAACAGTCCATCATCTGTTACCTTCCAAACTGGCAATTCTTTTTTTGTTGCACCTGTTTCACTGACGCTGCTACACGTTGGTGAGGCATATGAAGAAACACAAAGAACAATAAAAGCAAGCAGTTCAGCTGACCACATAGGACATAGACATATTTCACAGACACAGCCTCTTAGAAGATGGAAGACAGCTTAAAGGAACACTAATAATCATATTTGGAGCAACTATATGCAGAAAATAAGAACATTGCAAAGAAACAGTCAGAGACCAACTGCTCCGCTCTTGGAAATTTAAAAATAACATTGCCAAAATTAAAAATTAAATTGAATGGCTGGAAAATAAACTGGAGGAATTTTCCTAGAACAAAATGCAAGACAGGAACTATAAGAAGCTCAAAGAAGAGACGCTAGAGATGACAGAGGGGAGAAAAATATTAAAGAAATAATAAAAGTGTCCAGAAGTATAGAGACACATGGGTCACCTCATGTGAACACAGTACCTTTAAAACACCTATACTCATGAAATTTCAGAACTAAAGTAATTTTACATATTAATTAAAATTAACTAAACGAATTTAACATATCCTCATGAAATTTCAGAACTTTAAAGATAAAATAAATATCCTAAAAGCTCCAAGAGAGGAAAAAATTCACCTATAAAGAAATTAAGAATCAGACTTGCATCAAACTTTTCATCAGCAACACTCACTGCCACAGAAATGTGGAACAATTTCTTCCAGACTTCAAGGAAAAACGACTTCAGGACTAGACATTTAAACTCAGGCCTACTATCATGCAATGGGGAGTGCAAAGTAAGGTCCTTTTCAGACATGAAAAGACCCCCAGACTCTACCCTTTTTTGAAGATGTTCCTTACAGATGAAAATCCTGCTGCATGCGGTGACTCACGCCTGTAATCACAGCACTCAGGGAGGCCAAGGCAGGCAAATCACTGGAGCTTGGGAGTTCAAGACCAGCCTGGGCAACATGGCAAAGCCCCAGCTCTACAAAAAATTTTAAAAATTAGCCTGGCATGGTCGGGCGTGGTGGCTCACGCCTGTCATCCCAGCACTTTGGGAGGCCGAGGCAGGTGGATTGCCTGAGCTCAGGAGTCTGCAACCAGCCCGGGCAACACGGTGAAACCCTGTCTCTACTAAAATACAAAAAATTAACTGGATGTGGGCAGCATGTGCGTGTAGTCCCAGCTACCTGGGAGGGTGACGCAGAATTGCTTGAACCTGGGAAGCGGAGGTTGCAGTGAGCCGAGATCGCGCCACTGAGCTCCAGCCTGGGCGAGAGAGCAAGACTCTGTCTCAAAAAAAAAAAAAAAAATTTAGCCGGGCATGGTGGTGTGCTCCTGTAGTTTCAGCCATTTAGGAGGCTGAGGTGGGAGGATCACTTGAGTCCAGGGAGCTCCAGGCTACAGTGAACCATGACTGCACCATTGCACTCCAGCCTGGGTAACAGAGAAAGACCCTGTCTCAAAAAAAAAAAGAAAAAAAAAAGGCCAATAATATTGACCTACCTACCTTAAATGTGCAGAAGGTGAACAAGAAAAGAAAAAAAAATTCTTAGAAAAAAATCCTAGAGAAGAAGATACGGGACCCAAGAAACTGTTGGACTAACCTTGGCCTCCATCAGAAAGAAAACAATAACATCTCTGCAGTAGACAGAAAACATCTATTGAAACTGAAGAAAGAAGTCAATGTCTCATGGGAGAATATCTTTAAGAAGAAAAATGGAGGAATTTATTTCAGGAGCTGGGATGAGGAGAAGGCTAGAAGATCTTAGCAACATGGTGAGAGTATATATTTTCTCTCTGTAAGACAAAGAAAAAGCAATTCATGAACTCTGAAGAAACAACAAACTGCACAAAAAAAATCACGGCCTTGGGTTAAGCAATAAGGATCTATGGGTTCTCAATGGCAATATGAAGATAACACATTCTTTGTATGTTGAGACCATGAGTGACTGTTGACTTAGTGGATGGAATAGGCTCATTTTATTAGAACTGAAGAATGAACAATTATATTCTAGGACTCTCTATGACGGTGCAAAAAGTGTTAATGTACATAATAATGTACTCATGTTATACTAATTTTCAACTTTTAGAATCAATGTATATTTAAGCAGAGAGTTTTGGATCCAGGATGCCAAACAATAAATCTTATTAAACTTTGTGTGATCAACCCAAAGGTAAGCTGCCTGAAGAAGAAAGAAAAGGAAGGCAGAAAATATATCAAAAGCACTTATATTCCCATCTGTCACGTAGCCATCACAAGATAAAATTTAGCATTGATGGGTCAAGAAGTAGAGATTGCTGTTTGTTATATACATGTATATATCTCACCAGTTAAGGAATTTAAAGTAAGTATATGGCCATCAACAATTTAAGGAGACCTGGAAAGGGAGGTAGTGACAGTCTGCATAGCTGAGAGTCCTTAGATAATGTCTAAAGTTGATTAAAAACAAAAAAAAAATCACAGTATAGGTAAATGACGCTTTATAGAGATAGGCACAAAATCACACAAATTAGAAATGGTTAAAAATTGTCAGTAGAACTAGGGAATGTTTGGGGTGGATACAAAAGAATATTGCTTCTCATTAATACTTCTTCTGAACTGTAACACCACAAACCATGTGTTAGTTTCTTGTTGCTATTATAACAATACTATAAACCTGCTGGCTTAGATTATCTGACCTTTCTGGAAGTAGTGTGAAATGGGTCACACTGGGCTATATCAAGGCATTGGCAGGACAGCATTCCTTCTAGGGGCTCCAGGGCAAAATCTGTCTCCTTGATGTTTTCAGTGTCCAAAGGCCACCTGTACTCCTTGGCTTATGGCCACTTTCTCCACCTGTAAAGCCAGCATTGTCCCATCTGAAGATTTCTCCAGACTCTGAGCTCCTTCCTCTTCAAAGCTAGCAATGACTGGTTAAGTCTGTCTCACTGTGAATCACACTCCTTTTCTGCTTTCAGCAGCACATCTCTGACTCTTGTCTCACTCTTTCCCGTGATTACATTAGACTCACACAGAAAACCTGATAAAGTAACATAGTCACAAGTCACAGGGATTAGGACATGGGCGTCTCTCTTTCTTTTCTTTCTTTTCTTTTCTCTTTCTTTCTTTCTTTCCTTTTCTTTTTTATTTTTTTTAGACAGAATCTCGCTCCATTGCCCAGGATAGAGCTGAGTTCAGTGGTGCAGTCTTGGCTCATTGCAAACTCTGCCTCTCAGGTTCAAACAATTCTCCTGCCTCAGCCTCCTGAGTAGCTGGGATTATAGGCATGTGCCACCATACCGGCTAATTTTTGTATTTTTTGTGGAGACAGGATTGTGTCATGTTGGCCAGGCTGGTTTCGAACTCCTGGCCTCAAGCCATCCACCCACCTCGGCCTCCCAAAGTGCTGGAATTAACAGGAGTGAACCACCACACCTGGCCAACATGGGCATATTTGGGGGCCTTTATTCTCCTACCACAGACTAGTATTACCTTAGTAATTTGAATGAAAAAATAATTACTCGTGTGAATTTGAAAAAATCTTTACAATATACTTTGAGGGAAAAGAAGTTCACAAAACAGTGCCTACCATATGATCTAAATTTTGTATTTTTAAAGAGTGTGTGTGTATGCATGCATGCTGTGTGTAAGTGTATTTTCAGGAAAAAAAAAACTAGCTATTTAGAGGTAATGTGCCTTCTATGTGGCACTAAGCCTAACTCTTATTTACTCTGTATGCTCTTCTTTATTTTCTAAATTTACTATAATAAATATAGATTGCCCATATAATCAGAAAAAGTTATTTATAAAATTTCCAAGGAAGAGACTGTTTCTAGAAACAAGCTGATGAGTTGGATCTCTTTCACATTCTGTCCAAGACTTTTCAGTCCCTTCAGATCCTTAGAAGAGCTCGCTAAGTACTCAAAGGTAAGGAATAGTTTGTATGATCTGTCTCAGATAAGCTGAGGACATCACAGCCGATTATTAGACTCATCCAGCCAGATAGAAATAAATGTGGTTGTTCTAAGATCTTGACAGGGATGAAAAATTAGTGTCTAGGAAGCTGAGAACCCATGAACCCAGGTGTCTATCTTAACTCACGCTTTTGAAGTCACATAGAGCAAGGGTTGCAAACTCAGCTGCTTAAACCAGCACTTCTCAACCCTTCCAGTGTGTAAGCATTGCCCAGGGATCTTGTTAATTAAATGCAGATTGTCATTCGGAGGGGCTGGGGCAGGGACCTGAGATTCTGCACCTGGAGACCTGAGAATCAGTGACCTGGGGATACTGATGTGATGTGGCTGATTCAGGGATTACACTTTCAATAATGAGGGCTTCCAGGGTCAAGACAGGGACTATGAAAAGCTTGGTGAGAAGTGATAGGGAGTAGGGGACCAGGGAGGTGATGGTCCATCTGAAGGTGTTTCAACTACTAACAACAACAATAATGTAAACATACTCTAAGGGAAAAGCAAAACTCGCCTGATGGCCACATTCTGGCCAGAAGTCGGTAGTATGTCATGTCCAGTTGGAAGGTTGTGGGAAAAAAAAAGAAAAGAATGAGGGGGGCACTTGTCACATCTGATGTATTAGTCTGTTTTCACACTGCTGATAAAGACATACCAAAGACTGGGCAATTTACAAAAGAAAGAGGTTTAATGGACTTATAGTTCCATGTGGCTGGGGAGGCCTCACAATCATGGTTGAAGGCAAGGAGGAGCAAGTCACATCTTACATGGATGGCGGCAGGCAAAGAGAGAGCTTGTGCAGGGAAACTCCCATTTGTAAAACCATCAGATCTCATAAGACTCATTCACTATCACAAGAACAGCATTGGAAAGACCTGGCCCCATAATTCAAT
Organism: Homo sapiens; assembly: GCF_000001405.40. Classification (NCBI taxonomy): domain Eukaryota; kingdom Metazoa; phylum Chordata; class Mammalia; order Primates; family Hominidae; genus Homo; species Homo sapiens. The sequence goes on from NC_000012.12 coordinate 128,739,663, forward strand.
CACCTCTTACTGGGTCCCTTCCATAACACATGGAAATTATGGGAGCTACAAGATGAGATTTGGACAGGGACACAGAGAAAAACCATATCATCTGGATAGCCAATATTGACCAGATCCTTCAGTAGCCAACCAGTTTCCACCTGAGCTATTTCATGGGCAGAAGAGCTTTGCTTTTCCCAAAGTTATTGGTTACTAACATAAGCAAGTTGGGTGCGGTGGCTCACGCCTGTAATCCCAGCACTTTGGGAGGCTTAGGTGGGTGGATCACCTGAGCTCAGGAGTTCAAGATGAGCCTGGCCAACATGAAAAATACAAAAATTAGCCGGGCATGATGGCAGGTGCCTGTAATCCCAGCTACCTGGGAGGCTGAGGCCAGAGAATCGCTTGAACCCAGGAGGTGGAGGTTGCAGTGAGCCAAGATTGTGCCATTGCATTCCAGCCTGGGCAACAGAGTGAGACTCCATCTCCAAAAAATAAAAATAAAAATACAAATAAAATCAGCAGCCAGACAAACCCAGCTCAAGCCCTGGCTCAGATTCCACTCCTAGGTATATACTCAAGAGAACTGAAAACAGGTGCTCCCATAAAAACTTATATATAATGTTCATAGCATTATTCACAGTAGCAATAGGTGGACACAACCTGAATGTCCATCAGTGGGTAACTGGATAAACAAAATGTGGTCTAATCCCTGCAATGGAATATTATTCAGTCATAATAAAGGAATCAGAATCAGATACATGCTATGACATGGATGAGCCTTGAAAACATGATGCTGAGGGAAAAGAAGGCAGACACAGAAGGACAAACGCTGTGCAATTCCATTTGTATGAAATGTTCAGAATAGGCACATCCATAGAGATAGAAAGTAGAGTGCTGCTTTGGGCTGGGGAGAATGGTGATTAGGGAAGTGATAGCTAAAGGGTCTGGGGTTTCTTTGGGGAGTGATGACAATTTTCTAAAATTGACCATGGTGGTGGTTGCACAGCTCCATAAATATACTAAAAACCATTTAATTTTACATTTAAAAGAAAATCTAGCTGGGCACGGTGGCTCATGTCTATAATCCCAGCACTTTGGGAGGCCAAGGAGGGCAGATCACCTGAGGTCAGGAGTTTAAGACCAGCCTGGCCAACATGGCGAAACCCCATCTCTACTAAAAATACAAAAATTAGCCAGGCATAGTGATGCACACCTGTAGTCGCAGCTACTCGGGAGGCTGAGGCAGGAGAATTGCTTGAACCTGGGAGGTGGAGGTTGCAGTGAGCCGAGATCACACCACTGCACTCCAGTCTGGGTGACTGAGCGCGACTCCATCTCAAAAAAACAAACGAGAAAAGAAAACAATATCTGGCTGGCTCAGGGACTTCCTATAAGCTGAGTGGCCATTAGCAAGTTACTTAGTGACTTTCATCCTCAGTTTGCTCAGCTGTAAAATGGGAGTGATGGCTCACTTCCAATGTCATTGGGAAGATATTCTCATAATACAAGCAAAACACTTCACCCACTGCTCAGCTCTTTGAAACTACTCAGTGCAGATATTGGTATTACTAGTAGCATTCCTAATTGCTACAACAAAGAATTGCTTATTTGTTCTTTATTATTGTGTTGAAACTGGATGAGAAACCTCTGCAGTGGGCCTCAGGAACGCACAGGCTTGTCTACAAGTGGGGAGTTTTCTTTGAGTATCTGCATTCAGCAAATTCTATCATATTCTCTTTGTTGCTGGGGAGAAAAATTGGACAAGATGTAATCCTGAGGGATTTGTCAGACAATGGTACCTGACCGGTGCAGATTGACAAGTTAAGCATGTGTCTGCTGGACCGATTTTCACTTCGCTGGCCGTCTGCAAAGGAAAATCGACGGTTCACTGATGTTTCCATATTAGCAAAGGGTCAAACTCAGCTGTCTCTTGAGAGGAGGAAAAAAAGCAACCTCAGTTCAGTGCTCCCTTGGCCTAAAATGTAAACTCTGAATCGTTTGATCAATCAAGAAAAGCTTTTCTATCCAAAACGACCGTTTTCTGCATTTCCCTTGTGGAGAAAATGCCTTCTCTTTTGGAAACTGCTAGAAATCTGCTTCTCTCATCAATATCACTGGCAGATTTTTTTTTTCCTTTCTTTAGTTCTGAAAATGATTAATCTAACAACAGTTTCGGTGACTTTCTATGAGCGGACCATGTTCAATTGTGCTGATGGCCCATTAATACTGGCCTAATGTTGGCTGCACTCCCACCTGGGGGATCTACGAAGAAAGCTTTGTGATTTACCCAGAGAGAGCTCATCACGGAATTAGTGCAATGGATAGATATGATCCTAGGATCTGAGGACGCCATTTAAATGGTCCAGCAGTGAAAAGAGGTCACCGAAAGCAGGGAAGCCAGACCATTAGCTTCAGCAGCAAACAAATAAAAAGTGCAGTCTGGCTCTTACACGTGGGCACGGTGGGTCTCTGCCCTGGCCCCACACTTCGGAGGACCCCGCTCCAGTGTTCCTCTGCCCTTGCATTATCATTTACCTGTGTTCCTCCCTGTGAAGGAGGCTATGATGAGCTGAATTATGTCTCTTTAAAAATGCATCTGTTGAAGCCCTAACCCCCAATATCTCAGAATGTGACTGCGTTTGGAGATAGGACCTTTTAAAGAGATGATTAAGTTAAAATGAGTCTATTAGGTTGGCCCTAATACAGTCTGACTGGTGTGGTGGTAAGAAGACATTTGGACACACAGAGGCACCAGCGATGCGTGTGCACGGAGGAAAGACCATGAGAGGCCTCGGTGAGAAAGAGAGAAGAAGGCTGACCCCAACCAAGAGAGGGGCCTCTGGAGAAACCAAACCTGCTGACACCTTCATCTTAGACTTTTAGCCCCCAGACTGTGATAAAATAAATTTCTGTTATTAAAGCCATGCAGTCTGTGGCATTTTGTTATGGCAACCCCAGCAGACTAATTCACAGGCCAACGGGAGGTGTCCACCAAGGCTTTGGTATCCACTTCTAGACTATGCTCCACAGAGCTGGACCCGAGAATCCTCTGCACAATGGCCCCAGGACTATTTCCAGAGCAGTAAGGGCCTCTACCTTGAGGCTGACCTCCCAAGAGAGGACCATGAAGCCCATGTACCCAGCCTGGCCCAGAGAGGCACCCAGGGAGTAGCTGTTTGCAGGGAATCTAAGCAGAGCTGGCTTCTGAGGACAGGTGTTTGCATGCAGACAGGTGAGGCCTCCACAATTGCAGAAGAAAGATGCGGGAGGGAGGGGACAGGTGTTTGCATGCAGACAGGTGAGGCCTCTCCAATTGCAGGAGAAAGATGCGGGAGGCAGGGAAGGTGAGCAACCCACCGCCGGGCATCAAGGCTGAGGCTGGCTTTCGCTGTTGTATGTACCATGTCCTGTGCAACTACAGGGAGTCAAAGGGTTTTCCACTGGAGCCTGGCTTTCTGGGTTGTTATGCAGGCATAGTGTCAAAGTGAGGAAAGAGACCAGCAGGATTTGTTTTCCGGTGACAACCCCGTTGACCAAAACAGGATCTGGTGCCGTCAGGATAAAGTGAAAGAACCGGCAGAACCAGCAGATGGTGACAAAAGCCATCCCCAGCTGCCCTCATTGCTCATTGGCATAAGAGGCTCCCACCAGCATCGTGACAGTTTACAAACACCATGGGAACACATTGGAAGTTGTCACCCCTTTCCTTGGCAACAACCTGGAAATTACTGTCCCTTTCCTAGAAAGTTCTAACTCACCCACCCTTTAATTTGCTGTAGCCCTCCCCTTAATTTGCACATAATTAAAAGTAGGTATAAATGCAATTGCCAAGAGCCCGTACATTGTCAACTCTGGGTGCACTGCCTGAGTTAGTCCTGCCCCACAAGGAGCAGTACCATTCAGTAAAACATTCCTGTCTAACACCACCAGCTTGCCCTTGAATTCTTTCCTAGGCAAAGCCGAGAACCCTTCCAACCTAAGCCCCAACTTTGGGGCTCACCTGTCCTACATTGAAGGCAAGGATAGGGAACGCATTTTGTTTGTTCACCTGATTAGTAACCTTTAAGCATTTACATCTGTGGCAGGTGGACCTCCACTGATGCTCTCACTTTGGGCCCCACAAATGTCTGGGGTGAGGCCAATGGTACCCAATCGAATGGGAGTTTGAGACTCCATTAGCCCTTGGGCGGCCCCGTTTTCATCTTCCTGATACTGATGGTGAGCTGGGCCAAGAGACACTCTGGAACCTTCAGGCTGCCTCTTCTCCCACTTGAATAGAAAAGCCCAGTGCATCTGAGGAGTCACAAGTGATATTTGCCGAAGGGATATTTTAAAAAGCAAACCCGGGATGGCCTCTCCAGGAGCAAGACAGAGAAGGGGGATTTCAATCAGGGAAGTGGGTTGAACTCAAAAGAGCGTGCCTCTCATTTGCAATGGCCAGGGCTCACCAGCATTGTGGGGGGAAGTGGTGTTACCATGGAAACCTCTTTCGGGCTTTGTGGTCCGTACTCAGGCTCTTCTCACTCATGAAGTCCGAATTGGTATTTCATAAAAATTTTAATATGTTCTAATTATTCTGAAGCTGCTGCCTCCGTAATTGATTTTCATGTAAAAGAACACAATTTCCCTGCATTTCCTGGCCAAAGTGTAATTGTGCCTATTTCAGAAACAAGTTTATCAATACTTTCATCGACATCTACCCAAAACAGAGGGTCAAAGTTCTTTTTCCTTTTCTTCAGGGAATAAGCACAGCAAATGTGTATTATCCAGAAGGGACCCTGAGTGAGGCTGCAGTTACAGGCCCTCATTAGGGATTTTCTACCGTAAGAAAGGAGAAATTCTAAACTAAGCTTGCTTTATTTTTTTCCAGCAGAACATTTACTACACAAATACCCGGAATAATACTGGAACATATTCACTCATAACTGCAGGCTTCAGGGTTATATAATTCCATTTCATGAGAATCACAGAAATGCAGAGAGTGAGAATGATGACCTCTCTCCCTTTGGAAGCACAAACCTGAGTGTAAATGTTAAGCCTTGGTGAGTAGGCAAAAATAAAATTAACTCCCAGATATCTCAGGCCTCCTCAGTGCAGGTCCTTCTGTGTGTGAAAAATTGGCTTTTAAGGGGAGAGATTCATGCTTGATAAATAAAGCCTAATTTGGAAATCTCTGCAGAGCTTTTGGACCAAGGATCAACCCCCTGCCTGTCTTCATTCTAATGTGGTTAAAACACCAATGGCCATTCATTCACTTTGTCTCTGAAGGAAACATGATGATATTATTAGCAGAGAGCTAGAAACTGGAGTGGAAGGGAAAACACGTAAGAACAGCAGAACTGGAGAAGATGAAATAAGACAGAAAGGGAGACAAGGAGTAGAGGGGAGAAAGAACAGAAAGTCTTACCTGATTTCTATATGAGTCGGGACTCTTTTGGTTCCAAGACATAAGAAATTCAACTCGAAGTGACCTAAAGAAGAGAAAGTTTGGGGGTGGAGGGAGGAGGCTAGCTGAAATTAAAGATCTATGAAGCTTCAGGCATAGCTGGATCCAGGTGCTCATACAAGGTCTGAGTGTGGTCACTCTCTCTGTCTCTCAGTTCTGTCATTTCCTGCATTACCTGCATTTCCAGGCAGGCAGAACCATGGCTGTCGGGAATGCCCAGATTGCTTCACAGCCTCTCCATACTTCCAGGAAAAAGAACCATTTTTTCCCTAACCATTAAAAAAATACATATAATTGCCAGGCACGGTGGCTCACCCCTGTAATCCCAGCACTTTGGGAGGCCGAGGTGGGCAGATCACGAGGTCAAGAGATCGAGACCATCCTGGCTAACACGGTGAAACCCAGTCTCTACTACAAATACAAAAAATTAGCCGGGCGCGGTGGCGGGCACCTGTAGTCCCAGCTACTCGGGAGGCTGAGGCAGGAGAATGGCGTGAACCCGGGAGGCGGAGCTTGCAGTGAGCTGAGATTGCGCCACTGCACTCCAGCCTGGGCGACAGAGTGAGACTCTGTCTCGAAAAAAAAATAATAATACATATAATTGAATATTTTTGGATCGCTGCATCCATGTCTACTTATAAAGTCATCACTGGCTAAGGGTATTCGGTGTTCTGATTGCCTAGTCAAATGTCTCTACCTCCAGAGCCAAGGAAAACCTCATAGACTAAAAGTGGAGTGGGTTCATCCCCCAAAACATCATATGGTTTTGTGACCAAGAGAAGAGAGAATGCATGCAGGACTGGGAACAGAAGAGATGAAGACGACAGGGCTTTACCTAATGACTTAACCCTCAGAGAATCAGTATGTTTCAGAGGCCAAATGCTGCTCACCCCTACAACCCCACGACTGTTTGTGAATGACTCCAGCTGCGTTTGCCTCCCTTTCCCAACGAGCACCTGGCGCAGGAGTGATTATAAGCAACCGCGTCTCATTCACTCCTGGACCCTACACACACTGGTATTAAGAAAATGTTTATTTTGAAAAGGGATTCAGAAGTGGCTATATTTATTTTTATATTTCCTCTTGCCCTAGTTAATATTTTTGTGGTCTTGACACCCTGTCTTTAAGAAAATGACACATCGCCCTTTTCATTTCCCTTCTCTTCACCCCCAACTGTTTGTGAGCCCAAGGTGCTTGGAAAAGATAACAGGGTCTTTAATATGATATAAATGTAGGGGGTTTTTCTAGGTGGACGGCTCTGGGATGTTGTCAGATCAGTGAGGTGGGGGGTCCGCATGTGCTCACCTGGGCAATGCTGAAATAGTTTATAAAAGCTGTGTTCAGCCTTCATCAGAGCAAATAACAACCTCTCCAAACGGAAAGTAAATCAATAGCAGCTGAAGACTGGGTTTTCCTGGTTCAGAGACAGACAATGTTAATACTATGCTCCTCTCTGATTCCCTTTTACATTTCTGCAGACACTGGTTTAGAAGAGTTAGCAGAGAAAATGGTGTGTTTTGGAGAAATGCTCACCCTGCCCCACAGAGACAGGTGCATTTAAGAAGATAGTTTTACATTCTGAACCAGCAGGACTTGAGACACACTTTACACTGTGTTATCAGGAACCAAAATGGTATAAAATCTAGCTAATTTTTCAGGAATTTCCTTTGCTAAATTTATACACATGCAAACACACAGACACACACACACACACACACACACACACACACAAATCCTAGGATCCCAGACAGCTCAGCTTCTCCAGGGCCACACACTAACAAGCAAAAATAAGCAAAGGAAGATAAAATAGTCCAGCAGCTAGAAGTAATGTTTTAAGAACAGCTTTAATTAAGATCAAATTTTTGTTGTTGTTGCCAAGATTAGAGGTTGATTCCAGCTACTGAGCTTGGTAAAGTTTCTTTCGAGCATATTGGGGAGTTTGTGGAATCCTTGGCGGGACTGGAGAACTTACATTGAAGCCGATTTCCAGGAACCATGTCCAAAATCACACAGCAGGCCTGGCCAGATGGGGAAAGCTATAGAGCTCTTACTGACCCACTGGGCACAGAGGGCCCCTAGCACAGGCGTGAAGACCCCCAACCTGAGGGACATCACCTCTGCACCAGGAACTTGGCCATATATATAGTCACTGAGAGAATAGCCACTGCTTCTCCCACCACCAAAAGCCAAACCCATCTTCAACCAACGGGGCCAACAAAAAATGGCAGTGCCAGGCTGGGCTTCCTTCTCACATTGTTCCCCTTAGAACTAAAGTCTCATCCCAGGGAATTCCATCAAATCAGCTCAGGCTCACTCTGGCTGGGGGAAGCAATCTGCCATGGTCCTGGGGCATCTTTGTGTGTCCTTGCTGCAAGGATAGCGTCCCCTGATACTGAGCACTGTCTGCAGATGGTATGGAGGCAACCAAGGAGGCTGAGGTGCCCACAGAGTGACTGCCACGCACCTGCGAACTCCACAGGGACGAGGACTGGTTCGTTGGCCGCGCGCTACCACAGGCCTGCAGCCCTGGGCTTCCCAGCTGCGGGGCATCCTGCTTTGTGGGTAGCCACTGCACCGTGGCATTTGGGAGAGAGAAGCGGGCTCTGTGATGCTGAGGCTCTCTCCATTTCCTGTACCCTGTGAGTGACAAACGCCTTGCTCTGATTCCAGCTTGTTGTCTATTTTTGGCAACTTGCTGGCCAGCCTCCACATTGACATTGGGGCCTAGTTCCCGCTCCTCTCCTCTGTGAGGCTGGGGCCCTTCCCCGACGGCCAGTGTCTCAGCAACAGCACAGGGTGGGGGAGTCTGGACATGTGGGCTCTGACCCCTAAAGTGGGAAAGTGAGATTCATCATGTGAGGCTTCCCTTGTGGAGGCTGAACAAAGATGTCCATGTCCTGCAGCCTGGAATTTGTGAAAATGTCACCTTCATGGCCAAAGGAACTTGGTAGCTGTGATTGAGTTCAGGATTGTGAGATTCTCCTGGGTTCCCCAGGTGGGCGTGGTGTAGTCACAGGGGTCCTTGCAATAAAGGGAAGCACATGCATCAATCAGAGGAAGGTAAGACTCCCGTAGGAGGACACAGAGAGAGGACACTTAGCTGGTTTCAGGACGCAGAAGGGACCATGAGCCCAGGAACGCCGGCAGCCTCTCAAAGCTGGAAAAGACAAGAAAAGAGCTCCTGCCCAGAGCCTCCTGAAGAAACGCAGCCCCACAGACACCTTGAGGATGAGCAGCCCCTTGAGATGCATTCTGACTCCTGACCTGCAGAACTGTGAAATGATAAGTGTGTGTCATCTTCAGCCACTTCAGTTGGTGGTATCTGTTACATCAGCAATGGGAAACTAAGACATCCCCTAAATGTAAAAAGGCTATTCGAAAGATAATGTATAAAAACTAGAAAGCACAGGCTGGGTGTGGTGGCTCACGCCTGTAATCCCAGCACTTTGGGAGGCCGAGGCGGGCAGATCATGAGCTCAGGAGTTTGAGACCAGTCGGGCCAATACGGTGAAACTCCATCTCTACTAAAATTACAAAAATTAGCTGGGCATGGTGGCGGGCGCCTGTAGTCCCAGCTACTCGGCAGGCTGAGGCAGAAGAATCGCTTGAACCCGGGAGGCGGAGGTTGCAGTGAGCCGAGATCATGCCACTGCACTCCAGCCTGGGGGACAGAGTGAGACTCTGTCTCAACAAAAAACAAAACAGAACAAAAACAAAAACTAGAAAGTGCAAGCCGTGCAGGGCCTGTGAAGTGGGCAGGACAGTGGCATCATTCTGGAAGATGCCCTTGCCTTGCTCTGGAGGGAAACAGAGGCACAGACCCAGGTGAGGGGGACCCAGTTCCTCCAGGCTCAGTTGGGGCTCTCTGCTCCTCTCCACTGCTGGATCTTCCACTTTGTAGGCACATCTGGGACCTCAACATGATTAAAATCAGTCTCTCTCCACCACAGCCCTCTCCCCTGAACCCCTCCGCCCTCCCATGTTTCTCTCCAGCCTTTCCTCCAAGCCAACTGGGAACTCGCCTGGAAAAAATAGAACTCTCTGTAGATGGAAGAGGATGGAAGTGAAAGAAAAAAAAAAGTTCTTTATTTGGAGCCATGCAGTGAAAGCAATTATTTGATATTTCTGGAGTACATTTTGCCTTTGCTTTATGAAATAGAGAAAATGGTTTTTAAAAATGCAAAATATGGTTACTATATGGCTATGAGACACATGTTTTTAATAAGATCGGGGTGAGGACAGGTGACTGTTTTCAGGTATGTGAATAGTTGCTGCAAATACATCATAAAGACGGTGCCTGGAAGGTGAGCTGTAATTACAGATCCTAGAATGTCATGTGATGATTTTTTACCGAGAACACACATTCCCCAGGTCCCAGGTTACTGACACATAAGTCTACTGTTTGGCTTTTGACCATATTTTCAGTAATTAGGTAGGAGGATGCAGGACTGCCTGGGATGAAATGATGGAAAGTTCTGGAGTCCAGTGGGTGTATGTTTCCATCAAGCTCCACAACTCTCTGGTTATTTTAAGAGTGCTAGAGTTTGGGTTGTAAGTAACATGAATTGGAATTATGTGAATACAAAAAGAAAGTTGAGAGGATCAATTATCAGCAAAACTTTTTAAAATATAATCCCTTAAAGTCAAAAATGTATCAGGAGTCACATAAATTTAAAGCTGTCAAATAAAGTCCATTGAGACCTGCCTGCTGTCTACTGACACATTTTGGTACCGTATTTTACCAGGTGGACAAAATTAGCCCCCAACAGTTGTCAGGAAAGTCTTGAATTAAATGTTGAAGTACACCCAGGTATTGGAAATGCATGTTTCCCCAAAGAGTAATTATGTTCAATTCTAACACAAATTCTTAAATACAGAAATTCTAGTGGCTGTTAAACATTTGACAAGATTTTCAATTGCGCTAAGGATGGGAGGGAAAAAATTATGACAAATAATTTGGGGCTTCTAGGGTTACCAAAGATTAAAACATGGCCAGGCGTGGTGGTTCATGCCTGTAATCCCAGCACATTAGGAGGCTGAAGCAGGAAGATGTCTTGAGGCGAGGAGTTCAAGACCAGCCTGGGCAACATAGTGAGACACCATCTCCACTTATATAAATATAAAAAATTAAAATGTAAAACATGATAATATTCCAGGCATATGCTGGACACTGTGGTCCTGTGAATGGATGTGACCAGTTTGGAGGGCAATTTAGAAATAGCCCCAAATGTCAAAGGAAAACCTCAGCTCGCAATTCTACTCTAACAATATGAAATGGTATTTGAACACATGTAGTCTTCCCAACCAGGGGTGCTCACGTGAATCACGGAACATAGAAAGTGGCTTGAGAGACTATTTTATCAATTCTCTCGAGGGTGGTTACATAACTAACACCTTTCTAGACCCCTGGGAGAAAAGTTCATTCCTTACATACAATGGATGGCTCAGGGCAAGAGAGTGTAATTCTCTTGGGAACACTGGTTGAGAAAACTGTAGATGTCTAGGAATTCATTGTCACCTTGTTTGTGATGCTGAAAAATGGGAAATGACTGATGTAAATGCTTAGCCAAAGGGATAAAGACAGAATGCTACATTCATATAATGGATTAGGAAGCAGCTGGTGACTATGTGAGTATATATGGATATATACTGATCCATTAATACTTCCATGATAAGTCGATAAATTTAAAAGAAAGTTATACCCACTAATATGACTTTATTTGAAAAGACATATCAGCGGGGTGGCTCTCACCTGTAATCCCAGCACTTTTGGATGCCAAGGCAAGAGGATCGCTTGAGCCCAGGAGTTTGAGACCAGCCTGGGCAAGATGGTAAGACCATCTCTATAATTAATAAATTAATTAAAAGATCCCAGCAAGTGTTGGTGAGAATCTGGAGAAATTGGGATGCTCACGCACAGCTTAATGGAAACGTAACATGCAGTTTGTTGCTGCTGTGGAAAACAGCCCAGCGGTTCCTCAAAAGTTTTCCATATGGCCCAGCAGTTTCACTCCTAGGTATAAACCCAACGGAAATGAAAATATATATCCACATAAAAGCCTGTACACGAAAGTTCACAGCAGCATTACTGACAATAGCCAAAGAGTGAAAACAACGCAAGTGCCCTTCAACTGATGAATGGATCAGCAAAAAGTGGGGTATCCATACAACAGAACATGACTCAGCCATAAAAACAAATGAAGCACTGGTACATGCCACAATGTGGATGAGCCTCGAAGACGTGAGATATGGGATGCCAGACACAAAAGGCTGCGTAGTTTACAATTCCATTCATATAAAATATAAAGAATATGCAAATCCAGGAGATTAGCGCTTGCCAGGGGCTGGGAGAGGGGAAATGGGGAAGGGGTAATGGGCAAGGGGTTTCCTTCTAGGGTGATGAAATGTTCGTTGATTGTGATGACTGTATAGCTTTGTGAATATGCTTAAAACCATTGAATTGTATACTTTAAATGGGTAAAATGTGTGATATATAAATTATATCTCAATAAAGCTGTTGCCAAAAAAAAAAAAAAAAGAAAGAAAGTTATGGGTGAAACAGGATTTGATTTTTTTTTTCTTTTTTGAGACAGGGACTCACTCTGTCACTCAGGCTGGAGTACAGTGGCATGATCACAGCTCACTGCAGCCTCAAACTCCCAGGATCAAGCAATTCTCCCACCTTAGCCTCCCAAGTAGCTGGGACTGCAAGTGCATGCCACCACGCCAGCTAATTTATTTATCTTTTGTGAAGATGGGGTCTTGCTATGTTGCCCAGGCTGGTCTCGAATGCCTCAGCCTCCCAGAACACTGGGACTACAGGGATTATAGTGAGCCACTGTGCCACGTCCTGTATTTGCCTTTTAAAAAATCCAAGGGTGGAGGTTTAGCAGGAAGGGTTTAGGGTTGGCTCTATGATAAAAACTGCTGAAACTGTGTTCTTAAGTGAGGAACACAGGAGAGCTCATGATAGACTTCTCTCTACCTTTGTATCTAACAATTTCCAAAACAGAAAAATTTTTTAAGTGAGATATGGCAGATAAAAGTAGCTCGGCAGAACACTGACAAGAGTTAAAGCTCAGTGGGTGAACATCATCATACTCTTCTCTCTACTTTTGTGTAGGTGTAAAAAATTTAGTTATACCAAGATTTTTTTCAAGTTAGATGAATAACAATATAAAGATTATAATCCCATTTGAGTTAAAACAATAATGCATTTTATACACACACTGATGTATATGTGCCAGGAAGATGACAAGCAACTCTCAGTGGCTGTCTCTTGGTGGGCTGCGGTGAGGAATGGCTTTGCTTCTACTTGATATATATATATTTTTAATGGTTTGTGTTTTTACAGCAAGCAGGTATTGTATGCAAAGAAAACATGGAAATAGGTATTTTTTTTAAATTCCACCAATTCTTCCTCATCTCAGTGTCCTCAGCTAGGCCACAGGAGTCCCACCCACCAGGCAAAGCTACTGGGAGGTTTAAGGCATTCACACCTCTGGGCCAGCCCCGGAGACACTTAGCTAAGAGACCACACTACAATTCGAATTCCCTTCTCCTTCCTTCACAGAGTCCTTAATGGCTGGCTATGATTTCAACGCTGGTGAATTACCGGCTATTGGCCCATGTATCTTGCCACCATTTTTCTTCGTTGTGATATATTCTTTTGGCCCTAGGCCTGAAAATGCTTCTTATAGGTGTGCACCACGTGCATCCATTACAGAATGGCTTGGCGAGTCACAGCGTGGGGGATGTGTCAGCTCTGGAGCACCGAATGGTTCTCCAGAGGTCTGCAAATTATTACTCTCCCCAACGTGTTTGCCCTTCTCCAAGTGAACACCCCTGAGTAGACAGGCTCTGACCTCCAAAGGTTTGCTAGACATGCTAGAAACAACTGAGAACGTGCCACGGGCTGTCACGAAGCCCAGGGCCTCAGCGTTAGTTTGGATAGGACTACCCCTTGCAACCAGGGTCTCATCCAGGTGATTTGAGGCAGGGTCTCTCTCTCTTCCCCCATTACCCAGACAAAATGTTGCCAATAAAGACGTTTCTAGTCACGTGGAGGACAGACACCACCACAGCATAAAAGGATTACAGGCTGCACCCTCCACTGCCAAACAGAGTTTTGAAAATGAAGGACATTTTTGTGAAAAGAAAGACTTTGTCAAGGCTTATGGCAAAACAAGCTTAAATAACCCTGTAATTCATTCCCACCCAGGACCCTGGAATTAAAGTAAATGCACGGGTAGTCAGTAGGGAGTGAGGCCTCCCCCGTCCCTGTTAACACACATCGAGAGGGAATGGAGCTGGGGAAACCTTTCCCACCTAAAGCAAAACCAGTTTCTTTACCAAGTAAGAAAACTTCCTTTGTCTTCCATTGTCAATTTTGTCAATTTTGCCAGAAGCAAAAAGAAGAATTTTTTTGTTGTTGGTATGCAACAGCAAAAAGAACATTGCTTTGCAAAAGCCTGGAATCAAAATATGTGAAGCTGGGGAAAGAAGCAGTTGTCCCCGTGGCTTCATGAAAGTGCAGAGAGCTGGTGGAGCTGGACTGAGCTGGATTTGAGTCCCTGGCCTGCCCCCTGTGGCAACGAGACATGCCCTGGCCCAGACAAGCTTTTAACTCAGTGCCTGTTCAGGTTCTTTGGTCATTCGACATTGTTTTTAATAGGAGGAGGGAAACAAACTGATTTTCCTATTCATTCATTCATTCATCCACCCATTCATTCATTCGAGAAGCATTCTATGTGCAAAGTTCAGTTCTAGGCAAGGTAGAAGCTGCAATTAATAAAACAAGCAAACTCCTGAAGTCATGGATCTTCAATTTTACTAGAGAAAGATAGAGAATAAGGAAGCAAATAAATAACTGATACTACCCATAAAAAGTTATGAGGCTATGCTGCAATGTGGAAGAAATTTGAAAGCATTACACTAAGTGAAAGAAGCTAGTCGCCAAAAAAAAAAAAAAAAAAACCCACATATTGAATGACACCATTTATATGAACCGCCAAAGACATGCAAATCCAGAGAGACAGAAAGTAGATTCATGGTTTTCAGGGACTGGGAAGGGAGAAACAGGGAGTGGCTGTTCATAGGCACTGAGCTTCCTTCTTGGGTGATGAAAATGGTTCTAAAATTGATGAATTGGTGAAATAGATGAGCTGTGATGTCTGAGTTATGTCTGGATGAAGCTGTTGAGCAAGAGTTAGGATGGTAGCTGTGTAAGTTATCACTGGGTCACCTGCTGTCCCAAGGTGTAGTGACTCGGCAACACATGCTCATTATTGATCCTGAGAATATGGGTCAGTTGGGTGGCTCGGTGGATCTTGGCTGGTTGCTCACAGTCCAGTCATCTGGAGAGATGGCTGAGTAACCCAGGATGGGCTCACTCACATGCCTGCTGGGTGACTTGCTGTCTGCTGGGGCAAATGGGGTTACTAGGTCCATGTGTCATTGTCCCCAGGCCAGTCTGGGCTTGTTCATATGACAACCCCCAGAGTCTGAGAAATGTCAGCGGTGTGTAAGGTTTCTGGAGGCCTCAGAACAGACACAGCATCACTTCTGCCCCCTCCTCTAGGACAAAGCAAGTCACAAGGCCAGCTCTGAGACAAGAGGTGTAGATTATTTTTCAACACCTTTATTAAGATGTTGTATTAGTCCTTTCTCACACTGCTCTAAGGGCATACCTGAGACTGGGTAATTTATAAAGGAAAGAGATTTACTTGACTTACAGTTCTGCAGGGATGGGGAGACCTCAGGAAGTTTACAACCATGACAGAAGGGGAAGAAAACATGTCCTTCTTCACATGGTGGCGGCAAAGAGAAGTGCAGAGTGAAGTTGAGGGAGCATCCCTTATAAAACCATCAGATCTCCTGAGAACTCACTCACTATCATGAGAACAGGATGGGGGAAACTGCCCCCATGAGTAAATTATCTCCACCTGGTCCCTCCCACAACACGTGGGGATTATGGGAACTACAATTCAAGATGAGATTTGGGTGGGGACATAAACTATATCAGGTGTAATTCACATACCACCTATTTCCCTCATTTAAGGAATACAATTCAACAGATTTTAGTAAATTGAGTGTTATGCATACACCACCGCAGTCAACTTGGGAACTTTCTCATTATCCCCAAAGAAACCCTTCACCTCTAGTCATTACCCCCAAACTCCCCAATCCCCCCGGCTCTCCCCCACAGACCTTGGCAACCACAAATCTCCTTTCTGTCTCTATGGATTTGCATATTCTGGACATTTCACATAAGCGGAATCATAGAATAGGAGGCCCTTTGTGTCTGGCTTTCTTCACTCTTAGCATGATGTTCTCAAGGTGCATCCATACTGTGGTATGTATCAATGCTTCCTTCTTTTTAGGGCTATGTGTAATATCCCATTGTAGGGATGCCTCACATTTAAGAGGTGCATAGTTTTGAAATAGGCTCCACGTGTTTATGAAGGAGCTGCAAAGTCATATTGCAAGGAGCGTGGATACAGAAAGGGGGAGAATTGAGGCCATTTTGGCAAACAGTCTACCCAGCAGCATCAGTTCATTTATTGCTTTTTGCTTGCATTGATTTTGTTACAGGTGATAATGTTCCCAGTCCCAGGTAATGAATCATGATTGGACCAAGCCAAGCAAGGCTGTCTCATTCCTTTTGCCAATGACTCATCCAGAGGAAACATGTGACACAGTTCTGGCCAATGATGAGTAAGGAGAGTCTTCCAGCATCTCTGAGAAAGCATTTCTTCCCTCGTAGAGAAAGAGCTGCACCTTTTGTCTCCTTTTTGAAGGGTTTTCGAGGGTCATTTTGACCATGCATGATTTTTGCTTTATGCACCATCTATACAGCTATCACTGTGTGTACCGAGTTGAAAAGTGAGTGCCTCAAAAGACTCAGACCCTCAGAATGTGACCTTATGTGGAAACAGGATCTTCACAGTTATAATCATGTTAGGATAAAGTCCTCCTAGATTAGGGTGCTTCCTAATCCAATGACTGGTGCTCTTCTAAGAAGACAGAAAAACAGGCTGGGTGCGGGGACTCATACCTGTGATCCCAGCACTGTGGGAGGCTAAGGCAGGAGGATGGCTTGAGCCCAGGAATTCGAGACCATCCTGGGCAACATAGTGAAACATCATCTCTACAAAAATGTTTGAAATTATTAGAGTGTAATCGTGCGTGCTTGTGGTCCTAGCTACTCAGGAGGCTGAGATGGGAGGATTGTTTAACCCTAGGAGGTCAAGGCTACAGTGAGCCATGTTCATGCCACTGCACTCCAACAGCCTGGGCAACAGAGCGAGACCCTGTCTCAACAGAAAAAAAAAAAAAAGATTCTAAAAAAAAGAAAGAAAAAGAAGAGAGAAACAGACACAGAAATACCTGGGAGAATGGGAGAACATCACATGAAGACAGAGCAGGGATTGGAGTGATGTGTCTACAAGCCAAGGGAAACTGGCCTGCCAACACCTGGATTTCTAACTTGCGGCCTCCAGAACGGTGAGGAAATACGTTTCTGATGTTTTACAGCACACAGGGTGCTTTGTTACAGCAGCCCTAGGAAACTAATCCACCATGTTATTCCATTATTTAAGAAATAGGCCGGGTGCAGTGGCTCACGCGTGTAATCCCAGCACTTTGGGGAATCGAGGTGGGTGGATCACTGGAGGTCAGCAGTTCGAGACAATCCTGACCAACATGGTGAAACCCCATCTCTACTAAAAATACAAAAATTAGCTGGGTGTGGTGATGGGCACCTGTAGTCCCAGCTACTCAGGAGGCTGAGTCAGGAGAATAACTTGAACCTGGGAGGCGGAGGTTGCAGTAAGCCAAGATTGTGCCACCGCATTCCAGCCTGGACAACAGAGCGAGACTCCATCTAGAAAAAAAAAAGGAGAAGGAAGGAAGGAAGGAAGGAAGGAAGAAAGAAAGAAAGAAAGAAAGAAAGAAAGAAAGAAAGAAAGAAAGAAAGAAGGAAGGAAGGGAGAAGGGAGAAAGAAGAAAGAAGGAAGAAAGGAAAAGAAAAGAAAGAAAGTCAGATTCTTTAACAACAAAGCCCAAGACTGGTCTTCAGGGAAGGAGGCAGCTTGTTAATGAGCCAGCCTGGGGACCAGGGTGCAGAGAGACAAAGCCTCCAGAGAGGGGAAGGAGGGGGAAGCCAGAGGGAAGGACCACAGACAGGGCTTTGGAGAAAGTCCAGGATTAAACCCTGCTGACCACAGGCTCAATACCCCTCCTGTCCCCACAGGCCACAGCCCCCTCTCAGCTTGACTCCCCTGACATGGGTCATCATGTTTCTCCACCTGCAAATGAGTGACCTTCATCATGATGGCTTAAAAATAAAAGCAGCCAGCTTGCGCCACTCTCCTCACAGAGCTGAGCCTTTTTATTGTAGGACAGAAAATATATGATTTCTCATTTTACAGGATTATGGGCCATTGATGCCCGCTTTCCATATGTTAGGAGCATATAAAAATTTTTGAGGGATGAAAGTGAATAACTTGAGGTCTGCACACAATAAAGTAATGTTCTTTTTTATTATAAAGCAGTTTGGTTTGAGATGACAAAAAGATGCTGTTAATATTTGGGTGGGCTGCATTTTTATTCCTTTGGTCAAGGACAATGAAAGACTTACTGGGACTCGGGAAGGTCATTCAACTGCCTTCCCCTGAGGCTTTGTAGCAACTCAAGTAAGAAGCTGGATGAAATGTTCCAGGGCATGATAAGACCCTGAGGTTTGTCCTCAAGCTTCCTACTTAGTTAGTTTGTGCACACGAATGTGTGCGCACACACAGACACATACACATGCATGCACACACTCACATGAACACATGTGCATACACAGGCATACACACATGGACACACGAGCACGGTAAGAGACACACATAGACACATATGCATGCACACACACTTATACACATGAACACACAGAAACACACATAGACACATCCATACAATGCACTTAGGAACACACATCCACACACACACAGATACACACACAGCTTCCTCTCCCCACCACACCTCCCCAGGTCTCACAAAATAGATGTGATCAGTCTGCAGGGATACGGCATTCCACCTTGGGTCTATTACCATGGACTACAGCTAAAATTTGGACTCCCTGGGACCCAATGCTGTTTTTCTATTGATCGTGTGGACTTCTTAATGAAAGGCTCAAATCAGATGAAATCCCTAGATCCTAACAAATAATAATACTGTTCCCACCTTGCCTTCCTTCCTGGGGTCCTGTCCTCTAGGAAACTGTGGCAGGCCAAGGACCCTGGCCATGTGGGTGGGGTCTGTGGAGGACAAAGCATTAGGGAAAGGCAGCTATTGCCTAAGCCCGTGGGTACTGGGGAGGCTGCCCCCCAATCCCCCCACAGAGAAGGCACCTGTTCCACCTCCCAGCAGGGCAGTCAGGCTGGAGATAGATTCCTTCAGCTTCGTAGGGCAATTAATGACAGCTCGTGACTGCTTTTCCTTATCCATCAGGATCTCTTCTGCCATGGTAGGGCTCTTAACATACTTGGCCCTTTTTTTTTTTCAGATGAAATTAAATAAAATAATATTAACCATTTTAAAGTGAACAATTCAGCGGCACTTGGGACATTCACAGTAGTGTGCAATCACCACCTCTGCCTGGTTTCAAAACCTTTTCATTACCTCATGAAGCAGTCTCTCCCCATTCCCTCACCCCTGGCAACCGCCAATCTAATTCCCGTCTCTGCGGATTTAATGCTTCTGGATGGTCCAAGTAAATGAAGTCATATAGCATGTATCCTTTTCTGACTGGCTTCTTTCCCTCAGGTTAAAGTTTTCAAGGCTCATCCACGTTGTAGCTCATGTCGATCATTCATTCTTTTTCATGGCCGAGTAATATTGCACTGTACGGACCTGTCACGTTTTGTTTATTCATTCAACCATTGATGGACATTTGGGCTGTTTTCACCTTTTTGACTATCATGAATAGAGCTGCTATGAATATTCATGTACGAGTTTTTATGTGAACATTTGTTTTCCATATTTTGGTGGGGAGGGAATCTGGGAGTAAAATTCTAGGTCAAAGTATAGTTTTGTTCAGTTTTTTGAGGATCTGCTAAACTGTTTTGGTCTTTTTTAATTTAAAACTTTTTTATTTATTTTTATTTACTTTATTTATTTATTTATTTGAGATGGAGCCTCGCTCTGTCATCCAGGCTGAAGTGCAGTGATGTGATCTCGGCTCACTGCTACATCCACCTCCCGGGTTCAAATGATCCTCATGCCTCAGCCCTCCAAATAGCTGGGATTACTGGTGGCTGCCACCATGCCTGGCTAATTTTTATATTTTTAGTAGAGACGGGGTTTCACCATGTTGTCCAGTCTGGTCTTGAACTCCTGGCCTCAAGTGATCCACCTGCCTTGGCCTCCCAAAGTGCTGGTGTGAGCCACTGCACCCAGCTAATTTAAATTTCTTTATAGTTAAATATAACACAAATACAGAATGCCAAAAAATTGATAAATTGTTAATTTATTATTAAATTAACAATTATATAAATTATAATTTATTAATAATTAACCATGTATATAAATTATAAATAATAGATTATTATAAGATGAATACCCTGGCAACTACTGCCATACCACTCACACAGAAACCCTCTTTGTGCACCCACACACACAGTTATTCTACCTGCCCCTAAGAGTAGCCATCATCCTTATTTTTATACATCTTTTAAAAAATAAACACTGTAACTTCGTAATCTTCTCATTGTTGAACATAAAGTTGATTTTATTCAATAGCTGCCTACCATTACATTATGTGGCTGAGCCATCGCCTCTTTGACCAGTTTCTGTAGTTAAACATTGGGGTTGTGTCTGGTGCTTTGCTGTGACCTTCAGGTAACTCTCCAGCCCTCTAAGAGCTTTATTCTTCTGTGAAATGAGGGATGGGGGATGTGAGGGTTAGCATCTGGCCACCTGTAAAGCACCCTGAAAATATAGGTTCTAGGGCTAAACCCGATCAAACCCTAGGTGCTCAGGGAACACACGTGCTGGACAGCCACAGCGGTCACTCCACCCCCTTTTTGCTTACAGCATGACGAACACTGCTTTCACTCATTGGTGCTCTATGGCCCCTCCCGTTGAATCCTGGTGTGACCCAGTGACTGCTCCAGACAACAGGGTATGGCAAAAGTGATGCCATGTGACTTCCTAGTGCAGGTTCTGGAAATAATACAGCTCCAAGCTGGCTCCCTCTTTGGATAATACTTGCTCTGCAGGATGACAGCTGCTTCGCCATGGTTTAAGGACATGCAAACTTGTCCACACGGAGAGACCCACACAGAGGGAGACTCGCACAGAGAGAGACCCACATAAAGAGACCCCATGGGGAGACCCCAGGAGTGCCCCTGAGGCTCACAGCCAGCAGCCAGCTTTAACCTTTAGATGCATAAGTGAGGGACCCTTTAGATGCATAAGTGAGGGACCCTTCAGAGGATTGCAGCCGCCCATCTTCGGATCTTCCAGGTGAGGCTTCAGCCATCCATGGAGCAGAGACAAGCAGTCCCCACTGTGTCCTCTCCAAATTCCTGAGTGAAGAAATCTGTGAGCATAACCAATGGTTGTTTGATGCCACTTTGTGTGGTAATCCGTTGTGCAGCCACAGTAACTAGAATAGTCAGATTTTTTTAAGGAAGTACACTCCAGACAATCTATACAAGATGTTGTTATTCTGTGTGGTATAAAGAGGGTTTTTTGTTTGTTTGTTTGTTTGTTTGTTTGTTTTTTGAGACAGAGTCTCACTCTGTTGCCCAGGCTGGAGTGCAATGGCATGATCTCAGCTCACTGCCACCTCTGCCTCCTGGTTTCAAGCAATTCTCCTGCCTCAGCCTCCCAAGTAGCTGGGATTACAGGCACACACCACCATGTCCAGCTCATTTTTGTGTGTGTGAGTTGTTAGTAGAGACAAAGTTTCACCATGTTGGCCAGGCTGGTCTTAAACTCCCAACCTCAAGTGATCCACCCACCTCAGCCTCCCAAAGTGCTGGGATTACAGGTGTGAGCCACCGCACCCAGAAAAAAAAAAAATCATTTAAAGAGTTGCTTCTTGAGACTTCTTGGGAGAAGATGGAAAATAGATTCCAACAACTGCTTTCAAGAAGTTTTCAGCCAAGAAAAACAAAAACAACATATAAATGTCTCCTTTCAATTTGTCAAAAGTGGGTGATTCCATACCAGGCAAGTACAGAGGGGAGTCCCCTCCAACAAGGAGAAGCACATTCAGAATTCCTGCATTATCCTCCAGCTCCAAGTGGCTCGAACAGTAGGAAAAATGCATTGCTGTCTAGGAAAGAAGACCTGAAGTTTGCAGGATTCCTGACTCAGCCAGCCAGCAATGCCACTGAGGAAGCAGCCCTTCCCTCTTTCTGCTCTGCTGCTGTTCGAGCATGGATTCCCCTCTGGAATCTCCCTTCCTGGTCTCAGGATGGCAGCCAAGGTCTCAGGCATCACTGATGGGTCTGACTGAAAGGAGGGACTGTTCATTCCTCTGCTTCACTCTTTAAAAAAAAATAGGAGCATTTCTCAGGTGCCTCCAAGCAGCCTCATGTGTCCCCCTTCGGCTGGAATCATTTCACACTCTACTTCCTCAACCTGTCCCTGGTGATTAAAATGAGATTCCTATGACTGGCTTAGGGAAGCACATGACTCCGGAGAGGGGGCTGAGCATTAATCCAGTAACATTAAGATTCCTTTAGAAAGGAGTTGGCTGTTTGCAGAGATTTCTTTTCTTTTCTTTTCTTTTCTTTCTTTTTTGAGACAGCGTCTAGCTCTGTTGCCTGGGCTGGAGTGCAGTGGTGTGATCTCAGCTCACTGCCCCCTCCGCCTCCTGGGCTCAAGGGATTCTCCTTCCTCAGCCTCCCGAGTAGCTGGGATTATAGGCGCCCGCCACCACGCCCAGCTAATTTTTGTATTTTTAGTAGACACGGGGTTTTGCCATGTTGGCCAGGCTGATCTCCAACTCCTGACCTCAGGTGATCCACCCACCTCAGCCTCCCAATATGTTGGGGTTACAGGCGTGAGCCACCCCACACAGCCACAGTGATTTTAGGTGGGTTCCTTCAGGAGCTGTGAGGAGAGATGAGAGAAGGCTTCATGCAGGTGGTAGCTGAGCTGGTCCCTGAATAATGAGCCTAATGCAGATGAAAGGTCCTGGGAGAACTATTTAGTGGTGAGTTCTGTTGACACTGTTAAGGCTAAAAACTCCTAAACCTTTCTTCCCCACTTGCGGCCTCCAATAGTTTTTCCTGACCGACATCTCAAGATGTTTGCCTGTGGTCAGCATTTTACCAACCTTGATCAGATGTCCACAGACTACTGCACTGTTTAACTTAAGTACCCAAACAGTGACACTTTCTTATCTATGAACGTCTTTAGCAGGACTGGGGACTGTGTGAATCTGATTGAATTGTCCATCAGCCTTGAGCTTAACCTTAGCAGTAACAACCAGCTCCCAGGGAGAGAAATCGATCAAGAGATAATTAAGGATCATGTAGTATTGGAAAAATAATTATTGGGGGAGGAGGGCCCCAGACAGTAGTTCTCAGAAGTGACAGTGGCCAAGTAACTCATCGGCAAACAAAGAGCAGAAGGTTGCTCCCTGGGAAGAAAGAAAATGATGCGGTAATGACAATGGAAGAAATTAGACATTGGAAATGGAGTTGTCATTGTCATGGGAAAGAAATCGCCCCTCTTCACCGATGCGCTGGAAACCTCAGGGCTTCCCCCGCTGTAAGAATAGTAGAGTGGGGTTGGCCTAAGAGAGGGTTGAATTTAGAAATAGCTGGTATTTGGAGGAAAAGAAAATCCACTGTATGCTAAGTGCATTTCACATGGAATCCAGATAGCAGCTGAGCCCCACTGTCCTTCAGAGAAAAAGATTAAATTCGACCTCAATCCTATTTTATTTTATTTAGTTATTTAGAGATGGAGTTTTGCTCTTGTCGCCCAGGCTGGCGTGCAGTGGTGCAATCTCAGCTCACTGCAATCTCCACCTCCTGGGTTCAAGCGATTCTCCTGCCCTAGCCTCCTGAGTAGCTGCCTGCCACCACACCCGGCTAATTTTGTTGTTGTTGTTGTTTTATTTTTAATAGAGATGGGGTTTTGCCATGTTGGCCAGGCTGGTCTCGAACCCTTGACCTCAGGTGATCCGCCCACCTCAGCCCCCTAAAGTGCTGGGATTACAGGCGTGCGCCACTGCACCCAGCCCTATTTTATAACCGTAAAATTTTACCCACACTTTTTGTAAGTTCCCCATGTTTTGCTCTCGTGTGGTGTGTCCATGTTGGATACTTGGGGTATACCCTGATACCCCAGACATTTGAAACTCTGGCCCTTTGCTAGAGAAACCCATTCAAGGTGAACCCCTTGGATTTCACAGATGTTGCTGAATATGATGAAGAACACCAGGAGGGGCCGCTCGTAGAGCACAGGCGAGAACAGACTATGCTGTGGGGGTGAACCCCTGACCTTGGAGTCTTCAGGCGGCTCACACTCTCACGCAGTGCAAGACAGGAAGTCCTGCTTATGGCTGCGCTGTATAGAGCATGTGGTCTCCACAATCATCACAGCAGAATGTGAGTGTGGTCAGCTCGCGATGGCCCCCAGGGATGTTGTCCTCTAAGTCCTGGAACCTGCAGACAGGTTACCTTACATGGAAAAAAAAAAGGGGGGCTTTGCAGGTGTGATTGGGTTAATGGACAATGTTGGTGAGATTATCCTGCATTATCCAAGGCAAGGGACGCGGGAGGACCTAGTCACAAGGGAACTCACACATGGGAGGCAGAGAGATGAACGGCACAGCAGAGAGTCAGAGAGGAGATGGAGCGTGGAAGCAGAGGTGGCATGAGCCCGGGAATGCCGGCAGCTGCTAGAAGCTGGAAGAGGGAATGACAGAGCCTCCTCTGGAACCTCCAGGAGAAACCAGCCCTGCTGACATCATGGCTTTTGTCCTGTGCGTTAGTTTCCTAGGGCTGCCAGAACAAATTATCACAAACTGAGCGGCTTAAATGACAGAAGTCCGTGGCCTCATGGTTCCAGAGGCCAGAAGCCCAAAATCAAGGCTTCGCTGAGGCGTGATCCAGCTTCTCAGCATCTTCCCTTTCCCCACTCAGGATAGCTGGAAACGGTCGCTCCTCCTCCTAAACAGGGAAGAAATGCAGAGAAAGCTCCAAGCAGAGGGAAATCCCACCCAAAAGGAAATGTGTGATTCAGACCCACGAAGTGGCGAGGGCTGTGTTGACACTTGGTGCCTCAGTTTCCCCTCTGAAAATGTGTATTATAATAACAGGCTGTATCTCATGGGGTTGACAGGAGGATTCAGTGAGTTAGCCCATGGTAAAGGGTTTAGTGCCTGGTGAGCATCCAACAAGCAAGTGCTTTGATCGTCTGCATAGGGATGTTATTTGGAGCATCCCTGTGTGGCCAGTGCTGGGCTGGGCACTGCGGGGACAGACGTGAGCAGAGCCAGACTCTGCCCTCAGGCTTCTCGCCCTCCAGGTTAGGGGAGGAGGTAGAACCACCACCGCACCTCCACACGAGCTGCCCATGCCTGGCTTGAGGCTCAGCCAGGGCTTATCCTGGAGAGTTCTGTAGAAATGAACCCCAGGCCGGGAGGGATGTCTCACGCCTGTAATCCCTGCACTTTGGAAGGCTGAGGCAGGCAGATCACCTGAGGTCAGGAGTTCGAGACCAGCCTGGGCAACATCGTGAAACCTTGTCTCTACCAAAAAATACAAAAATTAGCCGGGTGTGGTCACGCACGCCTGTAGTCCCAGCTACTCGGGAGGCTGAGGCACAAGAATCACTTGAACCCAGGGGGCAGAGGTTGTAGTGAGCCGAGATCGCACCACTGCACTCCAGCCTGGGCGACAGAGTGAGATTCCATCTCAAAAAAAAAAAAAAAAAAAAGGAAGAAAGAAAGAAACCCCCAACCAGGAGAAGCAAGTGGCCGATGCCACAGCAAGCGGTGGTTTAAAGCTTGAGTGATGGTTTCAATCATTTCTCACTTTAGCTAACCTCATCTTGCAAATCCTCAGTGTACAACCAACCTGAAGAATCTGATTTGGGCAGAAATAACTCCATTTCAAAGATGTTTGGGATTCAGGCTCTGAAGGCAGCAGAGCTGTGGCTCTGGATGTGCCCAGATGCCACTCTGTGGGCTGCCACCTTCAGTGGAGGAGGGGGCAGGGCTGGCAGACAGGGCCCAGGTGAACCAGTGAATACATATGCGTGCAAGTGTCACCCGCCCCTTGCTGTGTGTCCCCGGACAGGCCACTCAGACTCCCAGAGGCTTAGTGCTTCCTCCTGTAAAGTGGGCCCCTGGTGGGACCCATTCCATGCTGCTGTTGCAGGATTTACAGAAGATCCCTGACATGGAGTAAACTCAGCAGAGTCGCTGTTATTGGGTGGAAGTGTCAAGGAGAAGGGGGCTTGGCTGAGCATTCCAGAAGTACAACAGTCCATGTGCATAGCGTGAGAGGTTGTGGCTGCCGTAAGACAGGGCACTGTGAGCTCTAAAAGAAAGGCCGGGGCTTATGGGCTGCCTTGACCTCCGGGGAAACTGCGGGGGAAATGGCCTAACTGCAAGCCCCCTTTCCCACTCTGCTCCCACAGATCAGGCCCCCCAGCCACTCCACCCTCCTTACCATGGACACCAGGCACGATGCCTGCCCGTCCCTTAGCCCTGGGCTTTGTTCCGTTCCCTGCCCCCATGGAATTACGGAAACAATGACACCCTCCTGTGGGAACCAGGGGACCCACACCTTCTTGTCACTATAGAGCTGGCCCCCAATCCCTGCCGGCACAGTCTGCTTCCAACGACAACCTCCATGTGGCCCCATGTGGCATGTGATGCCCTCTCGCCTGCGGGGAGTACAAGTGGCCAACAAACCATTGTTTATCTCATCCATCTTGTGCCAGGTGTCACGTTTGCTATCCTTATACCCAAGGGTGGCAGTTCCCTCACCCATGGGGTGAATAGCAGGTGATCAAAGGAGACAGGAATGGGATCTAGGTTCACATGAACCTGGGTCTGCACCCTAGCCCTGCTACCAGCTGCATGTCCCTGAGCAAGTCACCCACCTTCTCAGAACCTCAGTTTCCCCATCCTTAATGTGGAGAAAATAATGCCCAAGCCTTATGACAGGAATACACATGCACTAATCCATGCATAACCACGCAGGAGAGGCATGGAACCACACACACTACATGGAATGGAACACTTAAAATGGGTTATATGTAGATTACATCTCAGTAAAGTTGATTTTACAAAAACACACAGAAAGAGCTGGGTGCGGTGGCATGTACTTGTAATCCCAGCCACTAGAAAGGCCAGGGTGGGAGGATCACTTGAGCCCAGGATTTCAAGACCAGCCTGGGCAATATAGTGAGACCCTGTCTCCAAATACAAGCAGAGAAGATGAGTCCTTCTACAGGTGATGGCTGGGTGTGGAATCCCTCTCTCTCTCTAGTGCCTAAGGAAATCTGCTCTGGAATCTGACGGCTCAGTTCAAAACCCGGGCTGCCCCCTCATCAGCTTTGCTACCTTCAGAAAGCTGCTGCACCCACCTGTGCCTCAGTTTCTCTATCCCTAACTAGGGGATATTAACAAGTCTTTTCCCATTGGGCTGCTATGAGGATGAGACGAGACGACACGCCAAGTGCTTTCCACGGCGCTGGGAACACACGGGTTTTGTAAATAACCGCAAGCTCACAACATCTCCCTCTGAGGGATGCCCAAGCCCCCCATGCTCCCCAAGCCTTCAGCCAGAAAAGGGGGACACTGTGCTCAAGGTGCCCCACCTTCCTGAGGGCTCCTGCCTGAACATCTTGTTTTAACAACTATGTGGTGAGCTCCTACTGTGTGCACGGCACGAGGGGAGAGGAAAGAAGCGGTGAGCAGAGACAAGCACTGCTCCAGAAGGTCCAGTGGGGTGGGGTGGAGCACGGAGATGACAGTTAATTAGAAAGAAAGCTGGGGGTGGGAGGGATGAAGGGAAAGGAAAGAACAAAAGAAAAAGGGAAAAGATGAAGGAAAGAAAAACAAAGGGAAGAGAGAGCAAGAGAAAAGAGAGAGGGAATGGATAGAGAGAAGGAAATAAAGAAAAGAAAGATAAAGAAATAGGGGAAGGAAGGAAAGAAGGAAGAAGAGAGGGAGAAGGAATGAAGAGAGAGGGATAAAAGAGAAAGAGAACAGAAAGAAAAGGAAAGAAAGGGAAAGGAAAGGAAAGGAGAAAGGAGGGAGAGAGGCAGGCAGGGGGGAGGGAGGGAGGAAGGAAAGGGAAGAGAATGAGTTGCTTTGTGTTAGAGGCAAGGTCTTTCATGAAATTCTGAGCAGGGCTCAGGAGGGAGCCTAGAGTTTGCGGGTGGGTCTCAGACTAAAAGATTAACCTGCTCCAAGGTGTACAATCTTATTTGAGTGTGGACCTCTGTCTCCAGATTGAAATCATCAAAGCTGTCTTCACCACAGCAATAATCTGTTTACAAACCTGTAGACATGTCCCTCGGCTCAGAATTCATTAAAGAGCAGTGGTTCTGCTGACACGGGCCGCCCCCCGGGATGCAGCGGCCAGTCTCAGAATGAGAGGGATGGCTCCGTCTCCACCTCACCCCAGACTCTCCCCACCGCCCCGCGCTGCCTCAACTAAATCAAACCACTACTTTTCTCTGGTTGTCTTCTCAAGATGGGGAATCTGCCACTAACAGCTGTGCTTGCAAACCAGCTTTCTTTGGAAGAAACTAAGATGGATAGCTGTAAACTGGTTGTAAAATTGCTTAGCCACAGAGAGGGCTGAAGCAAAGCCGTGTGTCCAGGATGCATCCAGATCACTGAAAGAAAGACCAGGCCATGGGGAGTCCCAGGAAGAATAAATTCGTGAAGTGAAAAGAAAGAAATGCCTCTCTTCGTTTGTTTTTCTAATATTTCTTTTCAATTTGTCGAATACAAACAGTTCGGCTTTTGCAAGACAGACAATTTTCTCCTTCTTCCCGAGTTTCCTCCTGGGCTTCTAATGTAAGGATGTCTAACTCCGGGACAGAAAGCAAGGAAGGAAGCACCCGTTCTCTCCCCGCCCTCCTCACGCGCCCTCTGCGGAGGACTCCCCTGCGGCTGCTTGGGTAAATGGGTCTGAGCTGCAGAGCCGTACTACTCTGACGAGGGTCTGTCAGAGAATTCCATTTGAGGGAAGGAAGTAGGAAGCCCACTTGGCCATGGACTACCTTCCTAAGTCCACACTCTCAAATCCACCAGTAGGGTGAAACGGTCGCTAAATTAACAAATCCTATCACACCTTATGTGCTATGTGCAAGGTGGTAAGTGCTATGGAGAAAAATCAGGGAAAAAAAAGCAGCTAGCTTCAGTGCAGGGACAAAGAGGTTGCATTTTTTTTCTTTTTCTTCGTCTTTGTTTCTTTTTAAACAGAGACAAGGTCTTGCTCTGACCCCCAGGCTGGAGTACAGTGGTGTGATCATAGCTCACTGCAGCTTTGACCTCCGGGCTCAGGCCATCCTCCTACCACAGCTCCTGAGTAGGGGAGACTACAGGTGTGCACCACCGCATCCAGCTATTTTTTAAATTTTGGGTAGAGATGGGGTTCTCACTTAGTTGCCCAGGCTGGTCTCAAACTCCTGGGCTCCAATAATCCTCCCACCTCAGTCTCCTGAGTAGCTGGGACTACAGGTGCATGCCAGCGCACCTGGCTAATTTGTACATTTTGTATACAGATGGGCTCTGACTATGTTGCCCAGAACTCCTGGGCTCAGGTGATCCTCCCACTTTGGCCTCCCAAAGTGCTGGAACTGCAGGAGTGAGCTGCCGCACTCGGCCATCGCAGTGCTTCCTGCACATGTGCCATCCGAGGTGGAGGAAACGTGACATGGAACGGACACTGGTGATGCTTGCCACCGTCAGTGTCTTCTCCTTCCTCATTGTCTCAGTCACCTGTTGCTGCATAACAAATCATCCCAAACTTCAGTGGCCTCAGACAACCATTTAATATGATCATATCTCATGTGTCTGTAGGTCAGTCCTTCAAACAAGGCCCCGCTGAGATGGCTTAGACGGTGGGGGCAGAACCTGCTGGGTCTAACCGAGCATCTCCCACTCCCTCAGCTTCCTTACAACATGGCAACCACAGAGCAGTTGGGCTTATTCTATGGAGGTTTAGGGCTCCAACAAGGTCAAGCCAGGGGCTGTCTTTCCTGTTCATGCTGAACTCAGAAAAAGCAGTGCCTTCCTTCCACTGTACCCCACTGGTCAACACAAACACAGGCCAGCCCAGACCCAAGGTGAAGGGAGACAGTTCCCTTGCAATGGAAGTGTCAAAAGATTTGCCACCATCTTTCATCTGCCACACATGCATACAAATAGATGGCACGTTCTGGCTCCCTTGCAATGAGGTGTGGCCATGGGGCTGAGCTTCATCTCATAAAAGTGATAGGGCCAGTACGCTTCCTTGCAGAATTCTATTTATTTATTTATTTATTTATTTATTTATTTTTGAGACAAGGTGTCACTCTGTCACTCAGGCTGGAGTGCAGTGGCATGATTATGGCTCCCTGCAGCTTCCACCCGCCAAACTGAAGCCATCATCTCACCTCAGCCTCTATGAACTCCTGGGCTCAAGCCATATACTCACCTCAGCCTCCTGAAGTGCTGGGATTACAAGTTTGCCTCTGTCCTCCCAACACTTACCACATCCCCTTTCCTCACTAAACCACATTGGCCTTCTTTGTATCCTTCAAACAGACCTGATAGAAGATCTTTGTTCTTCTATCTGCCTGGTGGACTCTTCCCCCAAGGAAGGGCAAATGGGGGCCTGTTTTGTGGGTTCTAGACATTTCTCAGCTCCCATTCCCCTCTCCTCTGAAGCTTCCCCAAATCTAAGGGAGTCGCTCCTCCACTACCATCGTGGCGCCTTTTTAGGCTCCCATGCAGCACTAATCTCTCTGTGACATTGTCTCGTTTTACCTCTTTCCTGGTTCATTGTCTCTCCAGCTCCCCTCCCTCAGCCGCCAACTAGATTTTAAGCTCCATGAAAGCAGAATTGGAAACTGTGTTCTTTCCCGCACCTTCCACAGTGCCTGGCATATCACAAGAGCTGGACAAATATTTATTGAATGAATAAAGGTTATGCAAATTTATCTGCGCTCAAATGTCTTCTTTGGTTTCCTGAAATGGATACTCCTGACCCCTAGCATTGTGTATAAACAATAGAGGTTACAATATCCACATCATATAGTCGTAAGAGTTAAACACACTCTTGCCTGTAAAAGTCTTGCACCAATGAGGTACTCACGAATGCTGGCAGCCCTGCTGCAGCCCGTCCTCTGTCAGCACTGGAGGTTTTGTGTGTATGTTGCTTTGTCACTTCTCTGAGAGCAACTTTGCCTGCTGAGGCTTTTCCTCTGATTATTCAATTTTCTTCCCAATTTATTCAAAGCCACCTGAATGGTAAAGGCTGGTCCCAGAGGTGTATAAGCCCCTCATGCGTATTTGAAATTTGTCCAGCCTCATCTCCCAGGCTTTGGTACCTCTGTGAATTGCCAGTCTGACAAAGAAGTCCTCCAGATGAAGCACATTCTCTCTCTGTCTCTCTGTTTTCACTCAATGCACTTCAACAAAATATTTGCTCTCTTTTCCAGGAGCTTCCTTAGTCTGAAGTGATTGGAAAGAAGGTTGTTCTAGCATCTACTGCTTCTAGAGAGAGTCAATATTTAGGCTAGACGAAAACAAAATACAACAACGCAGCCACAATGCACCCACTGCTCTGGGGAGAGGGAACATCGCTTTGCTGGACCGAAACATTCTGGTGCTGGAGAGAGGCAAGTCGCTGGCAGGAACTTTAAGGCCTGAAGCAGCCCAGGACCTGCAGTCAAAGTCTTGGCCTGATTTTTAAAAAGGGAAAAAAGGCCGAGCACGGGGGCTCACACCTGTCATCCCAGCACTCTGGGAGGCTGAGGCGGGCAGATCACTTGAGGTCAGGAGTTCAAGACCAGCCTGGCCAACATGGTGAAACTCCATCCCTGAAAAAAATTAGCCGGGTGTGGTGGTGAGTGCCTGTAGTCCCAGCAACATGCGGGTCTGTCCATGTTGCCCAGGCTTGCTTCGATTAAAAGCACGAGCCACTGTGCCCACCTTAGATATATTTCTATACAGCTTCAGTTAGGCCAGTGGCCTGTGATCCCAGGATGTGGGAGAATTGCTTGAGCCCAGGAGTTCAAGACCAGCCTGGCAACATGGAGAGACCCCCGTCTCTACAAAAATTTTTTTTAAAAAGTAGCTGGGCACTGTAATCCCAGCTACTCGGGAAGCTGAGGCAGGAGAATGGCGTGAACCTGGGAGGCGGAGCTTGCAGTGAGCCGAGATTGCACCACTGCACTCCAGCCTGGGCGACAGAGCAAGACTCCGTCTCAAAAAAAAAAAAAAAAAATAGCTGGGCATGGCAGCGTGCACCTGTAGTCCCAGCTACTCAGGAGGCTGAGTCAAGAGGATTGTCAGAGCCCAGTAGTTCAAGGTTGCAGTGAGCCATGATTGCACCACTTTACCCCAGCCTGGGTGAGAAAGAGACCCTGTCTCAAAAAATAAAATGTTTCAGTTAGATAGGAGGATAGGAGGAATAAGTTCAAGAGATCTGCTGTACAACATGTGACTAGAGTTAACAATGTATTATATTCTTGAAAACTACTGAGAGATTTTGTGTTCTCACCACAAAAATGCTAAGTACGTGAAGTCAAGGTCATGCATATGTTAATTGCCCAATTTGCCAGTGACTGAAGACTCCGATTCCATTTCACAATGTTTACATATTTCAAAACATCATGTTGTTACACAATAACTATATACAATGTTTGTTCTTTGAAATTAATTATGTTACAAACCCTTACAGAGGAGATCTTAGTTGGTTTGATTGAGGTGCATACACGGTTCATAATTGTGTCCAATCGAGTTGCAATGGTCTAGCAAGTAAAAGCTGTGACAGACCGACTTCTAAGGTGGACCGCAATGGCTCCCACTCCCCGTGTCCACACCCTTGTACCATTCACTCCTCTTGATTATGGGCTGGATGGAGTGACTTGCTTCTAATAATCAAATCTAGCAAAAGTGATGGGATATGACTTCTGAAGTCGGTTACAGTCAGTCTCTGGCTTCCATGTTGCACAGGCTCTCTCACTACTTCTTGGGGTATCTCTTTCCAATCTCTCGCTCTGGGGAAAGCAAGCCGCCATGTTGTGAATACCCTATGGAGGAGTCGGAGTCTTCAGTCACCGGCCAGCGAGACTGTGTGTCCTACCAACAGCTCTGTGAGTGAGCTTGAAAGCGGATCCTCCCCGCCACTGAACCTGGTGGCAGACTCAGCCAACAACATCTCGATTGCCACCTATGAGAGACGCTAAGCCAGAGAACCCAGCTGAGCTCTCTGGATTCCTGACCCACAGAAACTGTGATATAATGAATGCCTATTGTTTTAAGCTGCTAAATTTGGGAGTAATTTGTTACACAATAATAGATAACAAATAGAAAGCTCTAGCCATAAAAGATATATTTCTCTTCTAAAGATATATATATATTTTAAAACAATATTTTACTTTATTAATAGAGATGAGGCCTCACTATGTTGCCCAGGCTGATCACAAACTCCTAGGCTCAAGTGATCTTCCTGCCTTGGCCTCCCAAAGTGCTGGGATTACAAGCATGAGCCACTGTGGCCAGCTTAGATATATTTCTATACACGCAGAATAAGTGGGCCGCAAAATGTTTCAATAAAGTTGAGGTGGATACAAAAAAATTGTCAAAACAGTGATCAGTTTCTGTTTGGTGCTATGATTCAATCAGGTTTGAGAAGTATTTGAGTCTTTGAAGAGCTACTTTGTAAATCCACCTAAGTGTCCTACAATGATAGAGAACTGTTTTGTAAAAGCTTGAGATTAGAATTGCATTCTGCTCACAATCAGATGGAAATCTTTCATCAGAGTATTCAGACAATGACACATCACAAACCTTAGCTTTTTGGAGCTTTTAGCAAATAACAATCCTTGAGAAAAAAAAAAAAAAGCTGCAAAGCAAAAAAACATTGAATTTTATCCCTGTGGAAGGACGGGAGGAACAAAACAAATTGAATGATAAGAGTGTAAAACTGCAGCGAGATCTCATTTTGAAATCATGGGATTGTGTTTTGAAATATCCTGACCTGGAGGAAGAATCTTTTGAAAGAGTTCCTATATTTAATTAGATAAATTTCTATTCTGTGTCAGAATGAAGTATAAATGAGAAAGCTTACCATTCAGAAGCTGGATCTAAATTTGGTAAAATGTATCAAGAAACCTTAAATAGAGGTAATTTGTTTGATAGGTTTTGTATTGTAAAAATATTTGTCCGAGAAAGGTTCCCTGAATAGAGGCAAAAAGAAGTTTGCCTGTGAAAATATTTGGGCTGAATATTTTATTATTAATTTAAATATTTTAAAAGTTAGTGAAAGAAATTTTATGTAGCAGCTCTTGTTCTGAGCTTATATTAGACAGATTACATTGAAAAAATGTATTCTCTAGAAAAATAACACTGGTATAGTATTAGAGACACGCATGACTCAGAAAATAATGAAAGAGTGTGAATCTGCAGTAAGCATAATTAGTCAGCTTATGTTATTTTATTATTTCTTTATTTAAAGACAGGGAGGGCCTCATTCTGTTGCCCAGGCTGGAGTGCAGTGGAGCGATCTTGGCTCACTGCAGCCTCCACCTCCTGGGTTCAAGTGATTCTCCTACCTCAGCCTCCTGAGTAGCTGGAATTACAGGCATATGCCACCAAACTCAGCTAATTTTTGTATCTTTAGTACAGATGGAGTTTCACCATGTTGACCAGGCTGGTCTCGAATTCCTGACCTCAAGTGATCTGCCTGCCTCAGCCTCCCAAAGTGCTGGGATTACAGGCATGAGCCACCATGCCTGGTGTGTTATTTTAAATTAATACTAAAAATATATTTTTTTTGAGACTGAGTCTTGCTCTGTCATCCAGGCTGGAGTGCAGTGGGACCATCTCAGCTCACTGCAACCTCTGCCTCCTGGATTCAAGTGATTCTCCTGCTTCAGCCTCCTGAGTAGCTGGGATTACAGGCACAATTTACCATGCCTGGCTAATTTTTGTATTATCAGTACAGATGGGGTTTCACCATGTTGGCCAGGCTGGTCTTGAACTCTTGATCTCAAGTGATCCACCCGCCTCGGCCTCCCAAAGTGCTGGGATTATAGGTGTGAGCCACCATGCCAGGCCAAAGTATTTTAGTTAACATAAAGAATTTAACATTCTTTTCCATAATGTACACAGGTATGATTTTTTTAGAATAGTTTTTCAAACATTATGTTTTTTAAAACAGTTTTTAATAGACTTTATAGGCCCATCAATATAATAAAACTAATTTGTCACACCATAAAAATATTTCTTAAGGTATAGATTCTTAAGGTATAGTGTTATTATTTATTTATTTTTAACTGACAGATACTAATTGTATGTATTTATGGAGTACCATGTGTCGTTTTGATATATTTTTTAAACTCCCATTCTCAAAGGTGTTTTGCTTTGGACAGTAGGTAATGCCATCATCCTATTCCTGGGGAGAGGAACAGAGATCCCATCCTCTCCAGAAGCAGGAGAAACACAGCTAAGTGTTCCCTGTTAGCGGGAATGCTTCCCTGCTTCACATAATCTATCTCCCATGCTCTTTTCAGCTTCTTTTTTTTTTTTTGAGATGGAGTCTTGCTTTGTCACCCAGGTTGGAGTACAGTGGTGCGATCTCCGCTCACTACAAGCTCTGCCTCCTGGGTTCATGCCATTCTCCTGCCTCAGCCTCCCGAGTAGCTGGGACTACAGGCACCTGCCACCACGCCCAGCTAATTTTTTTGCATTTTTAATAGAGACGGGGTTTCACCATGTTAGCCAGGATGGTCTCGATCTCCTGACCTCGTGATCCGCCCGCCTCGGCCTCCCAAAGTGCTGGGATTACAGGTGTGAGCCACCGCGCCTGGCCTCAAAGCAAATCTTAAAAGAAGACATACAGCCAGGCATGGTGGCTCACACCTATAATCCCAGCACTTTGGGAGGCTAAGATGGGTGGATCACCTGGAGTCAGGAGGTCCAGAACAGCCTGGCCAACATGGTGAAACCCTGTCTGTACTAAAAATACAAAAAATTAGCCGGGCATGGTGACAGGTGCCTGTAATCCCAGCTACTTGGGAGGCCGAGGCAGGAGAATCGCTTGAAGCAGGGAGGCAGAGGTTGCAGTGAGCCAAGATTGCGCCATTGCACTGCAGCCTGGGCAACAAAGGCAAGACTCTGTCTATGAAAAAAAAAAAAAAAAAAAAGACTTATAGCATGGATCCATCTGCGTAAAATTTAAATGCATACAAAAATTTTTAAAAAGTTGATGGACACAAACAAATGTAGTAAAATAATGAAGAAAAGAAAGCATGATAAATATGAAATCTATGACAGAGGGGGGAAGGGAGGAGGGCAACTTGGGGAGCATGGCAGGTTTTGAGGATATTGATAAATTGCTATTTCCTACACTGGATGGTGGGAAGGCTCATATTATTCCTCTTTATACAATGTCTATGTTTTCTATCATTTTTAAAGTATGAAGTTTTGTATAATTTGTGTAACTAAATAGGAAGGGGCCTTTTATTAGTCGAGAATGTGCCTGCAAAGCCCAAAGGGTGTTAATTATTGGAGGGAGGGGGAAGTCATCGATGGTGATGAACTGAAGTTCAGTCCAGTCTATGTGTCTCACTTCCTTTACTCTTGAGTCTCCAGTACCTTCCAAACGATGTAAGAGTAGTGATCCTGATCCCTCCCATCCAAGCTCTGGGCGTGGCCTCCGGAGAAGAAACATGAAAGTAGACAGAGAATTGGCCAGGAGAGGTGGCTCACGCCTATCCCAGCACTTTGGGAGGCCGAGGTGGGTGGATCACTTGAGGTCAGGAGTCCACTTGAGGTCGAGACCAGCCTGGCCAACATGGTGAAACCTTGTTTCTACTAAAAATACAAAAATTAGCCAGGCATAATGGCATGCACCTGTAATCCTGGCTACTCGGGAGGCTGAAGTGGGAGAATTGCTTGAACCCGGGAGGCGGAGGTTGCAGTGAGCCAAGATCATGCCACTGCATTCCAGCCTGGGCGACAGAGCGAGACTCTGTCTCAAAAAAAAAAAAAAAAAAAGTAGCCAGAGAATAAAACTGACACTTGGAGAGAGAAGTGTGTGTTGTTTCTGTGTGTGCAAATGTGTTTGTGTACACATGCTGTGTGTGGTGTGTGTGTGTGCATGCCTGTGTGAGTTTGTGTGTGTACAAATGTGTGTAAGCATATGCATGCATGTGTATACACACGAAGAGGTGGTTGCCAGGTTGCGCCACTGGCAGGTCCTATACTCGCTGCAGAATCGGGAGACGAAAGGGGGGTCTTTGTACAGGCTCCAGCAGCTGGCATTGGAGGGGCTGTGGACTGACCTCAGCCGCCCCACTCCAGGGTCAGTGAGGATCCCCTCTTCCTGAGGCCCTGAAAAGTCCCCCAGGAGACAGCTGAGCGGGCCTTGATATGTGGACCCGCTAACCCAGCTTGGCTGGAAGGAGGCTGCCAGTCTTCATTCTTATAACCTCTGGAATGAGGACTCAGACAGCACCCCACCCTCCACCACAGCCCTAACCATTGGAGACTGGAAGCTGAATGAAGCCTGATTCCAGTCTCCACACAGGTGGGATGCACGCCACCATCATTGGGAAATGATTTACAGCTGCACATTTGTGGCATGAAATAACATCCACCCAGATAATGAGAAAGCTTCTTTTCAATCCTGTTTTGGAAATCAAGTCTCACTCAGGTACACGTATAGTTTAACACCTCCTCAACACTGGCTAATTTCTCTTTAAAATTTTTTAACTGATACCTAATAATTATGCATGTTTATGGAATACACGGGATCTTTTAATACATGCAGACAATGTGCAGTGATTAAATCAGGGTATTTAGGATCTCCATCATCATTTCTTTGTGTTGGAAACATTTCAAATCTTCTCTTTTAGCTATTTTGAAATAGGCAGGCAACTGAGTTTAGCTGTTTTCATGGTATTTAATGTTACAATTATTTTTCATCTTTGGTATGTTTCTCTTTGTTATTATTGTTATTTTTGAGACAGAGTCTCACTGTCACCCAGGCTGGAGTGCAGTGGTGTGATCTTGGCTCACTGCAACCTCCGCCTCCCAGGCTCAAGCGATTCTCTTGCCTCAGCCTCCCAAGTAGCTGGGACTACAGGTGTGTGCCACCATGCCTGGCTGATTTTTGTATTTTTAGTAGAGACGGGGTTTCACCATGTTGGCCAGGCTGGTCTCAAACTCCTGACCTCAGGTGATCCACCTACCTCAGCCTCCTAAAGTGCTGGGACTACAGGCGTGAGCCACTGCGCCAGCCAATAATAGTGTTTTCTGTAGTAAAAATGGGATGACAGATTTTAGGTGCTTTTTACACTCAAAAACAGGTAACTATTTGAGATAATGGGTATGTTAATACGCTTGACAGTAGTAATCAAAACATCATGTTGTATGCCTTAAATGTATACTTTTAAAATGAATAAAAATGATATATAAAGTGAAAAAAAGAAGAAACAAGAAGAAACATGGTCTTCAGAGCAGACTCTCTTGGGTCAAATTCCTGCTCTCCTGCTTCCCACATGAGCAATGCAGGCAAGGGGCTGTATATCTCCATGCATGTTACCTTGTCTGTGTAAATGAGAATAGTCGTGTCTGCCTGCAGAACAGATTGAATTTCTGTGGTATTGAGCCATGAAGCTGGCAGTACTTTGTTAGGGAAGCCCCAGTAAACTCATACTTGCAGACATAGCAACAATTATAGTGGCACGGATGGGTCTGATTCAGAAACGCTGCATTCCAGGTGGTCCCTGGGTCCCCTTTCTTGTACCACCTCTTTGCATGGTCCCCTCTGATGACCCAGCTCACACCCCACTGTCTGAGGGTCTGAGGCTTGTGCCCCACATCAGCTTGTGACTATCTCTGGGCAGGATCTGGTCAGTCCTCCATTCAAAAGCCACCATCAAACCAACCCTCTGGCAAAGTGGTCCTGCCTGAAATTCATGTCTAGGTGAAACTGACTGGCGTGAACCATTCCCTGGATCAGAGACCACCTATGGGTGTTGAGATAAAGCAATGTGGGCAGGGTTGTGTGTTAAGTTGGTAAACTACTCCCCAGAGTGCTGGGAGCTTGGCTGTTGAGGGCTGTGGACTTGGAGGAAGGCCTGAGATCCAGACAAAAGTCCAAATAGGTAAAATTGGTGGATTAGTCTGTTCTCACGCTGCCAATAAAGACATACCCGAGACTGGCTAATTTATAAAGGAAAGGAGGTTTAATGGACTCACAGTTCCACATGGCTGGGGAGGCCTCACAATCACGGCAGAAGGTGAAGGAGGAGCAAAGGCACATCTTTCATGGTGGCAGGCAAGAGTGTGTGCAGGGGAACTGCCCTTTATAAAACCATCAGATCTCGTGAGACTTATTCACTACCACGAGAACAGCATGGGAAACACCTGCCCCCATGACTCAATTACCTCCCACAGAGTCCCTCCCATGACATGTGGGAATTATGGGAGCTACAATTCAAGATGAGATTTGGTTGGGGTCACAGCCAAACCATGTCAATGGGTAACACAATATGTAACAGACATCTGTTAATTTGTTTAAGTTTCCTTCCTGTTACTTTGGAAACACTATTCCAAGGCAGGGTGCAATGGCTCACACCTGTGATCCTAGCACTTTGGGAGGCTGAGGCGAGACAATTGCTTGAGTCCAGGAGTTCGAAGACAGCCTTGACAATATAGCGAGACCCCATTTCCACAAAAATAAGAATAAAAATTAAAAAATTAGCTGGGCATGGTGATGCATGCCTGTAGTGCCAGCAACTCTGGAGGCTGAAGTGGGAGGATTGCTTGCACCTGAGAGGTTGAGGTTACAGTGAGCCACGATTGCACCACTGCACTCCAGCCTGGGCAACAGAGCAAGACCCCATTCCTAGAAACAAAAAAAAACTGTATCCCAGAATTTCCTCAGGGAGCCACAGTCCCCCAGTCTTTATCCATGTGGTTTGGGACAGCCGGTCCTGATCTGCTTTCCAGGGCTGTGGTGTGAACCAGTCCTGGCCAGTGGGAGGTTTGCACATTCCTGGCTGTGGTGATGAGCATGTGTCTGTAACCTTTCCAGTCAGAACCAACGAGATCAATTCTGAGACTCTTATTGGAACTTGTGGGAAGGAGAAACCTGATTTTCACAGGGGTCAATGTTGGTAGAATAAAAGCATGGAGTTCCTGGATCAGAAGCTCTTGCAGCCTTGCAGAATAAATTGAGAGTGAAGTCAACACAGATAAAACCATACCCAAAAGATGGGAAGAGACAGAGTGCTGGTACCATGATGTGAGCTGCTGGATCCACCCATACCTGAAATCCACATGTAGGCTTTCATTTACTTGCACCAATTAGTTTCCTATCATGCTTAAGCCAGACTGTGTTGGATTTCTGATGCTTCTAACCTTATATAGAAATCTATCTCTCCAGTACTGATGAACCTTTATAGGGTTACATGCAACAGCAGACAGACTTTCTTTTTACTTCAGGCAAGGTTAGACCACATAAAGTCTCTGTGTCTTGGATGAACTTCTCTCAACAAGATAAGAGCCATCTGAACTAATGAGTAAGGGAAGTAATGGCTTTACTTAATTGGAGTGATATAAATTGCTGTAATGTGAATTGTCTGCACAAGACAGAAATTCATGGAGGTGTTCTGTTCTAACCTGTGACCTACCATTATAAAGGTTCTGAAGTGAAGGGTCTATTCTCCCCTGATGCTGGACTTTTCAAAGCACAGCAATTTTGTTTCATTTTGAAAGGCCATAGTGAAGCCAGCAGCTTACTCAGCACTTTCTGCCAACTATTAACTTCTCTCACATCAATGGCCAGACACTCAGACCCTGCCCAGCCCAGGTAGGTGATGCCAATGCACTAACCAGCCAGGGAGAGGGTATAGGTGTGCCTCTTCTGAGCCACCAGAACTGCAGCAATTCAGAAGAGATGCCCCTTCCAAAGGAGACAGCCTAGGGCCTAGAATCCAATCTTGACCAATTTTCTGATGTCTTTGGAAGTCTGGATTTTCTTTCTTTTCTTTTTCTTTTTTTTTTCCTTTTTGAGACAGAGTCTCACTCTATCACCCAGGCTGGAGTGCAGTGGCATAATCTCAGCTCATGGCAACCTCTGCCTCCTGGGCTCAAGTGATTCTCGTGCCTAAGCCTCTTGAGTAGCTGGAATTATAGGCGCCCACCACTATGCCCGGTTAATTTTTGTAATTTTAGTAGAGATGGGGTTTCACCATGTTGGCCAGGCTGGTCTCGAACTCCCAATCTTAGGTGATCCACTCGCCTTGGCCTCCCAAAGTGCAGAGATTACAGGTGTGAGCCCACCACACCTGGCCAGAAGTCTGGATTTTCTAAAGTAAAAAAATCCCCTGATTCTTTCTCCAGTGTGTTTAGTGGTTTGAATGGTGTTCCCCCAAAATTCATGCTCACTCAGATCTTCAGAATGTGGTCTCATTCCCAAACAGGGCCTTTGCAGGTGTCATGAAGAATGAAGATGAGGGCCGGGCACGGTGGCTCACACCTGTAATCCCAGCACTTTGGGAGGCCGAGGCGGGCGGATCACCTGAGGTCAGGAGTTCAAGACCATCCTGGCCAACTTGGTGAAAACCCCTCTACTAAAAATGCAAAAATTAGCCGGGCGTGGTGGCGGGTGCCTGTAATCCCAGCTACTCGGGAGGCTGAGGTAGGAGAATCGCTTGAACACAGGAGACGGAGGTTGCAGTAAGCCAAGATGGCACCACTGCACTCCAGCCTGGGCAACAGATCAAGACTCCATCTCAAAGAAAAAAATAAAAATAAAAAACAAAAAGAGAATGGAGATGAGATCATTTGTAATTGAGTGGACCCTAAATCCAACGACAAGTGTCCTTTTAAGAGACAGGAAAGGACACAGACACAGAGAGGAGGCCAAGTGAAGACAGAGGCAGAGATGGGAGCGATGCCGCCACAAGCCAAGGGACGCTGGCAGCCACCAGGAGATGGAAGAGGCATAGAGCCTCTGGAGGAAGCCAGACCTGCCAATACTGTGATTTCAGATTTCTGGCCTCCAGAACAGGGAGCATAAATTCCAGTTGGGTAAGCCACGAAGTCAGTGGAAATCTGGTCCTGCAGCAGCCCTAGCGAGGACACCGAGCTATTAGTTCAACTGAAGAAAATAATCTCCAAGCTGAGCAGAGTGTCCCCAAATGCCACACACGGCCGGCGAGTGCCTGTTGGTGATCTCGGCCTCCTGTAGCCTCAGGATCTGACCCGCCCCAACCTGGTCCAAGGCTCAGGATGAAAATCTCCTCCAGCACAGCAAGCAGCTTTGGAAACGCCGGCTCCTGGAACTCACAGGGGCCAACACTAGTCCCTGGAAGAACCGGGTGAATGAGGGGAGGGTGTCTGGATCCAACGCTCTGGGAAGTGCCCCATTGGCGGTTCCCAGACCATTTCTGTCTTGGGAAAAATTCCAGCGTGTGTGCAAGGCGTCTGTCCAGGTCAGCGCCTCTGAGTTGGCCGTCTCTGTTCGGGTCTTCCCATGCGAGGAGTGCCCTCAGTTCACCTAGATGACTTTCCAGAACTCACCTCTGACTCCACAGTGGGGATGCCTGGAAACCTGCTCAGCACTGGCCCTTGGATAACCCGGGAGCTGGCAGCTATGCTCAAGGAATCATGCTCGTGGAGGGAGGATGAGACCAATGGATA
This sequence comes from Homo sapiens, assembly GCF_000001405.40. NCBI lineage: Eukaryota > Metazoa > Chordata > Mammalia > Primates > Hominidae > Homo > Homo sapiens. The sequence continues at coordinate 128,781,998 of NC_000012.12, forward strand.
GCTTCCCCCGCCTACCCTGTCTTGTGCCCAAGCAGACAGCTCTGAGATGCATTTGAAAAGGCTCCTCCAAAGGACCCAGGGAGTCCGGCCCCAGGCACCCAGGGTGGCCACCAGCTCCGGAACTTCTCTTTCTCCTACTCTCCTTTCTCCCCGGTTTCACTCCCTGTTCCTCACTCCTGCTCCTGAGGCCGCATCTCAGGCTGTCTTCCAGGGAAGCCCAGGCTTGAGGCATGTTCATTCTCTCAAAGTGCGGGAGCAAATCTGCAAGGGCGTATGTCCCCGTACATGACAGACGACTGGTGTGTTCAAAAATCGTATTGACTTTGAACCTAAGAGGTTTTGGAAAAACAACTTGAGTGACCAGGTTCCATACGAACATTCTGGCAAAAGCTAACGGTATTCTTCTCTGCACAATTTCGTTGTTGGAGGCATTCAAGAAAATTTCTTTGCAGTTTTTGAAAATAGCCTGTAGTTCTATGTTTCGGCCACTAGATAGCAGGCTGAATAAGAAATGCTGGACATCTAATGGGAATCTCACCAACTGCTTGACGGAAGGTGGGGGCTATCCTTAAAAAATGGTTTGCTGGGAGGCGGATCACCTGAGGTTGGGAGTTTGAGACCAGCCTGGCCAACATGGCAAATTCCCCTCTTTACTAAAAATACAAAAATTAGCCGGGTGTGGTGGCAGGCGCCTCTAATCCCAGCTACTCGGGAGGCTGAGGCAGGAGAATCGCTTGAACCCGGGAGGCAGAGGTTGCAGTGAGCTGAGATCGCGCCACTGCACTCCAGCCTGGGCGAGAGTGAGACTCTGTCTCAAAAAAAAAAAAAAAAAAGTGGTTTGCCACTGGGCACGGTGGTTCATGCCTGTAATCCCAGCGCTTTGGGAGGCTGAGGCAGGCAGATCTCTGGAGGTCAGGAGTTCAAGACCAGCCTGACCAACATGGTGAAACCTGGTCTCTACTAAAAATACAAAAATTAGCTGTGCATGGTGGCACACGCCTGTAATCCCAGCTACTTGGGAGGCTGAGGCAGGAGAATTGTTTGAACCCGGGAGGCGGAGGTTGCAGTGAGCCAAGACCATGACACTGCACTCCAGCCTGGGTGACAGAGCAAGATTCCACCTCAAAAAAAAAAAAAAAAAAAAAAAAAAAGAAAGTGGTTTGCTCCGGAGTCCTGCTCTGTGTGGAGTTACTCACCGCCTCTACACGTCAGCCCTGCCTCCCCCATCTCCCTCCCAGACCTTCTTTCTGTTCACTGCATGCATCAAGCTTTCTCCTGACTTTGGGCTTTTCCCTTAGTTCTCCTGGCCTGAAACTCTGTCCTTCGATATTAGCAAGCTGGCTCCTGGTCCCTCGGCGTCCCTGGACAAGCCAACCTAAGGCAGACCCCCTCCTCCATCTTCATCATGCATCACATCATCTTCTATTGCTTCTTCAAAACGCTTTCACTTTCTGATATGTGACTGTTTGATGACACGTTTATTCTCTGTCTCTTGCATGAAAATGTGGGCTCCAGGAAAGCTGAGTTCCTGTTTAGTTCACTGCTGTGTCCCTGTCTAAAATGGAGCTACAGCATAAATATACAGGTGGCTGAGGGATATTTGTTGAGTGACTGAATGATGGGAGTGAATGAATGAACGACCTCTGATGCACAATGATAACCAGGCTGAATCTTCTTCTCTGACTCTCCTTTTTTTTGAGATAGAGTCTTTCTCTGTGGCCAAGGCTGCAGTGCAGAGGCACGATCTCTGCTCACTGCAACCTCCACTTCCCCGGTTCAAGTAATTCTCGTGCTTCGGCCTCCCGAGTAGCTTGGCTTACAGGTGCTCACCACCATGTCTGGCTAATTTTTTTTTTCCTCTTTTTGAGAGGGAGTCTTGCTCTGTCACCCAGGCTAGAGTGCGCTGGTGTGATCTTGGCTCACTGCAACCTCCGCCTCCTGGGTTCAAGTGATTCTCCTGCCTCAGCGGAGACTTGAGAATCTCCTGAGTAGCTTGGCTTACAGGTACTCACCATCACGCCTGGCTAATTTTTGTGTTTTTTTAGTAGAGACGGGACTTTGCCCTGTTGGCCAGGTTGGCCTTGAACTCGTGACCTCAAGTGATCCGCCTGCCTCACCCTCCCAAAGTGCTGGGATTACAGGTGTGAGCCTCTGTGCCCGGCCTCTCTGACTCTCTTGGCATTGCTTCCGATGTTATTATGATTCATTGTGAATGAGTCGATTTGAACTCAGCATGGTGTCCAGAACATTAGAAAAATGCTGACCTGTGTGGTTTGCTTTATGTCTTTGAAATATCTGAGCCCTAAAGAGCAGTAAGCGGGAAGTCCTTTGGGTATACCGGGCTTGGTTTGGGTTAAAGATTTTAAATGCTGAGCATAAATCCACCCTGAAGCTTCTCTGATGCTCCCTGAACTGTGTCCATTCCTTCCCTCTAGAAAAGACAAATGACTTACATAGAAGTGAAGTTGTAAATTCTGGCTCATTTAGGTGGCTTTGGATAAGTCACCCATTTACATTTCAGAGTAGCCAGAGATTGTGCTGCGCGTGGGGGAGTGCCAGGGATGTTACAGTCTGAAATAGACAAGTCCAAGGGCTGAGAAACGGAGTGACCACGTGCAGCAGGGCCTGGCAGGAGAGGTGGGGGCGGCTGAGTCTGAAAGGGCAGAAACAGTCCTGCCTGTGTTCACTGTTGCAGCCTTTTTTTCATCATGGAGTTTTTTGCATTAATTTTGAGTTTTTAAAATATTGAGTTAAATATTTTTTATCCTGGCTACCAAGATTTTTGGCACTCCATTCAACTTCATGCCCCATCTCAGCCCTGGGGCATAGGATAGCTTCACCATGCTGCCTACGGGGGAGCTGGGGTAGGGAACCAGTCCCTGGTTTCCCCAAATTCAAAAGACCCAGGAGAGAATGCTGAACTACCTTAGGGCTGTGAGATGATCACTTACTTCTGTAGCTTCAAAAACATGACGAAGCACGTGAGTGCGGCCTGGAAGTTTTACTACATTCAAACCAATATCCTCCATTCATTTCCTATTGCTGCTTCAACGAAGTATCGAAAACCTGGTGGCCTAAAACAGCACAGATGTATTATTCTTCAGTTCTGGAGGTCAGAGTCTGAAATGGGACTCACTGGTCACTCCAGACACTGTGCCTGGTAAAATTCCTATGTGACAGCCCAGTCACCAGGGTGATGGTATCAGGAGGTGGGGCTTTGGGAGGCAATCAGGCCTGGAGGGTGGCACCCTCGTGATGGGGTTAGTGCCCTTATGAGAAGGGATAGGAAGGAGAGGATCTCTGCCTCACGTGAGGACACAGCATGAAACAGGCAGTGGGCAAATCAGGAGGGGCCTCACCAGCCATCCAATCAGCCAGTGCCTTGACCTTGGACGCCGCAGCCCCCAGGACTCTGAAGAATCTATTCCTGTTGTTGAAGCCGTCCCAATAATATTCTGGTCATAGCAGCCCGAACGAATTAACACACTGGCTAAAATCAAGCGTGCTGACAGAGCCGTGTTCCCCCTGCAGGTTCCAGGGGGAGAACCTATTTCCCGGCCTCTTCCAGCTTCCAGAGGCGCCCAAACCCCTGAGGCGCTCAAGCCCCTGAGCTTGTGGCCCCTCCCTCCTCCAGAGCACGTCACTCCCACCTGGATCTTGTCCTCCCATCTTCTGATTCTGACCTCCTGCCTCCGTCTTTCACTCATAATGAGCCTTGTGACCTTGGGGCCCACCTGGCTAGTCCAGGACAATCTGCTCATCTCCACAGCATCAACATAATCGCACAAGAAAGATGCCCTCTGTCATGTGAGGTGACAATCACAGGTTCCGGGATCAGGGCAGGACACCTTGGGTTGGGGGCGGGGGTGGTAATTATTCAGCCCACAGCAAAGCTGGTCTGAATCCTAACCCAAAGTTAATTAAAATGGAAAAAATTCAAGAGATCTATTGCATAACACAGCTATAGTTAATAGCAAGGTATTATGTTCTTGAAATTGATGAGAGGTCTCAAGTGTTATTAATCACAAGTAAAATATGTGCAGTAATGCACGTTAATTAGCTCGATGTAACCATTCCACCATGTATACGTTTCCGAATGTGTGGTACACAATAAATATTAATATATACAATTTGTGTCAATTTAGTAAGTTTTTTTAATGGAGAACAAGCTCATGATCTAATGCCTGCTCCCAACACTAACTCACTTTAAGAGGCTGCCTTGGGTGAAGGACCCTGTGAGGCGCTTGCTTAGGGCAGGGCTCCTGGCACTGGCCAGCAGGTCATTTTAAATGAGGGGCTCCTGGCTGGGCACGGTGGCTCACACCTGTAATCCCAGCACTTTGGGAGGCCGAGGTGGGCAGATCACTTGAGGCCATGAGTTCAAGACCAGCCTGGACAACATGACAAAACCCTGTCTCCACTAAAAATATGAAAATTAGCCAGGCGTGGTGGCAGGTGCCTGTAATCCCAGCTACTTCGGAGGCTGAGGCACAAGAATCGCTTGACCCCGGGAGGCGGAGGTTGCAGTGAACTGAGATTTTGCCCCTGCACTCCAGCCTGGGTGACAGAGCGAGACTCCGTCTCAAAAAATAATAAAATAAAATAAATACATGAGGGGCTCTCAGTGGGTGACAAATCCGCCAAATTGAATGCTGACAGCATCATCAGGGGATCCCGGAGGCTGCTGGCAAAAAACGCCAGAGGCGAGTCCTCCTGGCCCAGGGAGACTGCTCCAGCTTGGAGAGGGGGCACAGCTGGCTCCTGGAGCAGGTGTTTTCACTTTGGTCACCATCCACACTGGTGGTCAAATGCTGCAAAGTGCCTGAGCAGGATCAGGCATCTACAAATGGGCGCCCCTCCCCAGCCCACCAACCTCATAATCCCTCCAAGAAACCTATGTGGAGGGGACGATTTCCTGGCCTGGGCATGGGGAGGTGCGAGGGCCCAGGGGTGGGGCTCAGTGGTTGGTGCTGGGCAGGAGTGGTCCTGGGCACCAGCCCTCAAGGGTCCACCTGCTCACGAGGCAAGTTGTGCCCATCCCACGCACACTCACTCCCTCGTCCCATCTCACGGCGTCTTCCCGCCTACTGTAGGTTTCTGTGTAGAAGGCCATGCCCCTCCAGAAAGGACTCTCGGTCCAAATCCTGTGGCCCATCCCTGAGTGACAGCTCCGAGTGCCTCTTTCCCATTTCCCTGATGGATGTGAAATTGCAGTGTGAGCATGAAAAGCAGCTCTCCAGAAGAGCTTCTGCCCGGCGGAGATGGGATTCCAGTTTGAGTGGCGTAATGAAGTGCTCCTTCATCAGCCTTAACACGCAGAGCACAGGTTTAACTTCTGGTGGGTATAAATGGGCTATTGCGGTTTTTCTGACTTCAGGAACATACGACTTTTGTGTTCAGGATGTAGAAAAATTAAAGTCCTAGACCAAAAAATGAAAAGGAAATAAGGTGGCCCGCTGGGGCTTGTTTTCTCTGCTCGGGGAGTTTGGATGACTTCAGAGCGGGGAGGGCTCTTTTCTTAATTCAGTTCTCTAAAGTTGGTAATTTTGTTCATGTCCGTATCTGTACCCATGAAGTAAATTTGTGCAGTAATATAAAGAATAAAATTTCATGTCTAGATCTGTAGGAAAGAAGTTTAATTTTATAAGCTATTAGCACTGCCGGTCCTGGAGGGAGCAGTTTTAGCATTCTTACCAGCTTTGTGAGGAAGGCATTGTTGATTGACGATGAGCTTCTCCTGTGACAACATGCCAGGGCTTCACGCAGGTGGCTTCAACACCCTGGAATTTGGCTGCCAGGCAGCAAAGTTTGGTTTCTGTGCCACTGGAGCAGGCAGGATGACAGCCCCTAAGGAGGTCCCAATTCCCTTCCTCCAAGGACACCAGTCACATTGGATTTAGGCCCCACATGAATCCAGTGTGGCCCCATCTTAACTTGATTCCATCTGCAAAGACACTTTGTCCAAATGAGGTCACAGGTTCTGGATGGACATGAAGGCTGGGGCTATTATTAGTCAGCCCAGTACAGCAGCCATCTACTTCTCTGATGCTGAGAGGTGGCTATGTCACAGGAGGGCTGGCTCCCATGGCCTCGAACATTCATGCTGGGTTGGGCCTGCCTGGCCCTAAGTCCTGCAGAGCCGTGTGGATGCATGGCTTTTTCCACTCCCTCTTTTTCTCCTCCAAGTTCACAGCCCCCTCTGTTTACCCCTTAGGCTTTGCTAACAGTGAGGACCTGGAGGCTTCTTTCTCCCTGAATGGCATCCTCTTGCCAGGCTCAGGATCCTGCTGTGTGTAAGGGCCAGTAAAAGCATCTGCACCATTTACACCTCACTTTTGACTCACTAAATCCAAACCCCAGCCTTCACCAAACACAGAGAGCTAGGTCAGGAATCCAGCCCTTTCCCACAAAAATAATAGTCACATGGCTGGGTGTGGTGGCTCTCGCCTCTAATCCCAGCACTTGGGGAGGCCGAGGCGAGTGGATCACTTGAGGTCAGGAGTTCGAGACCAGCCTGGCCAACGTGGTGAAACCCCATCTCTACTAAATTCCTGACCAGGTGCAGTGGCTCATGCCTGTATTCCCAGTGTTTTGGGAGGGTGAGGCGGGAGTATCACTTGAGGCCAGGAATTTGAACCAGCCTGGGCAACATAGTGAGACCGTGACTCTACAAAATATAAAATAAAAAAGTAATTGGGTGTAATGTGTGTCTGTAGTCCCAGCTACTCTGGAGGCTGATGTGGGAAGATTGCTTGATCCCAGGAGGTTAAGGCTGCAGCCAGCCATGATTGCACCACTGCACTCCGGCCTGGGAAACAGAGAGAGACCCTGTCTCAAAAAAAAAAAAAAAAAAAAAGCCGGGCGTGGTGGCTCATGCCTGTAATCCCAGCACACTGGGAGGCTGAGGTGGGCAGATCACCTGAGGTCGGGAGTTGAGGACCAGCCTGACCAACATGGAGAAACCCCGTCTCTACTAAAAATACAAAATTAGCTGGGGTGGTGGCGCATGCCTCTAATCCCAGCTACTCGGGAGGCTGAGGCAGGAGAATTGCTTGAACCCAGGAGGCGGAGGTTGCGGTGAGCCAAGATCTCACCATCGCACTCCAGCCTGGGCAACAAGAGCGAAACTCCGTCTCAAAAAAAAAAAAAAAAGGCCGGGTGCAGTGGCTCACACCTGTAATCCCAACACTTTGGGAGGCCGAGGTGGGCAGATCGCCTGAGGTCAGGAGTTTGAGACCAGCCTGACCAACATGATGAAACCCCATCTCTACTAAAAATACAAAAATTAGCTGAGCCTGGTGGCGGGCACTTGTAATCCCAGCTACTAGGGAGGCTGAGGCAGGAGAATAGCTTGAACCCGGGAGGCAGAGGTTGCACTGAGCCAAGATCGTGCCACTTCACTCCAGCCTGGGCGACAGAGTGAGACTCCATCTCAAAAAAAAAAAAAAGTCACTTTACTCCGATGCCAGACTTTCAGGAAGAAGCTTATTTTCACTTCTCCATTCTTAAAAGTGGAAACCTCCCTTGCCCTGCATTCCTCTTTTCTGTGAGTCCCTTGAGGGCGTCTCCTCTCTCCTCCAGCTGTCTGCAACCTGTCAGGACCCCACACAGAGCTCAGCTTGCCGGCAGGAGCCTGTGACACGTGGACCACCCCATCCTCTGGAAACACTCCCTTCACTTGGCTTCCAAGACACCTCCTTAGCCTGGGAACCTCAGGTCCCTACTCCATCAACATCCAGGCCCTCACCGAGCACCCGCAGGTGACTCCAAATGCATCCTTCCCAACCCCAATCACTGCAATCAGACGTGCAGAGCCGCTTTTGGACAGCTGTCTGGAGAAGTCCTTTAGGCTTGAAAGAAGGGATTCGTGATTGACTTGAGAGTTCCAGAAAAGGATTAATATACCAATACAGTTTTTATTTATTTATTTTTTGAGACGGAGTCTCCCTCTGTCACCTAGGTTGGAGTGCAGTGGCGCGATCTGGGTTCACTGCAATCTCCGCCTCGCAGGTTCAAGTGATTTTCCTGCCTCAGCCTCCTGAGTAGCTGGGGTTACAGGCATGCACCACCACGCCCGGCTAATTTTTTGTATTTTTAATAGAGACGGGGTTTCACCATGTTGGCCAGGCTGGTCCCAAACTCCTGACCTCCAGCAATCTGCCCTGACAGCAGCTCTGATTAAGCAACAGGGAGATGCTAGGGATGGGTAAGGGGAGTTATGCAATGGACCTGCCCAACTTCAACTCCCACCATCAAAGCCCTAGAGGTCAAGGGGCTCATCCTGCGTTTCTGGGAAATGCCGTGCTACCTGTCGGCCTCCTCAACTCCCTATGCGTTCTGTGGCTGAATTTTGATGTCACTAGAGACACAGCCCGGCACAGAGACCAGAACACAGGTTTCTGTGCCGTCCTCACCACTGGGAGGCTGTGACCAGGCCTAGTCCCTGAACGTCTGGGGGTGTCTGCTCATCTCGTCTCAAGACACGTCTCTCACGATGCATTGGTTTGGGATTCGGTCAAACAGAGAAAAAACAAGGTCCCTGGCACTGGGCTGGCTTCCTCTCCATGCAGCCCTTTGACAACCTGAGCATGCTTAGCTCATTTGGAAACCAGCAAATGCTGAGTTTTCTTGTTACTATCCAGCTTTCCATCATTCGGCTGCTTTTTCTTTCACCCTTTACATTCTGTACTTTTCATTTGCTTAATAGATTCTAGTCCAACAAATCACTTTGTAGGCATTATCTCCTTTAAAAGGCCCTATTTCCAAAAGAAGAACATGTGAGAATGAACATTTAAAAATAGTTACTCAAGTGACTTCATTGTTTGAGAATCCCCATTAACATATGTGGCCCGTGTTAATAACAGTGTGTATCACTCTGCGGCACACAGCAGTTTCACATTATTGCAGCATTCCGCTCCTGCTTAATGTGCTTTTTTTTCCAGGTGATGGGATTTTGCACCAAGTGAAATAATTGGTAATATTGAGGATCATCCATTTTTTATTACCTAGAATTCAGAAGTGATCAGGACGGGCCTGGTGTGACTCTGAGATGATGGGCTGTTGGGAAGTGTGATGTGATGTGGTACTGTGCGCTCTCCAATCCTCCGGGAAGCAGCATCTCGGCCCCTGGGGGTGGGGGGCACGAGGCCGGCCCCAGGGACCCTGTACTTGTACAGCCCGTCCGCAAATTCAGGCAGGACATGCGGTCGCAGTCTCACCCTGGGATCACTGACCACAGGCCCAGTGGGTCCCTGTCAGTCTTAAGAACTTTTTCTCCCCATCTGCCCATGACACTGTGGAGAAATGAAAAGCTCTGTCCTGCCCAGCTTCCCCGAAAAGAAAGTCTGGCTGAGCATCTTCACATGGAGCGAGAAGACGTTTGCTTCATGAGGCCAAGAAAAGCCAGTTACACACACACCGACGTCTTCAGGGCAGGCACATGTTTCATGCTTATTTATTCAATCACCGCTTCATGCTGTAGGGTGAACCTGATCAACTATCTAAATTCAGAAGAAAATGTAAAAAGTTGTCTGATAAAAAAACAGTCTTTACTCTCACAGAACACTTCTGATGCAGGATGGGAAAGTGGCTCTCCTTCCCCACGTCACACGATGCTCCGGCGGACACTGAGCATCCTATAATATCCTGGCATATGCCCTGCCACCACCCACCTGGAGGCAGCATCAGGATCCCAGGGCTGAGGGCTCAGGCCCACGAGGCTGCCCGCCCCGGCAGATGCCAGGCGCAAGTAGTGGGCTGTCACCTACGCTTCTGACCAACTACAGAGCAGGAACTCCCTCTCCAGGTTCAGCTGATTTGCCAGAGCAGCTCTGAGCTCGGGAAACGCTTTACTCACGCGTGCCCGTTTATTATCAAGGCTGTGACAAGGGCACAGAGGAACGGCAGATGGAGGTGTGCAGGGTGAGGTGTGTGGGAAGGGGACCGGGAAGCTCCCATGCCCGCTGGGTGTGCCACCCTCGGGGAACCCCCATGAGTTCAGCAACCAGGAAGTTCTCAGAACCCCAGGCCTCTGGGGTTTTATGGAGGCTTCATTACGTAGTCATGACTGATGACACACCACTGGCCACTGGTGATCGACTCCACCTTCTACCCCCACCCCCCCAACTTCCTGGAGGTGGGGGAGGGGGAGGGCTGAAAGTCCCCCCACTCCAATCACCAGACTGGTTCCCCGAGCAAGCACCCCCTCTCCTGAGGCTGTCCAGGAGCCACCACAGATGGCCTCATTAGAACAAAAGATGCTCCCATCACCCAGGAAATTACAAAGGCCTTAGCAGCTCTAGGCCAGGAGCTGGGGTCAAGGGGTCAAAGAGCAAATATGAAAATGTGGGCTTCTCCTCGTGCCCTATCTACAGGGGTTGCAGGAGTTCTGTCCCAGGGATTTAGGGCCCAGACCACATCTGTTTCTTATCTCATCACAATATCACAGGCTGGTACCCTGATGACTCTGTCAACCCTCCAACTGACTTTCTGGAGAGAATTTCCCTCGTAACATCGAGGGTGCACCTAGCTAGGAGCAGGGGCTGGCGGGACAGACGGAGCGGATGGATGTGGTTACTCACTCACCGTTCACACAGCCCGGGGCATCAAGGGCACAACGCACCGGAGGAAGGATCCGAGAGCTCTCCCGACGCCACCTGCCTTTCCCCTTTTGTGCAAAGGCCTTATGAAGAAAATCTGTTTGACACCATGGGTTATTTTTACATGTGATATATCCTGAAGACATGAGTTCTGTCTCCGGAAAGTGGTATCCTTCGTAGCACAAGGCTTTTCGAAACCTGCCCCGTTTTTTTTAACCTGGGCTCACAACTCCGGCCCCTCTGAGATCCAGTGATACCATGAGTGTCATCTGTATTCACTCTATCCTACTTCCACTGGTTGAAATGTCTTGTATTTTTCTATAGTTTTTCTATACTTTCTATTACACAACGAACAACAACGTGAGGGTTTTTTGGTTTGTTTTTTGTCTTCTCCAAATGCTGAAACTACCCTTCCATGCAGAGGAGGCTGCAGAATCAGGAGACGCGCCGGAGCATCCGAGGGCTGTGCAGGAGCGCACTTCCCCACCCTCCCCTCAGTTCCCGACTCGGGAAGCTCTGCGCCTTCTACACGACAGGGGAGGAATCCACACGCCACACCAGCAGCGACTGAGGACAAACCACGCAAAGAACCGGCTCATGGATTTCGCATTTGAGATGCTTTTTATAATAAAGTTATGCCAAAAATACAGCAACAAATACAGAAAAAGTATTAACAAACGGAGAAGCCCCAGATACACGTACAGTAACAATACAAAAATGTGACTGGTCAAACAGCTCAAGTTCACATTTAACACTTTCAATTATTTTTAATTACACTATTTCTGTTCAAAAGAATGTTTTCCTTACATACAACCATGATCAGTCTTTAGTCTCAATCGTACCAAAATAAAGCTATATATAAGCACTCTGACTAGGTAAGGTGTGAAGTACCCCGTGAGTTGCTCTGTGGCTTGAGATGGGACACATGGTCTCAAATGACTCTTATGCATGCCTTGCCTTAAGAAAGAAAAGTAATGTTGATGGTTTAAAAAGTAAGTACTTTTTGAAGCAGCAGATGAAATGTGTTTACTACCAGCCTAAATCAAAGAACATGGCAAGAGCAAGATTGTTCTCAGGAAGGAAACCATAAATATGGCATTTATGTAAAATCCTTGCAGCATCTGACCATGCTTTTATCTTTAAAAAAAAAAAAATCCTCACTTTCTTAAATATAAGTAACAGTTTATTAATTTTTTTTTTACAGTGAGATATGGCTATGGGAAGCAGGTGATACTATTTGTTTAAGAAACTGGGATGCCAACTAACACGTGGAGTTCCCCAAGACTTTGCAATCTCCATTTGTGAGTTTCTGTAAAAAAGGGAACCCAGCTAGAGGATTCACAGAGACCTTGAATGACAAGCGACATACTCGAAATCTGCAGCTCTCCTCCCGGAGGGCCCAGCGTGCCAGGAGACACGCTGCAGTAAGGCACTTACCAAGCTCCTTTGGATAGAGGGAAAGAAGAAATCAATCCAGGCAACATGCAAGTTTCAGTGAAGTCAGACATTTTATGGGAATTTAAAGTCTTGCCTGTTCTCAGTGCACCCCAGTCAGTTACTGACATGTCAGCCTCAGAAACCGCACATGGCCTCAGGAAGGTCAGGCCCTCCTGCTGGTGGGCACGCCATTGGCTCTTGATCGCTGATGGTCTCGATGATGGTCATATTTCACAGAAATAATGAGGAAAAGCAGGAGGGTAGCTCCTTGAATAGCAGCCAGAAGAAAAAAGTAATAGTTCAAATAGCAGCCGTTAATATTACCTGGAGAAAACAAAAGGAAAGCGGCAGGTAAGCTGCGCTGCTACAGGTATTTTTTCAAGACTTTACTATTTAATCTGGTTCCCACTAAGGTTTAACTGGAGTCATAAAAAAAGTAACAAATGTTGTCTCTGTAGTCCAAAATGCACAAGCATCTTGCTTTCAAAACCACTGAAGAAGCTCCCTGAAGTCAGATACATCGCCACCGGGGGCTCTGGAGGTGGGCTGTCTGCAGCCCCCCACCTGCCCCTAGCAGCCCATCCCTCTCTTCTGTAAGGTAAAAGGAGGAGGTTCCCTGAGGAAACTAGAAAAGGTAGCTCCCCAGTACTCAGGAAAATCCCTGCGTGGCCTGCAGACACACATGCGGTGGTGAAGGGGACAGTGTCGACGGAGAGTGTGCCTAAGGCCGCACGACAAGGCTGCAAATCAGGAGCAAGGGGAAACCTGCCAACCCAGCCTCCTGTGACTGCTAATCCCCCCACACCAGAACAGCTGGGCAAAGTAAAAAATTACCTTCCTGTGTTCTTGCCACCAGAAACAAGTGTTAGCCGGTCTGGTGTTATTTCCTTCCTGCCTTTTCTGAGGCAGTGTTCCTCTCCTCAACTACTTCAGGGGAACTTCCTCCATTTATAGTTATGATTGGCCTGGAACTGCATTGTTGAGGAAGGCAGATGCGAAGATAACAAAAGAGCGCCTGACTATCTCTTTATCGAATCCTGAGGTGAGCGTCTTTGTAACTTGGCTATGGAACCTGTGCACTTTTTAGCATCACAGATTGCACTATGACACAGCCTGAACATCGTGAATTCTGGATTCACTGCATGGGTCACTGACACACCCAACACACCAGGGCCGACAGCTGGGCAATGTATCAAAGGAAGAGATGAGCTGGTTTCTGAATGTGTCTTAAACATGTTCAGGTTTTAGCATCCTCAAACTGACACAAGCAGATACCTCTGCATACTTTAATACAAAGAGTTAGCATACACTGAATACCCAACCGAGTCCCGGGCACTATGGAGGCACTTTACACGCAACGTCTGCATCCCAAGCAGGCTGGACAGCACAGAGGATAAGATCATGGGCCATGCAGCTCAAGCTATAAGGCTTGAATCCGGCCTCTGAGACCTCTGTGCTCAGTTTCCTCATCTGTAAAATGGGGAAAGCGCCGAGGAGCAGCATTTCAGAAAGGCACTCAAGAGGGAGTCTGGACGCGGTGAGGGTGCTAGCAACACGTGCCACGGTCATGATCCCCCTTTCACAGAGGTCTGGAACTGTCCACTCTGCAAACTGGCAGTCTCTCCGCCAGAGAACAGAGTTCAGCCAGCACCGGCTAACATCACCACTCAATGTGCAGACGTGGGAACGACGTGTGAGCAGAAAACGGCAGGACTTTTAGCTCGTCATGACTGGTCATCCAGGCCAAGCCGAGTGTCGCCCTGTGCTCTCCACCACGGCTGCTCCTGCCACCATGGCGTCCCTCTGTCTCCGTACCATGTACATCACCTGCCACCAGCTGGAAAGCACTGCTGCACGTTTCTGCACGAGGTCGCAGGTGCGTGTGGCCGGCAACATCACGAGGGGAGCGAGTGCTCTGGAATCAAGTTGCTCCATTTTCTGCTCCTCTTCAAAAACACTTTCTCATTTGTTTATTTTAAAAAGTGAGACTTCCTTTCTTCTGAAGACCTTTTTAAAGCTGGGTTATTCTGGCACTTCCTTTTTCTATCTGAACATATACTGCATGTTCAACAGTGCATTTATCAAATAAACACAATATAATACACGTCTGGGCCAGGCGCAGTGGCTTATGACTGTAATCCCAGCACTTTGGGAGGCCAAGGTGGGTGATCAACTGAGGTCAGGAATTCAGAATCAGCCTGGCCAACACGATGAAACCCCGTCTCTACTAAAAATACAAATAATTAGCCAGGCGTGGTGGCTGGCGCCTGTAATCTCAGCTGCTTGGGAGGCTGAGGCCAGAGAATTGTCACTTGAACCCGGGAGGTGAAAGGCTGCAGTGAGCCAAGATGGTACCACTGCACTCCAGCCCGGGCAACAAACGTGAAACTCCATCTCAAAAAAAAAAAAAAAAAAAAAAAAAAAAACCCACACATCTGTATGGTGAGATCTCACACATTTTTAAAGAGTGCTCATTCACACCAATTAAAGAAGATCATTTCCTGTGTCTACTGATTTAGAAAGACAGCTGCTAATACCCTGAATTCTACCAGACTAAAGCTTTATTTTTTCAACAGATGTTTTACACTATTCGTTCAACCCTTACGACCTACCAGGCTCTGTCCTGGGCACTCAGTGGAAATGCAAACCCCAGCTTCCTGGAGCCTGGCACTAGCTGTCACTGCTGTCCCAACACTGGCATTTGACGCTACTGAGACGAGGTTGTCATCAAAATATAAACGACATCATTTTATGTGCCTATTTTGAAATACGAGTCTCCCCAAATGTACCAGTCACTGAAAACTTCCCGAGCTAAAGCTGGCAGGCCACGTGAACTGAAGGCTGAGGCCACATGAACTGAAGGCTGCGCGGCCCTGCGGGAGTGGAGGTGCGGTCCAAGCCCGCAGGCAGACACACCACGCCTCGTCAGGGTCTGTCTCAGGGTGGCATTACACAGGGTATTCGGAAACGCCTAAGTCGCCTGGGAGAAAACCTGCCGTGCATTCCTGGGCCTCTTCACAGACAGAAGGATAATTACACAGGAAGATGGCAAACACTAGGGTTTTGACATTTGACAAGACAGACTCTTGGGTCCCCAAGGAATGAGCGCACCCGCCCCCCAGGCTCACAGGCAGGGCAGGTATTCACAACAGCCCCACACTGCCAACATCTGGGCACCCACCGACAACAGCATGGATAAATGCCTCGTGACGGCTCGTACGAAGGAGCAGTACTCAGAAGTACAGGGGAGATGCTCACAGACAGAAGTGCTAAGTGAAAGGAGACAGCCACAGCCCAGCACAGGACAGGCGAGGGTAACCTGTGGGGACCAACGCTGGAATAGAACAGGTTTACCTTCTGAGGGGGGCAGTAAACTAAGGAGAGAGGCAAGGAGGGCTTCCAAAAGTTCCTCCACTGAGATCCAGACTGCAAACACAGCAAGCTGTGCTTAAGATTAGAGACCTTTACTATGGTATGCACGTTCTCCCCAGCTTAAATAACACTAATAAAAGGAGCCTGCTGGGAGGTCGGTAAGAAAAACACAATGTAACAAAACTCTGGGGACTCTCCCTTCACAGTGCTGTGACTTTACAGAAAGCTATTTCCTGTGTCGGTCACGAGATGGTGAGGTAGGGCCAGGGATAAGGGTGGCACAGACACCCCCGGAACCTGGCCTGAGAGCTGCTGCTCCTTCCAAGGCCACACAAATTCAGGGAGAACTCTCTCTGAGGAGCGGGCTTCCTGTGGATTTCCCATGTCACAGCCTTTATTTCTCTACCCAGGACGCCAAGGGCTGCTCGACAGATGAGCTCCAACTCTCCTTACTGGTGTGAACCAAGGAGGCTGCCATGCAGCCAGGGGGCACAGCCTGGGGGCTGCTGGCAAACACGCCTCCTTCATGAAACATTTCCCATTCTTGAAAACAACAGACAGATCCTGGCCCATCCCCAGCACACACGCCCTGAGAGCACCAATGCAGGGGAAGTCCACAAACAACCTGTCAGACAGAAATGATGAATGAAAGGTCAACTCTGAGATGTGAAATTAAATTAAGAATGAGGATTAAATGACTAGAAAGCAACGAGAATGACCAGCCAATCCTTTATGACACATTTAAAGATAAAACAAAAACCAAGAACCAGAATCTTCGTCTTCAGAACTATGGACTTTGGTCTTTCTTTGAAGGAAGTCTGTCCCATGTACCACAAGAGGATCTTATTCCTCGGGCTGTTCATCTTCAGGAGAAGGTGGGAATGAAACACCAGCCCCAAATCCACATGTCCTCCTCAGAGCAAGCAGCCCTGAGCTGGCCATGGAGGTGGCACCCACAGCCAGAAAACATCAGTGACAAGTGTCCATGGGACATTGGTGGCTTGGAGTTCTGGGCTTTACATTAGGACTCCACAGGCCTATACTCATGGAAGGGCTCTGGGAATTCTGCAATTTCTGCAGAAAAGTCCCTAAACGTTCACCAGATTCTCAAGGGGATTTGTAACCTAAAAGTGGCTAAGTACTACCGGACCAGAGCAAATGCCACATGATTATACAAGAAAAAGTAACAAGGTTGTTTCTGTAGATAAAATATTTTTACAAAGGAAAAGAAAGAAGAAACCTTCGCTTGCTGGGTCCATTTAAAGGCATCGTAAACCTGGAGAAAGCAAAACTCAGCTTTTATGAGTGGTTCTGTTCAACACTCAAGATGCCACCTACTGGTATTAATTGTAAAAACCCATTATGATTGATCACAAGTAATATGTTTATTTTTAAAAGTAACTTACTATCTATCTTGTCTTTTTCGTATCAGAAAAGGTGCTGTTAGGAAAAGAAAACGAAAGTACACCACCAAGTTAAAGAAAGGGAAGCTTGGGGTACAGATTCAGCTGCCTCACGAAGACTGAGCTGGACGGGCGTGGAGAAGGTGCTTGTCTGTCAAGGACGTCCCCGTAAGGAGCGGTGGCTGCAGCAGCTGCTCGCTGGGCTGTGGCCAGGGCAGGCTTGGCCCCTGGGATGAGAAGAGAGGCCTGCTTGTCTCCTGAAAACCGTTCATGATGTAAGGAAACACAGTGATGCAAGCAGCACAGAGCAGTGCTGTGGAAGGAGCGGTGGACAGGCAGCTCGGGACAGGCCATCCACGTGAAAACACCTCCGCTCACTCAGCCATCTCCTGAGTGCCTGCGCCTCCCCCTCACTGGCTATTTTCAAAAGGGACAGGATGCTGGCTCTTACCAAAGTCTGTGTGACTGCTCATCCATCCGATGGCTTTGATAGACACCAGTGCCAGCAGTCCAGAACCCACGAACGACCCGACGCCAGAGAAGAAAAAGAACAAGCCCATTATGGCACTCTGCATGGACTTGGGGGCAGCTGAGTATGCAAATTCCAGGCCTGAGGAAAGAAAAGGGAGGGTCGTTTTTGTGAAAGGGGCACTTTAACACATGGGATCAAAGCTTTCACCTAATATAGCAGAGGAAGCGTGGGGTCTCCTAGGGACTGAGTCCTGCAGACAGGCACAACCTCTTTTCTATTAGGAGGACGATGCTTACTAGCGACCAAGAATCAATGGCTATGGGCCAACTGTTCATTCTCCTAGCCATTAGGATAATTCCTAATAAATTCAATGAGCAGAAAGTTAAACTCCTTGCTCTCAAGCTTAAAGGTAATGTGATTTGTTGGCTCTTAGACTTTTGTGTTCCTTAAAGAGATTAGAGAAAAAATTTTCCTATATTGTCAAGGAATGGGAGTTTGAAAACAAAGTACACACACTAAACTGGGAAATCTACATAAGGATTCTATTTCAGAGGCAATATACTTTATCTTTTTTTTGTTGAGACGGAGTTTTGCTCTTGTTGCCCAGGCTGGAGTGCAATGGCAGGATCTTGGCTCACCGCAACTTCCGCCTCCCTGGTTCAAGCGATTCTCCTGCCTCAGCCTCCCGAGTAGCTGGGATTACAGGTGCGTGCCACCATGCCTGGCTAATTTTTTGTATTTTTAGTAGAGACAGGGATTCACCATGTTGGCCAGGCTGGTCTCGAACTCCTGACCTCAGGTGATCCACCCGCCTCGGATTCCTAAAGTGCTGGGGTTACAGGTATGAGCCACCGTGACAAGGGCAATAGACTTCAAAACTATTTTGGCAGGCCCATCTATAAATTTAGATTTTTATAACTAGACACGGAGATTTGTAGTGTATTCTAAATAGAAGTCCATTCCGTTGTGATTTATTCCCTTTACAAATTCATTAGCCAATTCTGGATGAGTTTTCTACAGTGAAAACCACCACTGACTACTACCCACACATCCATCCACCTCTGCATATCACTCATCTTCTCTTCTCTCTCACTCTCAGCAGCCGGACAGATCTGCCCAGAATACACTTGTTCAACCACTGCAGGATCTCACTAATAGGAAAAGGGAGGCCTGTGAGAACACGTTTCTAAAAATTAGATCTGCTTCTTTACGTACATCTAAACGAAGCGCACTGAGAGCTGTGAGCTCAGCCCAGCCACCACGGCAGCATGGCCGAGGGCTCCGCTGGGAACTATCCAACCACGATTGCTTTCTTCTTCTCTGTCCTGTGGCACTTACAAGGTAGTTAACAAACTTTCATGAAAATATTTTGCGATACTGTTTTTACACAAAGAATGGAGAACCTCAGCACTGGTGTGTTTACCTAGCGATTCATATTCTAAACCACACACTGCCAAAAACTACAGAAGTGCTGTGCTATCCTTGTCTCAACATATTCCAACAGCACAGTCAGAATGCCCGAGCGCTCACGCTTGTGCCTGGACTCAGACACCTCCGGCACTAAAGGTCCTCACCTGCGATACTTGCAAAGATCTCGCTGATCCCAATCAGCAAGTACTGCGGCACCTGCCACCACAGCGACAGATCGGCAGCATGGTAGACGACGTTGCCGATGGTCTGATTAATGGTTTTCTCTTTAACAAGGTTCAGCCTTTTACTCTCCAAAATTCCTAGAATTCAAAAGTAGGTTAGTGTAATATTCATTTATTAACATTTACAGTTAATCTAAAAATCTGATGTTGGCTACGAGACTTCGTAGCAAACGTGATTCTGATGCGTGAAAGGACCACGTCTAATCACAGCTTCCCCCAGGACTAATAGGCCCCCAGCCTTCAGCCTCCTAAGCAGGCTGAGTGGAGGTCATGGCATAGCACACCTATTTCACTTCGGCTTTTTACAGCATCTTATATAAAATCAGATGTTCAACATGTTTCATTTAATCCTCAAATATCTGGATTGCTCACCCATACCTCGTTTGTCTCTTACAAAGGGGAGTAGGAGAAAGTTAAAAAGTCCTACTGTAGAATTAACAGTAGTGCTATTTTACCCAACAGCAGGTAATACTGAGATGTTCTTCCAATCATAGTGATGGATCGAAGGTGATCTACTGATTTATTATTATAACAACAAATGATGATAATAATGATGATGATGATGTTGGTTTCCCTGCATAGGGTAGGCTTAATCTTTGCAACAAAGTAAGCTGACTTCACAAATCAACCTGTGCTCTCAGCAGCATTGAGATCTCACTGCAGGTGCAGGCTAAGTTACTGGTCACCTATCAAGTGTAACAGAAAGACATGAGAAAAACAAGCAAGGGCAGCAGCTCCTACTCTATAAACAAAAATCAGCCACTGGAAATAAAGTGTAAAAGCATCTATTCGCAGGTCCAAGTCCTTAGGTTAAAGATACCACCAAGTTTTATTTTATAAAGAATTCTTATTGCAAATTAGGTCACAGGCCCTAATATTTAAAGCGTATGTAAAATATGTTTATTTTAAAACATGAGTATGAAGAAAGGTCTGGTCAGAGGGCAATGGAATGAAAATATTAAAAATGTTCCTTCTAAAACCTGAGCATGAGAAAGGACCAGGATATGATCCATAGGGCGATGAGAACACAAACTCTGGAATTTCCACCTCAAATCTCAACTGAAATGCCAAGCAAAGTGAAAACATTCTCCAGGATCAAAGTAGAGAGAGACCTTCGAGCCAACCCACAGCTTACTTCCATCAGAAAACCTGCAGCCCCACCCTGGAAGAGTGTCAAGGGAAACCCAATCCTTCCACTCCGCCCTCCACGGGAGAAACATAAACGCAGACCCAGGCAAGGACAGCAAACTATTTAGAGCCCTTAGTTGTTCTGGAAAGGGCATCTGAGGGCATCTTAATCAGGCAAGGCTGGTAGTGACAATAGGGACTGTCCCCAAATGACAGCCTTCCTCCCGACAGGGCAGCTGACAGCAACCATAGCACTGCACCCCTAGCCCTGGCATCAGCGCCTTCAAACACGAAGAATGAACTGTGTGACAATGGCTTCCCCTAGACACCCAAGGTCCTCAGCTCCCACCTGCTCCCCTGGGACCATAGCTGACTACACTGGTCCCCACTCCTTGAATGGGAACAGAACCTATGCAACTCAAGCAGAAATTCAGGTCTATTTTGGAAATAAACACGAAAGCTGAATACCACTTTTCTCCTTCACAGGAGAGGAGGAGAGCCTAAGGATGACACCAAAGTGTCTGCAGGGGGCGGGACAAGGGAAGGTTACTCATGCGGAGGACAATAAGTAGATTTTATAACCTGAATGGGAAAGATACTACTATTGCTACTGGCATAGTTCTACCAGAGAACTTGTCTTATTATTCAAGAAAACACAGACTCTGAAGACTAAGGATGAAAAAGGTAACAAAGAAATTAAGGGGACGTTGGCTTAAGAGAGACACAAATGATGAGATCAAGAATTAGGAGAAGAGAAAATGAGAAAATAAATAGGCCTGATTATTGGTGAGGCTGTTGGCAGAGAGATGAGCAGCGGCAAAGGCGCACACACAGCCAACACTGCGGAAACCAGGATCGGGACGGGTGCCCCCAGTCACGAGCGAGGCGGAGAGGCAAAGCCAATGGGGAAAATGACCCTGCCTGTGAACAACTGAGAGCCCTGGAGAGGCTGGGACAGGCCGAAAAGCAGCAGGGTTCAGGCTGAGTGACAGTGACATGGCAAGCGGGCACCCAGTAAAAACAAGCATGGGATGCGACGCTGGATAATCAACACAGCAGTCAGGATAAATGAGCCAAATCCTTCAGATAAAAGTCATCCACTTGTATCAGTTCAAAAAATAAACAAAACTGAGTATTACGGTTAATACACAGAACTAAAGCATAATATAACCCAAAGATTGTAAATAAAGGAGAGGACAGGCCAGGATGTATCAGACAAACAATCATAAAGGGAAGAGGTGTCAACAAAAATACCAAGAAGAGAGAAAAAGAATCAAAAACCAAAATAACCAATAGGTGCCATGTATGAATTGTTCCTTGTGTGATGAGCCGCTTTTGTTGATGGATTCACAGACAGCACCTCATTTATTATTCACAGTAAGCTGGGGGGAGAAATAACCCAAGCTCATTTGAAGATGAGGAAAATGAGACTTGGAGACAACTGGCAGAGCTGAGGCCAGGCTTCACACCCGGCTCTCAACGATGCCACATGCGCTACCTTCCAACCCAACGGCTGTTTCACTATGGATGACACATAGTATCCAGACACAACACAAATCATGAACTTTACTGTGAATTAAAATACCATCTGGCTGCTAGAATCTCACAGGAATACACTTCTTTTTGTCCTTGTCAGAACAGGTAGACGAAAAAAAAAATACAGCTTTATTTGGCATAAAGTTTACAAACTACAGACACAAATAGAAAGCGAGGCCCCAGACCGACTTCATGACAACAAATAATTCTTGAGGCCTACAACATGTCCGGGACGACACGACGAATTGGACAGACACAAAGATCCGGGTCCTCGTGGGGCTCCCTTCTGACAGACTTATGTTTTAAGCCCACATGGTGTTTTAGAAAGTGTTCGGGCAGGACCTGTCTGTGCCTTCCCATTCACCACAGACCCACTGTGTTATTCTTGGACCATGCACTCATCCCCATGGCCTCAGGCCCACTGCCAGTACTGGAGTTTAAGACTCCTGCTGTAAAAGACCTAATTAATACCGTTGGTAGTATTACAATACATGAATCATGCTATTCACCTACAACATTTTGAGAGAGTGATATTTGGCCATAACGGAAGCCTTGAAATCCCCAATGCAAGAATTATAAAAGCCATAATCTCTCCTGACTCAACAAAATTTGCCATCATTAACAAAAGTATAAACAAAAACATCAATATTGTAAAACTTAAAAATTCTCTGAAATTAGTCTTAGATCAAAAAGAAAACCAAAACCAGTTTCAATATTCACAGAAAACAAGAAAGAGAACATTAAAACAAATCAAAGCACACAAGAACTGACCAAAGTAGTAATAACAAGCAAATTCATAGCATTAAATTATCTTTTCATTATTAAATAGAATAGAATAAGTAAAAGTGAATGAAAGCCAGGCCCAGTGGCTCACGCCTGTAATCCCAGCACTTTGGGAGGCCAAGGTGGGCAGATCACAAGGTCAGGAGTTCGAGACCAACTTGGCCAATATGGTGAAACCCCGTCTCTACTAAAAATACAAAAATTAGCCGGGCATGGTGGCAGGCGCCTGTAATCCCAGCTACTGTGGAGGCTGAGGCAGGAGAATCGCTTGAACCAGGGAGGCGGACGTTGCAGTGAGCTGAGATCACGCCACTGCACTCCAGCCTGGGTGATGGGAGGGAGACCCTGTCTTGAAAATGAAAAAGTTATCAAATTTCTTCTCAGAGAGGTAATGGACTCCAGATGACTTCAAGCTAGGCAAATGCTTGGAACTCCTTGAGAACAGAAAGATAATTATTGTCCCCTTAAAATATTCTCCTGCCTACAGAGAAAAAGAGAGTACACCAACTCTTTTTAAGAAGCTGTATCACCTCACTGAAACCGCCAAAAACAACCGCAGACGAAGGCCGATTCTAGACACAGACGCACACGTGCTCAATGACACAGCTGCAAAGTCAGGTCAGAGGACCAACATCAGCCTCTTTTAACAGACAGGGTTTGTCTTCTAAAACGCAGGAATAGTTAAATGTCAGGAAGCTAATACAATAATATAAATAAAATACATGAGAAGCCAAAGGCAGCCGGGGGGAGATGCAATTATCCTTGGATACCCCCCCCAAAAAAATCCAACATTCATGCTGGCTAGATGTTTAATGTCATCACAAATACCTACTTTAACAAGCAATGATAAACTTTCAACTTAACTGTGAGCTACTAGTGGCAGTCCCATTAAAATCAAGGATGAGACTAACGTTGAATCAAAGAAAAAGAGAAAAAGAGATATAATTATTACAAAGACAGAAAAAGAAACTATATTATTTGAAGACAAAGAATGACCATTTGAAAATAGTTCACTGAAACTCACAGAATTTTATAAAATCCCATATATGAGGAACTGAAAATACATAAAGTAGTTACCAATAAACCTAACATAAAAGGTAGAGAACCTAAAGAAATGTATAAAACTTTCCAAGATTCCATAAATAAAATTATAGGAAATTTTTTTTCTTTTTGAGACAGAGTCTCACTCTGTTGCCCAGGCTGGAGTGCAATGGCATGATCTCAGCTCACTGCAACCTCCACCTCCTGAGTTCAAGCGATTCTCATATCTCAGCCTCCGAGTAGCTGGGATTAAAGGCATGCGCCACCACGCATGGCTAATTTTAGTATTTTTGGTAGAGATGGGGTTTCACCATGTTGGCCAGGCTGGTCTCAAACTCCCAACCTCAGGTGATCTACTCGCCTTGGTCTCCCAAGGGAAAATCTTTTAAATGGGAAAAAATCCATAAGCTAAGAGATAAAAATTTGAAATCCTTAAATAATCATGATCTATTACGTAACAACACAAAAAAAGAAAAACCTGGCCGGGTGTGGTGGCTCATGCTTATAATCCCAGCACTTTGGGAGGCTGAGGTGGGCAGATCACGAGGTCAGGAGATCGAGACCACGATGAAACCCTGTCTCTACTAAAAATACAAAAAATTAGCCGGGCATGGTGGTGGGCACCTGTAGTCCCAGCTACTCGGAGAGGCTGAGGCAGGAGAATGGCGTGAACCCGGTAGGCAGAGCTTGCAGTGAGCTGAGATTGCACCACTGCACTCCAGCCTGGGCGACAGAGACTCTGTCTCAAAAAAAAAAAAAAAAAGAAAAACCTATTACAAAAATGGGTACAACACAAACTGTACACAGAATATAACCATGTACAGTTACATTCTATGGGGATCCAGGTAAACCATGACCCACCTAAGATGACAAGTTTGATAAATTTTGGGAAAGAATCTTAAACGTCACTAATAACGTGTTAAAACAATAATATACCATTTTTCAACCCTTCAGCTAAGAAAAGATTAACAGAAAAAAAAATCATTTATTATGGGTGTAGATTTATTATGGGTGTAGGTGGTAAGCTATAAGCAAAATCAAGTTTCTTTCCCATTAAAATTTTGGTTTGCTATGATGGTTTCAAATCTCTACTCAAAGACCATTAATGTCTCTAAATAATACTCACTAGAGCTAGGAATGAAACCTCATCAAACATGGGCAGGTGTTTTATTAAATTTAATAGATTGTACTCATGTCAAGTTATAAGATATATGTAACTCTTCCCAACTACTGGCGGGTAAAGCTTCTTCCCAACACTGGGTCACTTAGGAAAGAACGCCTGTTTCAGGACGCACACATGCTGTGAACTTTCCACTTCCATGTCACCAATTCAGAGGCTCTGGAGCTGCTGCTGTCACACTAGGTCAGAGCGCATGCCTCCCCATAGGCGCCAACACTCAGTAAGAAGGCAAGCACTGTGCAGAGGCTGCCTGACTCCAGTCAGTACATACTGGACTTGATGTGCTGTGGATTTTGCTAGCGCTTTTTTTTTTTTTTTTTTTTGAGACGGTATCTTGCTCTGTCACCAGGCTGGAGTGCAGTGGCGCGATCTCGGCTCACTGCAACCTCCACCTCCCGGTTCAAGCGACTCTCCTGCCTCAACCTCCCGAGTAGCTGGGACTACAGGCGCCCGCCACCATGGCCAGCTAATTTTTGTATTTTTAGTAAAGACAGGGTTTCACCACATTGGCCAGGCTGGTCTCAAACTCCTGACCTTGTGATCCACCTGCCTTGGCCTCCCAAAGTACTGGGATGACAGGTGTGAGCCACCGTGCCCGGCCTGCTAGCGCTTTTTAAAGACAGAACTGACGGAGTGCAATGGGGAAATCTCAACAGTGACTGGTCTGGCACTTGTATCCTGCACAAACACATATCGAAACCACCAGAATGGACTGCATGGCTCTCAAGGCAGCCCACAGAAGTGATTCAGCCATTTATGAAACTGAAAGAGAGGATGTTAGGAAAGGAGCCCAAACCAAGTATCTACTGGAAAAGCCTCCGGAAACCAAGGACGTCTCCTTTCCCACAGGGAGGGAACGAGGACTCCCTTCCTTGGCATCAACCAGTGTGGTGACGGGGCACAGAGAAGGCACTCCAGCCCCGGGGGGAGAGAGAGGTCTGAGGCCAAAGCTGAGCCTGCGCTTTGGGGAGGTAGGACAGGCAGGCAGACACAGCCTCCAGTGCAAAGACTTCCTGCAGACAGCCCTTCTGCAGGCGCACTCTGCTGAACCGCAGCCTGCAGCTAGAGCCCTGCGGTGATTCAGTTCTTCTCTGCCCATGCTTATTTCCCCATGTGCCACAGCTCTGGAAGAGAAGCTGAATTATAAAGAAGGCACAGCAAAAACTTCATTCAGACACGACCTCACTTTAATTATCTATTTGAACAAAAGAAAATGCAATAGTCTTCTAAAATGTCCCAGTCTCTAGAACAGAGATTTCTTAAGCCCAGGGACTAATTTCTTTAAATCTATTAAGTACTATATCAATACATTCAGTCTGGCAAAAGTAGATGAAAGCTGCTATGAAGGCAGCATTGTTTGAGAATATTAAATTCCATTTCAGCAATGCTTAACACTGAATTCCTCATGACAGCAGATAATACATAGTTGGTTCAAGAATATCAACTTTTATTATTATGTAACTAAGCTGTTTCATCAGTCAATAATTTTCAAATATTAATGAAGGGAGAACTCCAAAATAATTCAGAAAGTCAGCAATACCCAGCTTTATCAGCAAAAGATAAACAACTCATTTCAGCACATAAAAATTATGAAAACAGAATGGAAATCCTCAAAAGGATAACTCTCCTCATCAGAGTTTAGAGACTTAGGCATTTGTTCTTATCAGGTTTATCTGTAGCGGGAGGAGATGCTGCCCAGGAGCCTGTAACAATCTAGAAACATTTTTGTCACCAGAAAAATGCACACAGAATTTTACATAAAAAATTCAAAGGACTCGCAGGCACCCTGACACTTGTTAATAAACCTAAGGTTAGTAATCTGAAGGTGGAATTCTCATCCTTGAGGATGATACAGTACCTTTAATTTACAAAAATTCATCTATTCAGCATTCAATAGCCTAATTCTAAATCAGTAGGTAGAGAAAAACCTCCCTTTAACTCAGTCCAAATGTCACTTTTCAGAGCAACCCAATGGTTTTAGTACCAGCAGAAAAATGACGTATCCTTAGGAAAATAATCTTAAACTTTAAAATAAAGGATTAGTGCTGTAAAATAACTGATACACATCCTCTTTTACAGACATGCACTTCCTGAACAACCTGGGGCACGACTGCGTGTGAGCACTATATTCTGAATCCACAACTGCTGCAGTCGGGCCTGAGGAGGAACGGAGCAGAATGCCTCTTACCTGCAGCAAAGGCCGAGCACATGACAAAGAACATGCCCACGGCGATCCTCTTCAGGGAGGATGGGAGCAGGCCATGTCTTCTCAAAATGGGATCGACCAGTTTGTCCTTCAGAGGGATGAGCAGGAGGATGAGCACAGCATCAAACATGGTCAGCCAGGCTGCAGGGAGCTGGGGTGAAACACAGGAGGAGGCGTTTACTCCCCGCAATACAGGCCATCACCTGTCTAGAGAACCAACGTCTCAATGGGAGAAATGCACGTAAAGAACAGTTCCTCTCCACAAGGTACAACCTCTTCAGTTTAGAGACAACGGAACTGGGAAAAGATTTCTTTCCAAATGAATCTGCATTTGCTTTTCTGTGTTTTGAGGGGAAAATAATCAGGTGAAAAATACTAAGTAATGTTGAATTGATGTTAGTCAACCTAATCTAGCAAATGATACAACCAATGAAAAAATATTCTCTAAAATAAGTAAAAACTCTATTTCAATAACAATGCTTTTGTGTCGGTGCTGTTAACATTTATAAAAGATTTACAGTTGGTAGAAGGAATCCATTTATTACATAAGTCCAAAATAACAATGTTCAGATCATTACAATTGTTCTTACCGTGTGAGGAGTGGTTGTAATATTTGAAATTTCTGGAATCCTCAAATGAAGACTCTGTAAAACATATGTTGTCTGCATCTAGGTATAAAAAACAGTATCATTATATGTGGACCAACTGTGCTCTCAAACACTCTAAGCATCCTGCCCCTCCCCTAAGCTAGACTCAGATGCGACACACAGTGACTCCCAGAAATAGACAATGGCTCAAGTTTGAAAACAGACAGGTCAATGATTTGGTCATCGTAAAGTCCTCTGGAGATCAATTTTGAAAAAGAATGGCCAGTTATCCAAAGGAGAAATTACATTAACAAGAGGGGCCTGAAAAACCAGAAGCGTACCTGTTCTCAGCTTCTTTTTCAGAGAGGCTTTAGACATAGTTAAAGCAGCCAAAATGACTCCATAACTAAAACCAAAAATTCCAAGATTCTGTAGACTCATGGGAAAAAAAATCACCTAGTCCTACCTACTTTAGAAATGGCCAAAACAAGTGCTAGGGTAAGACTTCATAGGAAGATAAAGGAAATTAAACCTGTTTGTCACCACTCACTTGGAAATACACTGTCCAGTAAGGTATCAAAGCCAAGAAAACAGGGACAATCTTGACCAGAGCTTTCACATCTTCCACTTTCTCTTCTGTAAATGGCCCACCATGAGACATCTTACATGAATCAAACAGACTTTGTTTAGAAGATTGCTGAAAGACTCCAATGCCTTCACTTTGGGAAATAAAATGAAGGAATTAGTTTTCTTCCCCTCCCAGCAATCAATTATTTGGTCACAAATTAAGTTTGGAGGTAAGAAACCAGCTCACTGTATTGAATCTGCTTCAACTCATTCCATCACTTACTAATTGTACACACCCAACACAGCTACCTAAATTATTTCTAAATGTCACAGAATGTACTGAAACAGCTGACAAAGGGACTTTCTAGTCAAAGTGAAACTGGGCTACTGTAATTTTGGCGTGGCTGGAAGATCTGTGATGACAGTGTGAACCACGGCTGAGCTGAGAGCCCCAGCGCAGCTGCCAGCTCGGCAATCTCCGTGTGGGGAGAGTCTGCAGCTCTACGTGACACTGGGAGGGACACTAGCTATGCCACTGGATAGCATATGAAAAAATGCACTGGATTGTGTGAATTTTTAATCAGCTAATTTATCAAACATCAAGACCTGACAGCCAATACCCATGCTGTTAATAAAACCCTGCTGGTTTAAACTGAGTCACTGGCAGGACTGAGGCAGGCTTCTATTCTCGGAGGAAAGCTGTCAGCTCTTGGATTAAGGAAGAGCTGTTGGGGGAGGGCGGTGCTGGTGGTGATGAGAGGAGGATGTCCCTGGCTCTGTCCCCTGACAGTAGGAAACAGGGAGTGCCCAGTGCACCGCGTCCCATGTGCTCCCTCATTAACCATGTGGTGTTAAAACTCTTCAGGGCCCTATTGCACAGAGGAAGATGCCGGGGCACAGAGAGTGTGAAGGGTGCCTGAGGTATGGCCAGGACTTGGACCCAGGCAGTCTTGGCTTTACAGCCTGAGGCCCTGACCCCTGCAGGACACCACTGTCCCTCCACTCCCTGCCACTGCCCTCACATCTGCCGGTCACAGCAGGAACATGGACCTGGCATCCCCAGCTCTTGTACTAACGAGTTTCACTTCCTTGCTCTGGGCCTGCTTCATTATTTAGAAAATGAACAGGCCCCACTAGACAGCTCCGCACTCTCTCCCAGCTCCAAAACACTCTAATGGGGAACGGGCTCCAAGGATCTCAGGGGTAAAATGGGAAAACAAAGTGCACACTATTCTCTAAAGCCAGAAGTACCAGGAGAGAGTTAATTCCCAATAAGATTGTGTTTAACTGTGGGAAGCCAACAGAAATGGCACCTGTCAGCCTTCTAGTTTATTAACTCATGTCCCATTTTACTATGGTGCCAGTATTTTAAATTCTTTATCTTATAAAGTCAACATTTTAAGTCTGGACATTCAGAGTGGGGAAAAATAGAAGCGCTGAAAACTATAACTGAATATTTTAGCCAAATTTTGGACAAGAAAACTAAGTTCGATTCAACAAATACTGATCGAGTACCTGCTGTAGGCCCTGCATTGCTCTACCTGGGGGCTAAAGGGGAGGGCTCCTGTCCTTACGGACTTAGTCTAGTGGGGGAAAATAATCAAAAACAAAAACACCCAAAAGTGAAAATAAATTCCAAAGACATTATAAATACTTTCACTCGAAAACATTAACTTCTTCAAGTACTACTTTTTTTCAAAAAGGAAATTAAAGTCCTTTTGTACCTAATGCAGATACTATCAGTGGTTTACCACATCATATTAAATACCTTTCACTAAAAACATTTAAATAACAAATAAACCCATTTTCACACAAAGAATCATTCACACAGGTTACTGGTTATATTACTTTCGCTTTATGTAATTAAAATATTTAAAAGCTGTGAAATCAACATGCATCTGAAGCTTTACTGGGTTACACATATTGTTAGGTGCACTATTTTGCAACATACAAGGGTCCAACACGAAGCCACGGTCACAAGTGACACCCGAACACCCACAAGAGCCCTCTGCTCCTCCCACACAAGTTGACGAGCTCCAGTTTCAGGACGCCTGTGCCTGAGTCTCTGTGAAGGCCGCATGTAGGTGTGTGTATTCTCCAGGAAAAGAGTCCACTGGTTCTCACGGATTCCCAAAGAAGTATGTATCTCAAAAAGCTGTAGAACCATTTCTACTCTGGTCTGATGAGTTGAACAAATACGCCTTCATTTCTCATTTAATATCAAGCACTATATTATCTTCAAAACACAGATCAACCTGGATTGAAACTGAGATTGGGCCAGATGAAATTAAGTGTCACAACTGTAAAAATGTTGGGTATGTCATGCTTCCTCAGGCTTTGGAGGCCCAACTTTTTTTTTTTATTTTATTTTTTCGTTTTTGAGACGGAGTCTCGCTACCTTCCAGGCTGGAGTGCAGTGGTGTGATCGCGGCTCACTGCAAGCTCCGCCTCCCGGGTTCACGCCATTCTCCTGCCTCAGCCCCCCATGTAACTGGCACTACAGGCACCCGCCACCACGCCCGGCTAATTTTTTGTATTTTTAGTAGACGGGGTTTCACGTATTCGCCAGGATGGTCTCGATCTCCTGACCTCGTGATCCGCCCGCCTCGGCCTCCCAAAGTGCTGGGATTACGGGCTTGAGCCACCACGCCCAGCCTGGAGGCCCACCTTTTTTAAGGCACCCTCGTCACAGTGGTCACCACTGACAGGGCCCTTATCATGTACCTGGCATCCTGCTGAGGGCCTTGCACACATCACTGTGCTCAGGCCCCACCGTGAGCCCATGAGATGAATCCATCTCCGCTGTAAAAAAAGGAAAGCTGGGCTTCGCAAGATCAGTAACCTGCCCAAGGTTACAGAGCCAGTTCATACAAACAGCAGAATCTGAGAATTCCTCAGACCATCAACTTTTCTGCAAGCTAGCCCCTGCTTTTTTTTCCCTTATTTTTGCCCAAGAAGACTTTCAAAGACTATCCTAAGAGGAAATCGGCTTCCTAAGTAAAAGTAACTCCAAACCCTCTCCACACTGCCATTTGTGCTTTAAAACCCAAATATGTCCACAGAACAATGCTGTTCTCTTGCAGAAATGTCTATGGGCTACCACCCACACGGATACTAAAACTTTAAGGGTTGTTCCTGAAAAAGACCTCTAGGATCCGAAACACTGCTTTTGTCTGATCAAATAAGGCCCTGGCAAAAGACTAGTGTCAGCTAAGATGGGGCTATATTTTTTTTTTTTTTTTTTGAGACAGGGTCTCACTTTGTCACCCAGGCTACAGTGTAGTGGTGCAACCATGGCTCACTGAAGCCTTGACCTGACCTCCTGGGCTGAAGTGATCCTCCCACCTCAGCCTCCTGTACTTTAATTACTAAAAATTCTTTAGTGCGGTCCCACCATTTGCAGTTTTGAATTATGTGTCTGAATGCCACAATGACCCACTGGCATTTCCAATAGGTCATGTAGACTGGTGAGATCTGCCAGAACTCCACACAGGGACAGCCGGAGAAATCAGAGATGTTCAGGAGCAAAGTAGGCGCACAGGGCTATTTTGGTGAAGTTTCAATCTACCACGTGGAAGGAATATTAGACACATTCGCTACGGCTCCAAGAGCATGAGTAAGACAAACACAGACAGGCCGCAGGCAGGCAGATGTGTGAGTGGGCCCGCAGAAGAATGTCCAGCAACCAGTGCCATGCCACAATGGGGTGCACGGCTCAGAGACACAGGACGCTCTGATGGCTGAGTGATCAGCCTCCCACCCAGCAGCCTCCAGGCATTTCTACGTTGATCAAAACATTCCATGAGGGGACTGACTACAAAAGGTCCCAGAGACTTCTCTGGAAGGATGGAAATAATCTATGCCTTGACTGCACT
This sequence comes from Homo sapiens, assembly GCF_000001405.40. NCBI lineage: Eukaryota > Metazoa > Chordata > Mammalia > Primates > Hominidae > Homo > Homo sapiens. The sequence continues at coordinate 128,813,835 of NC_000012.12, forward strand.
GGTGGTTACACAACCTGAGTAAGTTTGTCATAATTCACAAAACTGTACAGATATAAGGGGTAAATTTTACTATCTGTAAATTATTCCTCAATAAAGAGTAACACAAACACTTCTGAGCTCTCTTCTTGGGCTTAAGTTCTGGACTTTATTAACTGGCATCCAACATCACCAAACATGAGTCATAGTTGGCCAGTGACTTGGAGGGGTTCTGAGGACACAGGCCTTTCTGTTTTAACACCTCAGTTCATGGGACTTTGGTGCTAACACTGGGTAAGTCCCATGAGATCATCTGGTTACCCTCAGTGCATCTCGCCATTCTGCTACTGCACCTTCCTGTCAAGAGTTACAGACCTGACCGCCGTATGATGGACCTGACCGCCGTATGATGGACCTGACCGCCGTATGATGGACCTGACCGCTGTATGATGGACCTGACCGCCGTATGATGGACCTGACCGCTGTATGATGGAGCCCATGCTGACCTTTAGGTAAGAGGCAGTGGCTTACTTTTTAAAGAGCAGAGACAGGTACTGACAGCATAAGCAACTGCTTAGTTTTTCATTCAAATGTATTTCAAAGCTTTTTAAAATAAAAAGAAACATGTATAAAGCATGTCTTCTGTCTCCTCGATGTCCTCCACAAATTTCTACCTTTATAATCTGGCACCAAAGGAGCTTCCGTCTACACTAGCAGTGAGAGAAAGTGCAACGTGGGGTTAAAGCATGAGCTCTGGAATCAGGCCACTGGCCTGTCTTTAAGATGGGATAATAAGACCGCACCCGCCTCCTTGGGGAAATGCAGTGTTAAAGGAGAGAAGACATGTAAACCACTCAGCCCAGGCCCAGCACACAATAAGCACACAACAAACCGAAGCTAGGATGTTAATAAAGAGATCGATAAAGTCCTTTCAAACAGCCCAAGATGAGAACTAAGTGCTTACCCATTACTCTGGCGCTCTCCACTTCGCTTCTGGGAACAGCAGGAATACGTCAGTATCTTGAACATGTCGGTGAAGGCACTGCCATCAGGAGGCTTGGTGATGAAAACGCTCTGGCCACAGAGGAAGACCACAAAAGCAAGGCCGACGCAGACAGTGGGGATCGCATAACCAGTGACAAAGCTGACGTTCTGCTGAATATAGGCAATGCCACCTAACGACAGGATCGCTCCCAGGTTAATGCTCCAATAAAACCAATTAAAAAATCTCCTAGTGGCTTCCGGACCTCGATCTTTAACCTAAAATAACAGGGAGGAAAGACACTTGAAAATATATGACAGTCTTCAAGGATGAAAACCATATACGGTCAAGTGGTTAAAATTACCGTTGTCATCACAACCTTTAAGAAGCGCAACACAATCAAAATTGTGTTTACAGAAACATTCACGGATCTCAACAAAAAGCACACCCCACGCTTTTAATTACTACAGTTGCTAGGTAGGTTTCACTTAATTACACTAAATTCCAACAAATGCTAGAGAGTTTTTCCAAGTATATTCTGCTGTAGAATTTTCTAAGTACCTGAACCACTTGCCTTGGAATTACCTGGAATGCTCTTTAAAAACAGAGTCCGCTGGGCATGGTGGCTCACGCCTATAATCCTAGCACTTTGGGAGGCTGAGGCGTGTGGATCACTTGAGGTATGGAGTTCGAGACCAGCCTGGCCAACATGGTGAAACACCGTCTCTACTAAAAATACAAAAATTAGCCAGGCATGGTGGTGGGCACCTGTAATCCCAGCTACTTGGGAGGCTGAGGCAGGAGAATCGCTTGAATCCAGGACATGGAGGTTGCAGTGAACCGAGACTGTGCCACTGTACCTGGTTGACAAGAGTGAAACTCCATCTCAAACAAACAAACAAACAAAAAACAAACACAGTCACAGGACCCACGCTCCAGACCTACTGAATCACGGTCTCTGGGGCCCAGGCCCAGGAATCTGCATTTCAAGCAACTTCCCAGGTGACTTCTACTCACAGGTAAGTTTTAGAACCAATGTTATAAAGCTCCATGCCTTACTGAGCTACATGCAAGTACCATGAGGCACCCCACAAATATGCTTAGGCCCCAAAGAGAGACATTTGTTCAGTGAGGCCAAGTCACCACCCACACCAATTGTATCTGGTCTCCTGAGAATCAGAGATCTCAGTAAACTTGAAGCAAAGAGGAAATTATAGACTAAAGATAAAACCACATGCTATTTTTAGATTAGACAGGCTATCAATGGAATCGGAGAAATTCTGATAAGGGTGGGATTTCCAAAAGGCTCAAAAATCACTGACTTCCTGGACTCAAACAAAAGCACTGAGGTAATAACGCAACATCTAGGCTTATGGAGTTCACGAGGCTACTTCAATGGAGCCCAAGCGGTGGGAACAGGTCATTTGGGGGCAGACACACCAGAAGCCTTCTCTGCCCACCTGGATTTTTACGTCTAAATAAGATACTGTGCAAATGAACCCTGTACTAGACAGAGACATTTCTAGTGAGTTTCATTTCATAAATTTATTTTTAACAAACTTATGAGAGGCTGATACTGGATCTCATAAAAAGACTCTCTTGCTGTCTTAAAAACTTCTACTGTCTCATTCTTAAGTCACAGGTTATGAAAGAGTTAGAAAATTCTTATTCTAATAATAGATCTAGTTTCTGGATCCATAGAACAATCTGCTCTACTGAATAACACATTCTCAATGGGGCCAAAACAACCAATTACGGTTGGGCATGGTGGCTCAGGTCTGGAATCCCAGCACTTTGGGAAGCCAGGGCAGGCAGACCGCTTGGGTCTAGGAGTTTGAGAGCAGCCTGGGAACACAGACAGACCCCCATCTCTACAAAAAATTACAAACATCAGCCAGGTGCGGTGGTGTGCGCCTACAGTCCCAGCTACCTGCGAGACTGAGGTGGGAGGATCCCTTGAACTGGGGAGGAGGTGGCAGTGAGCTGTGATGGCACCACTGCACTCCTGCCTAAGCGACAGAGGCCCTGTCTCAAAAGAAAAAAAAAGATATGGTATGTAATAAGCACATGCATCTTTTTAGCAGTCATATATTTGATATGGTATTTTAAACTCTATTTTTTAAAGATTAAATCAGAGGAGTAAAATTTATAGTTAAAATTGTGTGTTCCTCTCTAAAGGAAATAGAGCAAAAGAAAAAAAATTGTGTGCTCCTCAAAAAGAGATTTGTTTGAAGTCCAAATGATTAAGCATGGCCACTATGGTGGCAGGTAATTAATTATATATAGTAACACCACTTCAAACGAAAAATCTAAATTTAAAAGAAAATCACTTATTCTCAAGAGTTTAAACTTTTCTCTTATCTATTACAATACTGAACAGAGGTCCTAGACCAAATGCAGACATCTCTACTGAATAAAGAGTTTGAGGTGAGAACTTCACAGACATCTAAGACACTTCTTCACTAGGACACAATGCATTTAAATATTGCTCAACAGTGGACACCAATTCTCATGCTATACTAGACATGGACCAGGAAGAAAAATGAAAAATGTGAGCAGAGAAATGGTTACTGAGAAAACAAAACTAGAAGTGCGAAAAAATAACAAACAAAAAGTAATTTTTTGACAAGCATAAAAGAGGCCAGTAAACATAGTATATAAACTTAATAGAGGCACAAATGATTTCCTAACTGAAATGTACTCGGACCTTCCCATTACCCACAGTGACACTGCACACACCTTCCCACGGTCTCACTCGGGCCTTCCCGTTACCCACAGTGACACTGCACATATCTTCCCACAGTCTCAGACTTATGTCCTCTTCAGATGAAGCATGAAAATATCAGCATTTGATTACTCTGGGAAAATCCTAACCTTAAAATGCCATTCATCCTCATTTCCTGTGTAATTGTGGTGGTCAATTTATTCCAACTCCAAGAGTAATCCATCAAAATTACTTTATAAGCCAAAATTACTAAGCCCTAAATAACCACACAGCAGGCATTTCTGTACCAAGGGAACCTGGCTGCTGTGAAGGGACATCACATGCTTCCCAGCCCCTGGCGAGCAGGCCACAACCTCCTGCCCATCGTTTGCATGACATCACTGTGTGAGCTGCAGCTACGTGCCCTACCAAGGGTAAACAAGGTTTTCACATGACTGGCCAAAAGATACCACCAAAATCAATTTGGAGAAGAAAAGCTAAAAGAATAGAATTGTGTACAGCATACCAAACAGTTGGCTGACAGAAGAATTCCTTAAAATGGGGTGTCAGTTTTTCCTCTAGAAAAAAAAAAAATGCATCATTTGCTCTTTTCATCTGTAACATAAGATTTTCGTCTTTCAGGTCACTATTTCAAATAATCCATCCACCAAGAACGATTGTGACCTTTGAAAAAGGTGAAACACTGGGGGAAGATACGGCCTGACATGATTTACACGAACATACGTCTCCCTTGGACTCACAGCTCACACATCCTCTTTCAGAAGCCAACTAGGCCTCCTTCTCAAAGCTATGCAGCCTCACCCCATTGTCTCTCCTATCAGAATGTTTCCCAGAGGCTCTACCTGGGAGATGAAGAGGTAAGTGACAAAGAACCATAAAAAGCACCTTAAAAATACAAACAGGTTTCCTCTAAATGAAAAGGACCAAACCAGGACAAATTAACCCTCGCCTGGGGCACAACAGAGTGTACTTCAGGCCTGCACACCTCAGGGTCCCCAGCCAGGCCTCCTGCCATGAAGCAGCCGCACCTGGAGGGGGACCTGCCACCTGGTCACGGGCAAGCACCCTGGCATAAGGGTACTTTTCCCTTCAAATGTTTTTTCACTATGATTCACATACCATAAAATTCACCCTTCAAAAGTGTACAATTCAGTAGTGTCTAGTATATTCAGAGATGTACAGCCATCACTGCCATCCAAGTCCACATTCTCATCACACCAACAGGAACTCCTGTTCCCTTTAAGTCAGTCCCACGCCCCTCTCCTGGCCCGTGGCAACCCTTAATCTACTTCCAGTCTCTGTGGACTCGCCTCTTCCGGGCATTCCACATCAATGGAATCACACAACTGGGGCCTTATGTGTCTGGCTTCCTTCATGCAGCCGAATGTTTTCAAGGCTCATCAGTACTTCATTTCTTTTTTAATGGCTGAAAAATATGCCATTGTATGGATATACTATATTTAGTTTATACATTCATCAGTGAACATTTTCTTATCTTTCATTTAAAAAAATTCCAAATGTATAGAAAAGTTGAATTGCAAAATGCACACCTCTCTACCCTTCACTTGGAGCCTCAGCACTTTTTTCTATACATAAAAAATACTGGCCGAGCGCGGTGGCTCACGCCTGTAATCCCAGAACTTTGGGAGGCCGAGGCAGGTGGATCACCTGAGGTCAGGAGTTCGAGACCAACCTGGCCAACATGGTGAAACCCCGTCTCTATTAAAAATACAAAAATTAGCCAGGCGTGGTGGCTCACACCTGTAGTCCCAGCTACTCAGGAGGCTGAGGCAGGAAAATAGCTTGAACCAGGAGGCAGAGGTTGCAGTGAGCTGAGATCATACCGCTGCACCCCAGCCTGGACAAGAGAATAAGACTTGGTCTTAAAAAAAAATACTTCTGGGTGATCTACATACAAATAAGCTCCAGCAACCAATTTCACCCCCAAAATTTCATCATGAATCTCCTGGAAATAAGGACATTCTTTTAACGGCAGTGAAATTACCACACCTAAGAAAGGCAACATTGGTCCATTATTAGCTAATAGGCGGTCTACAAACTATCCCAAGCATCCAAGAAGAACGGCCATGAAAGCAGCTGGGATCCAATCACTCAGCACGCGCTGCAGGGGGCGGCCAGGTCTCCCGAGTAGCCTTTCATCCACAAGGTCCTCTTTTAACATGACAGCATTACGTCGGAAGAGATCAGGCCAGCTATCTTTCGGAAGAAGGCACATCTCCTTTCAACATCCACATTTAATTATGGATGAAAGAGCGCATATTCTGTCAGATTCATCTGAGATAACCGAGCACCATTTCCTCCTCATTTTAAGAAGTATCAATTACTCGCCTGTTATATCCTGGAGAGCACCAGCTTTTAAGTCAGGCTGCCAGGGCCCCAAACCAGCTCCCCTAGGCACCTGCTGTGCAGCCTTGGGAGCTAACCCTCTAGGCCTCTGTTCCCTGGACAACAGGCTTAACTGCAGCACACACACCAGCAACTGTGGCGAGGCTTAAATAAGATCACGTGGGAAAGGCACAAGTAAGAGGCATAATAGAAGCTTTCCAGTACACCTGTGTGGGGTGGCCAAGTCTTTAAAAGATAGAGGCTGACTGTGCTACCAGCCCCGTTCCTTCATGAGCCAATGGCACCCCAAGGCCAAGAGCCTGGGCCTTGAGATCCAGCCCTGCAGAACCATTACGGAACGCACGCACACTGGGCCCATCTTAGTGTGGTAGCTAAAAAAGAACCAGAGCTGGGATAGAAGTCCAGCTTGACCACTCACTACCTACAGGCAGTAAGAAAGTGATCTGTTTTTGTGCCTGTTTCCTCATCAGTAAAGTGGATCTAAGACTCCTGTGAGGTTCAGATTTCGTCACATATGTAAAGCATACGCCACTGTACAAAAAACCCAGTTCCAATTCAGTACATTAGAAACTATCATTTCTAACGTCATTCTAAGGTGTCTCCTGACTGTAACGGATAGCCTTACACAGGCAGAGTGAAAGCTCACATTCAAAGGACAGGCTTTTGAATCCTGGCTCAGTCACATACAAGCTGTGTAACTTTGGGCCAATGATTAAACCTCTCAAGCCTCAGTTTCCTCATCAGTAAAATGGGCACCGTACGTGTCATGTAGACTAAGTAGTCGTGTAGACATGTAGACATGTAGCATACGTGTCATGTGGACTAACCAGATACTGTACTTAGGTACTTAGCAAGCACTGTGCCTGGTGCACAGTAAGCTCTCAGTAAATGTTCCTAAAAAACAGGCACTCACAGATACTTAGGCAAAAGCCTAAGAGTCGCCTTCCCTACTGCTCACATGCCATGGTTTCCATATCTGACCCTCCAAACCTCATGAAGAAATGTGATCCCCAGTGCTTCTCGTGGGGCCTAGTGTTTGGGTCATGGGGACGGATCCCTGAAGAAAGGCTTGGGGCTGTCACAGGAGTGAACTCTCCTATGAGAGAGGTCGTTTACAAGCCTGGCACCTCCCTCCCCTCTCTCACTTCCTCTAGTGCATGTGATCTCTACACAGCTGGCTCCCATTCACAAGGCCCTCAGCAGTGCAGATGCTGGCGCCCTGCTTCTTGTACAGCCTGCAGAACCCTAAACCAAAGAAACATCTTTCCATTATAGATGACTGAGCCTCAGGTATTCCTACATAGGAACACAAACAGGGAGACAACCTGCCAGTACTTCCTGCCCATTCTACTTCCATAGCTGAACTCCATCCATCCACTTCACCCACCTCCACTGCCTCCACTCTAGTTAGGAGAGACTCCCACCTCATGTCCCTAATGTCACCACTTCCTACACAACCCATTCTCTACAAGCATCCGCACACTTCTGTGAAGGGGCAGGCAGTTCACATTTTGAGTTCTATGAGACATCTCGTCTCCATCACAGTTACTCAATTCTGCCACTGCTTAGTGAAAGCAGCCCCAGTGTAGTGGCTGTGTTGCAGAAACAGGTGGGGCTATGTTCCAATAACGCTTTATTTATGGAGATTGAAATTTGATTTTCATAAAATTTTCACTGGTCACAAATGATCCCGTTTCCGACCACTTAAAAATGTAAGAACTAGCTGGGCGCCGTGGCTCATGCCTGTAACCCCAGCACTTTGGGAGGCCGAGGCAGGCAGATCACAAGGTCAAGAGATCAAGACCATCCTGGCCAACACGGTGAAACCCCGTCTCTACTAGAAATACAAAAGTTAGCTGGGCACAGTGGCGTGCACGTGTAGTCTCAACTACTCAGGAGGCCGAGGCAGGAGAATCGCTTGAACTCAGGAGGTGAAGGTTGCAGTGAGCTGAGATCGCGCCACTGCACTCCAACCTGGCAACAGAGCGAGACTCCGCCTCAAAAAAAAAAAAAAAAAAGAAAGAAAGAAAATATTAAGAACCATTCTTAGCTTGTGAATCCTCAGAAAATAAGAAGCAGACCTGACCTGCTACCCCAGCTGTAGTGCCTGCTCTGCACAAATCACTCCCTGCTGGAACCCAGTAAAGCTCTCGACTGTATCCCCAACGCTTTAACACTCCTCACATGATCCGGCCCCAGCCTTCCACCTCACTTCCCACTTTTTTTTATATTTTCTGAAACGATCTGACTTTGCTATTGCTCTTAAAGGCGGCCTATTCTGCATATAATACTTGGTGGCCACGTCCTTGCCCCTCCTGAAGAGCTGCAGTGGTTCCTCCCTCACTTCTTGGCAGTTACAGTTGCAGGGGAGCAGCTTGATGCTAACTTGATTCAAACTCATTTTCATCTGAGCTTTCCGACCCAACCTAGCCCGTAACTCCTTTAAAGCCACGAAGACGCAATATGAGTGTTTTCCCACTTCTTTGTAAAGGAAGCTAAGGCAACAACGGGGGCTTCCCCTTCCCTCAGCTTCCTGGCCCAGGGCCCTGCACCTGCGAATCCCCATGTCTGGAAAGCTCCTCAAACAACTGCTCTTTCCTAGCCTTCTGGTCTGAACTTACAGGGCCTGAACATAGAAGGGTCCCGTTCATTTATTTTTTATTTATTTATTTATTTTTATTTGGAGACAGAGTCTCGCTCTGTCGCTCAGGCTGGAGGAGTGGAGTGGCGCGATCTCGGCTCATCGCACCTCTGCCTCCCGGGTGCAAGCGATTCTCCTGCCTCAGCCTCCCGACTAGCTGAGAGAACAGGTGCCCGCCACCACGCTCGGCTAATTTTTGTATTTTTAGCCAGGCTGGTCAGGCTGGTCTCGAACTCCTGACCTTAGGTGATCCACCCACCTCGGCCTCCCAAAGTGTTGGGATTACAGGCGTGAGCCACTGCGCTCAGCGTATTTTTTAAATTTTATTTATTTATTTTTTTGAGGTGGGGTCTCACTCTGTTACCCAAGCTAGAGTGCACTGGTGTGACCCTAGCTCACTGCAGCCTCCGAAACTCGTAGGCTCAAGGAATCCTCCTTTCTCTGCTAGGACTACAGGTGTGCGCCTCCACGGAGGGCAAATTTTTAAATTTTGGTAGAGATGAGGTCTCACTGTGTTGCCCAACCTGGTCTCAAAGTCCTGGGCTCAAGAGATCCTCCCGCCTCGGCCTCCCAAAGTGCTGGAATTACAGGCGTGAGCCACCGCGCCCGGCCTCTCTTTTCTTTAAAGCCACTGTGGCCATCACTGTGTGTGTAGACCTCACCCCGCCCCAGGCAAACCCCTTCCAGCACCCATCACACCGGTACCTCCAGTCTTGGCCCACCTGCTGGCGGGATTCCTCGGCACTAGACAGAAGCCCCCCGGGGCAAGGGGCTCCCTCCGCGGTCAGAGGCAGGGACTGGGGCAGGGGAAGAGGCTGGGGCTGGGCAGGGGCTGGACAGGGACAGGGACAGCGCGCGGGGGCGCGGCTCACCTGGTCGGCGCCGAAGGGCGTGATGTTGGCCTTGACGGTGGCCACGCCCAGGCCCACCAGCACCAGCCCCGCGAAGGTGGCCGGTGAGCAGCAGCGGGCGGCGGCGTCGGGACCAGGCGCCGTGCAGTTGAGCAGGCGCGCGGAACCGCAGAGCGCGGCTCGCGTGGCGGGCGCGGCCAGCAGCGGGAAGGCCAGCATGCCCAGCAGGTAGAGCGCCAGGCTCAGCAGGATGGCGCGCGCCCGGCCCAGCCGCGCGTCGGCCAGCCAGCCTCCGAACGGCGAGCCCAGGTAGGTGAGGCCCATGAAGAGCAGCAGCGCCTCGCTGGCCTGCGCGCCCTCCCAGCAGAACGGCGCCCCGTTCAGGAATAGCACCAGGTTGGACGTGATGCCGTAGAAAGCGGCGCGCTCCAGCAGCTCCGTCAGCAGCACGGCCCCGCACGCCGCGCGCCGGCCCGCGAACGCCCCAGCCGCCGCCGCGGCCGCCGCCGCCCGCCGCGCGCCCAGCAGCGGCGCCCGCTCGCCCGCACCGCCCCCAGAGCCCTCCATGCGACGCCGCCAGCTGCCTCGCCCCGCCGCCGGGTCACCTGTCCCAGAACCCAGGGCCGCCGCCCTTCTCGCGAGACTGCCGGGCCTGAGATGTCCCTATTGGGCGGGCTCGCCGCTGCTCAACGCCCCACTCGCCGGAACTTCCGGCCCCGCCCCGGGCACTAGGCGAGGAGGTGGCCGGTATTCTGGATCACTGCGTGTCTTGGGGAGCTTGGGATTCCGCAGCTTGGCGGCCGAGAGCCTTTGTTTGCCTTTTTGAGACAGGGTTTCCCTCTCTCGCCCAGGCTGGAGCGCAGTCATGCGGTTACGCCTCACTGCAGCCTCAGCTTCCCAGGATCAAGCGGCCCTCCCACCTCAGCCTCCCGGGTAGCTGGGACCGCAGGCGCTCGCCGCTGCCTGTGGCTAATTTTTAAACAGTTTTTTGAAATGGGGTCTCGCTTTGTTGCTCAGGTTGGTCTCGAACTCCTGGCATCAAGCGTTCCTCACGTCTCAGCCTCCCATAGTGTTGGAATTACGTGCATGAGCCACTGCAGGCAGTCGGACTAAGGGAGTTTAAACAAAGAAGCCGGAGCCTGGCCCTCTTCGGGCTTCGGTGGGGCCCAGTAGGCAGCCAAAACTCACACTGAGACGGCGGCTGCTCTCCAGGCGGGTTTGCTCAGGCTGCCCCCGTGCTCCCTGCCCTGGGCTTCAGTCCTGGAGAGGACCCGGTTTCTCAACCCGTGCATCGTTGGCACTTTGAGCGACGGGACTGTCCTGTGCGTTGCACGATGTTCAGCAGCAGCTTTGGCCTCTGCTATCCACTAGGGGCCAGTTCCACCCCCTAGCACCTCAGGTTAACAACCGAAAATGTCTTCTAGACTTTGCCGAAGGACTCCTGGGGGCAAATACGCCCCCATTGAGACTCACTGGCTTAGAACAAGGCAAGCTCCAGCCTGTTTCAGGCTTTCCCAGAGACTGCCCCTACACCATCTATGGTTGCATGGCTGGCTTCTCATCCTTCAACCTTCCACCGAAGTGTTGACTTCAGAGAAACATTTTTTTCACTAGCCTGTCCAAGGCCCGAGTATCCCATTCCATCATGTTACTCTTTTCTCCTTATTACCTGTTACATTTTTTAATTTATTCGTTTATCTCCCCAACCTGCATGTGTTAACAGGTGTAAGCTTCCTGATGGCAGGATTCTCTTGTGTTTTGTTCCTCACTGTGCCCCCTGCCTCTGGGACAGCGCCTGGCACATAGTGGAGTGAAAGAGTGCCGCCCAAAAATGGCCCTCAGCATGGCTTCAGAAATTGAGACCCCGGCCTGGGATGGTGGCTCACGTCTACAATCCCAGCACTTTGGGAGGCCGAGGCGGACGGATCACGAGGTCAAGAGATCGATACCATCCTGGCCAACATGGTGAAACCCCGTCTCTACTAAAAATACAAAAATTAGCTGGGCGTGGTGGCAGGCGCCTGTAGTCCCAGCTACTCAGGAGGCTGAGGCAGGAGAATCGCTTGAACCAGGGAGGCAGAGGTTGCAGTGAGCCGAGATTGTGCCACTGCATTCCGGCCTGGTGACAGAGTGAGACTTCGTCTCAAAAAAAAAAAAAAAGACAAAAAAAAAAGAAATTGAGACCCCGGCCTGGGATGATGGCTCACGCCTATAATCTCAGCACTTTGGGAGGCTGAGGCAAGAGGATTGCTTGAGCCCGGGAGGTAGAGGCTGCATTCAGCAGTGAGGGCATCACTGCACTCCAGCCTGGGTGACATAGTGAGACCCTGTCTCAAAAAAAAAAAAAAAAAAAGGCAAGAAAGAAAGGAATCGTGATCCACAGCTGCTGCAATGATTCAATTAGTGTAAGACCACCTCCTCTTCCTTCATCATTCCCTCCAGCTAAGATGAGGGTGGAGCCAGTAGCTGGGAAGTTGGCTTGCCAGTAGGTCATCTGGAGAAGTAATCCTGCCAGTAAGTCTTGAAGTTGCATGCATTCTCTTTTTAAAAAACTTTTTTAAATGTCCGACAGATAGACTGATGGTCAGCACAGTGCTGCCACACAGCAGGCAATATATATTTAATCAATGTCTAAGGAGAGAATAATTGAATGCCCGAATTGGACCTTTGCCACCTGTCTGTTGATGCTTGTCATTTCCAGCTGTCAGCTCAAATATCACTTTCCTAACCCTGCCACACTAGGTTAGCTCCCCGTTTTTATGGCCTTGGAACTCCCTATACTTTTTTCCCACAGCACCGGTTATAATTTATACTTATTTTGTGCAACTATTGAATGCCTGTCTTCAAAGCTGGGATGGCCGGGATCTTTGTTTTAACCACGATTGTAGTTCTAGAGGCTGGCACAGCACTTGCCAATGATAAATAGGTATTAGATTGAACTGGATGAGTGAATGACTGACCATTTGTTGAATGTAAATGATGCAAGTCACCTTATGTTCTCATATATGTGTGTGTATACACATATGTATATCTGTGTGTATATATGTATATATGTGTGTATATAAGTGTGTGTATATGTGTGCATGTATACATGTGTATATATATGTGTCTATACATGTTCAAGGGCATATATTAGTATTTTAACTTATTATTGGATACTAATATATGTCCTTGAACATGTACATATAGACACACACACACACATATGTGCCATTTTTTTTTTTTCTTTTTGAGATGGAGTTTCGCTCTTGTAACCCAGGCTGGAGTGCAGTGGCACAGTGGCTCATGCCTGTAATCTCAGCACTTTGGGAGGCCAAGGCAGGCAGATCACTTGAAGTCAGGAGTTAAAGACCAGCCGGGCCAACATGGTGAAACCCCATCTCTACTAAAATTACAAAAATTAGCCAGGCGGTAGTGTTGCGCACCTGTAATCCCAGCTACTCAAGAGGCTCAGGCAGGAGAATCGCTTGAGCCTGGGAGGTGGAGTTGCAGTGAGCCGAGATCACGCCACTGCACTCCAGCCTGGGTGATAGAGCGAAACTGTCTCAAAATAAAAAATAAAAAAGAAAGCAATAGAACTCAGACTTCAATGAAAGGCTTATATCTAATTATGAGTCCAGTGCTGCTTCCACTTTGCAGTTGGTAGAGGAGACAGAATCTTTGAGTATTTTTTCTAAGACTGATAGGTTTGACGCTCAGGCAAAGTCTAGAGTAAAATTAACATTAAACATGGAATGAAAGCAAAGCAAATGATTTGAATCATGTGATAACCCAGTGTCCAAACAGTGCTCAATACACTCTGCCATTTTTGAATGATAGTAAACTAATCCGATTGCATTGCCTCATTTGAGAAAACTAAAGCTAAGTTTAAAAAAACAAAAAAGTGAGCCAAGACCACATCTGGCAAGATCACATTTATATGCAATGGCCAGAATAGGCAATAGGCAAATCCATACAGACAATGCAGATTAGTACAGTTTCCTGATACTGGGGGAGGGGAGGGGAAGATTGGTGCACATCTCTGTGAATGTACTAAAAAACCACTGAATTCTACAGTTTATATAAGTGAATTATATGGTATGCGAATATGTCTCCATAAAGCTGGTACCAAAAGAAAGTGAACTAATAGTTACAGTTTGAAAGGTTTCACATATAAATTTGGATGCCTTGCTATTTGGGGAAAATAAATGTGAGCTCTGGCAATGCTGGACTTGTGATTACCTGTTACATTAGTATGATCCCATCACTTTGAACCATGCCCCATAGTATTCAAGCCTTTATGTATTCCTCAGAGATCACACCACAGGGCCTGTCCTGTGACCTGTTTTGACCAAGAGAATACATCAAAAGTGTCTCTGGGCCTGGTCTGGGCACAGGCTTAAAGTCTGACACCTTCCACTTTCATGACTGGGGTGTCCGGAGCCATCATATTAGACGTCCACCTGCCTTCCATCATATGTTGAGGAGGAGTCTGCAACTATGTGGAGAGGGGATTCTCAGCATTCCAGATGACCTGCCTACTGAATGCAGCCATGTGAAGACCAGCAGAAGAACCACACAGCTGAGCCTCAACCCAGATAGCAGAATTGTAAACAAATAACATGGTTGTTCTTTTAAGCCACTAAATTCTGGGGCAGTTTATTATGTAGCAACAGGTAATGGAAACACATTTGCTTCCCCCTGTAGCCACAATCTGCTGACACTCAGCAGCAGCCACTGTCTTTAGATGGCAGACACTTTCTAGCTTTCCTAAACCCTCCCCACTCACTATTGTCTTATTTTTGTTATCATAGAGAAAATTCTCCATATCTGCATAGTCCAGCGCAGGAGCCACTAGCTATGTGTGGCTATTGAAACTAGTTAAAATTAAATAAAATGAAAAATTCTGTTCCTCAGTTACACTAGCCATATTGCAAGTGGTTTGTGGCTAGTGGCTACCGTATTGGACAGCATAGTCTATTTCACACCATCATTGCAGTAACTTCTATCAGCAACCCCATTCTTTTTTTTTTTTTTTTTTTTTTTGAGACGGAGTCTTGCTCTGTTGCCCAGGCTAAAGTGCGATAGTGCCATCTCGGCTCACCATTACCTCCACCTCCCAGGTTCAAGTGCTTCTCCCGCCTCAGCCCCCCAAGTAGCTGGGATTACAGGCATCTGCCATCATACCCAGCTAATTTTTATATTTTTTATAGAGGTGGGGTTTTACCATGTTGGCCAGGCTGGTGTTGAACTCCTGAAGTCAGGTGATCTGCCTGCCTTGGCTTCCCAAAGTGCTGGGATTACAGGCTAGAGCCACCACGCCCGGCCAGCAACTCCATTCCGTACTAAAATGTAATGGATATGATTGACTAATTAGCCAACATCCATACTCTTTCTTTTTCCAAACAATCCTGATTCTCTTCACATATTTGTCTTCCTTAACCCACCCCTGTCCCCACCAGCTTCCCATGTAGCTCAGGAGAACCTGACTTCATCCTTGTTCCCAGATAGAACTAGCCCACACCAGTACTAGTCTCATGCCTCTTCATGGTGACCAGTTCAGGAACGCAGACTCTAACCTTTCAGGACACGAAATTTCCCTGGTGCCTGCGGTTACTGACCCAGCAGTGGACAAATGAGGTAAGTTGACCCAGTCAGACTAGAGGCAAGGCCACTTATTGGCTGACTGTGGGCGAGGCACATGCTCCCAAACTGGATGTGAGTTAGGAAACCTGCAGCTCTAATAGCTCCTGATGGCTATTGACAACCATGAGATGAACCAGCTTAGGATGAGACTGACTTGGGGGATGGCACAGGAGACTCAGGGAGAAGTGAGATAATAAGTCTTAACATTGTTTAAGCCACTGTGTTGGGTTTTCTGTTATTTGTATTACTTGTGGCCCCAAGCCACCTATCATAATTCTATCAAAAATGGAAAAAATAAAAGAACTGGAAGGCTAGGGCAGGAGAATTGCTTGAACCCAGGAGGCAGAGGTTGCAGAGAGCCGAGATCGCACCACTGCATTCAGCATGGGCGACAGGGTGAGACTCCGTCTCAAAAAATAAAAAATAAAAAAATTAAGGAACAAGAGAGGCCAGCCTGATTTTTTTCTCATGCCTGACCCATGAGTTTTCTGCTGGGCTTCTGTAATGATTGGGTTTGCAGCCCCTGTACTGAGCCCCCAGTGATGGTATAGCTAAAGAATTGATGTAAGGTGATTCCTCCCACTTTATTGGATATGCTCGCAATATACTTCTGCCCCAAAAAGTGATCCTATGAGTCTCTCCTTTGCAGCTAAAATTAATAAATGACCCAACCCATACAGTAGGCATCTAAGGGATAGGTAACCGTGTCTTCCAAAATAACATTTTTGTCTATTGGCTCTTCACCTCAAGGGCCCTCTAGAAAAGGGGCAAGGACACTCTTTGCAAAGGTGCCTGTGGTGTGGACTAGACTTGGAAACACAGGGTTCTCCCTTCTCTGGTACCACTTTGTCTCCTGAGCCTCACCCAGTGCAGAGCTCGAGTGGGTGTGATTTAAGGCAGTGAACTGAGAAACCGTCACAGACAGGACATTCAGGGGACTGCCTGACTCCTCTGGCTGTTTCATGACATTTCTGCCGTAGTTTCACATCTCTGTTGAGTTGCTCACTCCTCACCGCCAGACAGTTGCCTCTCCTTACTGACAGTTTCAGCTTCCTCAAAACTTCGGGTTAGAAGCAGCTGTCATAGCCTTTCTGTGCCATCTGTACATCACTAACTCACTCAACAAACAACTGTTGAACACCTGCCCCCTGAGTCATGACAGCTCAGCCTCAGCTCAGCTCAGCCTCAGCACTCACGGCCAGTGCTTCAGCTTCTCCAATTTCCCAGATCCCTAGGGAGGGACTCGGATAGGCCCCCTCACCTTTGTGCATCAGGCCATAGCATAAGTCATTAGCCATAGTACAGCCACAGGCCATGCCACACATCTTTTGAATCTCCTTGGGTACAGAGAGTTGCCATAAATTCTATTTACTTCAAGGAGTCACTGTTGCAACCACTCTTTCTGGCTACAAATACTCTTGATAGAAGCAGAAGGTATAAAAAGTGAAATCAATAAAAACACAGGCAACCAACGGAATAGAATCAGGTGTTAAATCCTTGATCCTAAACCAAAGCCACACTAATCTACTTTTAGTATGAACTAATTCAGCTCCCAGAATGACTTGCATTTATTTTAACAGAGGATGTGAGAGTGTACGGTCAGGAAGCTGATTTTGATTTGACTTGTTTCAGGCACTCATTTTATTTGACCCTTGCGAGTAGCAACGTCTGTTTCTTGCGTACTTTTCCACCTGTGTTTAAAAAACCCCCAAGACGTGCAAAAGTTGGGCTTCGCCAATAGAAGCAGGGAGGTGAAGAGAGAGAGAGAGAGTAAGTGAAAGAAAATGAACTTCTGCTTCCTTCTATTGCAAGAAGCGCAAGATGGTGTGACCACACCTAAGATCCTATTTTAACCACCACTTTCACAATTCCTTGTAAGCAACCTTAGCCTAAACTGTAATCATATAATAGTTCGTTGGTAATTATAAGTGTATTTGTTTTCTAGATTAGGCCTTACAGGAAAGATCAAGGAAGATGAATACAAAGAACAAGAACAGAAGCACTAATACAAAATAACTGATTGTATGAAGTGAAATCAGCCAGGCACAGAGAGATACATACCATGTGCTCTCACTCATATATAGAAGCTAAAAAAGTTGATCTCATAGAAGTACATGTTTCAAAATCCTACCTTATGCCCCATAATTATGAACAATTATTATATCAATTAAAAATAATGAGGCCAGGCGTGGTGGCTCACGTCTGTAATCCCAGCACTTTGGGAGACCAAGGCCAGTAGATCACCTGAGGTCAGGAGTTTACGACCAGCCTGGACAACGTGGTGAAACCCTGTCTCTACTAAAAATATAAAAAATTAGCCAGGCGTGGTGGCGGGTGCCTGTAATCCCAGCTACTCCGGAGGCTGAGGCAGGAGAATCTCTTGAACCCGGGAGGCCAAGGTTGCAGTAAGCCGTCATTGCACTATTGCACCCCAGTCTGGGCAACAAGAGTGCAACTCAGTCTCAAAAATAATAATAATAATAATGAAAGGCTGCCTGGTATGGTGGCTCATGCCTATAATCCCAGCACTTTGGAAGGCCAAGCTGGGCAGATCACTTGAGGTCAGGAGTTCCAGACCAGCCTGACCAAAGTGGTGAAAGCCTGTCTCTATGAAAAATACAAAACTCAGCCGGGCATGGTGGCAGGTGCTTGTAATCCCAGCTACTGAGTAGGCTGAGGCCGGAGAAATGCTTGAACCTGTGGAGGTTGCAGTGAGCTGAGATTGTGCCACTGCACTACAGCCTGGGCAAGAGAGCAAGACTCCATCTCAAATAAATAAATAAATAATAATAATAAAAGCAAAAAAGAAAAATCTCAGTGTATGATAATAAAGGGATCTGGTCGGGTGCAGTGGCTCATGCCTGTAATCCCAACACTTTGGGAGGCCGAGGCAGGCAGATCACCTGAGGTCAGGAATTTGAGACCAGCTTGGCCAACATGGTGAAACCCAACCTCTGCTAAAAATACAAAAATTAGCCTGGCATGGTAACGCAAGCCTGTAATCCCAGCTACTATTCAGGAGGCTGAGGTGAGAGAATCATTTGAACTCGGGAGGCAGAGGTTGCAGTGAGCCAAGATCACGCCACTGCACTCTAGCCTGGGCAACCGAGCAAGACTCCATCTCCAAAAAAAAAAAGGTGGGGCCGGGTGCTGTGGCTCACGCCTGTAATCCCAGCACTTTGGGAGGCCGAGACGGGCAGATCAGGAGGCCAGGAGATCGAGGCCATCCTGGCTAACACGGTGAAACCCCGTATCTACTAAAAATACTAAAAATTAGCCGGGCGTGGTGGTGGGCGCCTGTAGTCCCAGCTACTGGGGAGGCTGAGGCAGGAGAATGGCATGAACCCTGGAGGCCGAACTTGCAGTGAGCCAAAATTGCGCCACTGCACCCCAGCCTGGGCGACAGAGCGAGATTCCATCTCAAAAAAAAAAAAAAAAAAAAAAAAGAATCAGTAATTCATCAATTCATGGGGAAAGGATGGATTGTTAAACAAATTATGTTGGAATGAATGTTGAAACATAGGGGAAAACAGTCTTCATATTTTGCACCAACATAAATTTCAGATGGATTAAATATTAAGAAACCAAAACTATAAAAGCACTAGGAGAAAATATTGGCAAATAGATAATCGAGAGAAAATGCCTTCCTAAGCCTAACACTAAAGGCAGAAGGCATGCAGTAAAAAATTAGTTTGACTACATGAAGATTTAAAACTTATGTGTATAAAAAATAATAATTGCTGTTGAGAGCACACAAACTAAGAAAAAAATTGAAGTACATAAGACAATGTTCTTTTTTTTTTTTTGAGACAGAGTCTTGCCACCCATTCTATAAACTCTGTTTTCAGCAGAACTTTTTATATCTCCATATTCCTGAGTCCTATTTATCCTATTATAAGTATGTACAGAATGACAATCTTTCTATAATATGCCTTTATTTTATTTTATTTATTTAATTTTATTTTTGAGATGGAGTCTTGCTCTGCCACCCAGGCTGGAGTGCAGTGGCGCAATCTCGGCTCGCTGCAACCTCTACCTCCCGGGTTCAAGTGATTCTCCTGCCTCAGCCTCCCAAAAGTTAATGTTCTTATTTTATAAAGAGTTATAAAGAATATTATGGGCCGGGCGCGGTGGCTCACACCTTTGGGAGGCCGAGGCGGGCGGATCACGAGGTCAGGAGATCGAGACCATCCTGACTAACATGGTGAAACCCCGCCTCTACTAAAAATACAAAAAATTAGCCGGGCATGGTGGCGGGTGCCTGTAGTCCCAACAACTCAGGAGGCTGAGGCAGGAGAATGGCGTGAACCTGGGAGGTGGAGCTTGCAGTGAGCTGAGATTGTGCCACTGCACTCCAGCCTGGGTGACAGAGCAAGACTCCGTCTCAAAATAAATAAATAAATAAATATAAATAAATAAATAAATAAATAAATAAAGAAAGAATATTATCAAAGGATAAACACCCAACACATAAAATTGGCACAGTGAGTGGCCAGGCTCTTTAGAGGATAGCTATTGTTGGGTCCTATTCAGCATCCATTCTCCCTTCTGGTAACTGCACCTTGATTTTCCTTAACTAATCAATGCTCGCTGTGATTTAGGTCTGGCGGCTGTGATTTAGGTCTGGCGGCTTGACCCCTCCAGTCCAAGAGTGGGCAGTTGACCTATGCCTATCCAATTAGCAGTATCCCATCTATTGAGCTAAAGTACTTGGTTCAGGCCGGGCACGGTGGCTCACGCTTGTAATCCCAGCACTTTCGGAGGCCGAGGCAGGCAGATCACCTGAGGTCAGGAGTTCGAGACCAGCGTGGCCAACATGGTAAAACCCCGTCTCTACTAAAAATATAAAAATTAGCCGGCCACGGTGGCACGCGCCTGTAATCCCAGCTACCTGAGAGACTGAGGCAGGAGAATCGCTTGAACGCTGGAGGCGGAGGTTGCAGTAAGCCGAGTTCATGCCACTGCACTCCAGCCTGGGCAACAGAGTGAGATTCTGTCTCAAAAAAATAAATGAATAAACAAAAATAAAGTATTGATTCACAGATGGACATGTGATCCTAGTTGGTCAAAGCTAATCCCAGAATTTACTCTCGAATGAGCAGGAAGAAGTGATTCTCTTTTCTGTTGAGTTTGAGATCATGGAAATATAAGCTTGGAGTTGCCAGAGGCCATCTTGTGAAACCAGAGAAGTAAGCATCCCAGAAGGAGATAGAGATGAGAGAGACACTTGTTTGAAAAAGACAGTTTAAATCCCAGAATTTTGGAGGCTGAGGCAGGTGGGGATCACCTGAGGTCAGGAGTTCAAGACCAACCTAGCCAACATGGTGAAACCCCGTCTCTACTAAAATACAAAAATTAGCCAGGCTAATTGTGGGGTCTGCCTGTAGTCTCAACCACTTGAGAGGCTGAAGCAGGAGAATCGCTTGAACCCGGGAGGTAAAGGTTGCAGTGAGCTGAGATGGTGCCAGTGTGCTCCAACCTGGACAACAGAGCAAAAGAAAAAAAAAAAAAGAAAAAAGGACTGTTTATAGATCTTGGTTCTGATCATAGCTAAAAGTAGCTTTTTCTTTAAAATTAGACATTTTAATTGTGAGTCCATAAATTCTCCTTTTGGTTAAGCAAATGTGACATTCTGTCAATTGCAATAGAAAAAGTCCCAACCAGCTTTGTACAAAAATCAAATCAAAATGGATTAAAGACTTAAATCTAAGACCTAAAACTCTGAAGCTATGACAAGAAAACACTGGGGAGGGCCAGGCGCGGTGGCTTACGCCTGTAATCCCAGCAGTATGGGAGGCTGAGGCGGCACATCACCTAAGTTCGGGAGTTCAAGACCAGCCTGACCAACATGGAGAAACCTCGTCTCTACTAAAAATACAAAATTAGCCGGGCGTGGTGGCGCATGCCTGTAATCCCAGCTGCTTGGGAGGCTGAGGCAAGAGAATCGCTTGGACCCGGGAGGCAGAGGTTGCGGTGAACCGAGATCACACCATTGTACTCCAGCCTGGGCAACAAGAGCGAAACTCCATCTCAAAAAAAAAGAAAAGAAAAGACAGGACAGGCCAGGTGTGGTGGCTCATGCCTATAATCCCAGCACTTTGGGAGGCTGAGGCGGGCGAATCACTTGAGGTCAGAAGTTCGAGACCAGCCTGGCCAACATGGTGAAACCCCATCTCTACTAATACAAAAATTAGCTGGCCATGGTGGCGGGTGCCTGTAATCCCAGCTACTCCGGAGGTTTAGGCAAGAGAATCTCTTGAACCCTGGAGGCAGAGACTGCAGTGAACCAAGATCGCACCACTGCACTCCAATCTAGGGGACAGAGGGAGACTCTGTCTCAAAAACAAAACAGAACAAATACCAAAAGTGGGGGGAACGCTCCAGGACATTGGTCAGGGCAACGATTTCTTGAGTAAAACTCCACCACAGGCAAAGGCAACCAAAGCAAAAATAGACACATGGGATGACATCAAATTAAAAGCCTTCTTCCCAGAAAAGGAAACAATCAACAAAGTGAAGAGACAACCCACAGAATGGGAGAAAATATTTACAAACCACCCATCTGACAAGAGATTAATAACCAGAATATATAAACAACGCAAATGACTCAATAGGAAAAATTCTAATAATCCCATTTTTAAAATGGGCAAAAGATCTGAATAGACACTTCTCAAGAGAAGACACACAAATGGCGAAGAGGTTACAAAAAGGTGCCCAACATCATCGATCCTCAGAGAACTGCAAATCAAAACTACAATGAGGCCGGGTGTGGTAGCTCATGCCTGTAATCCTGGCACTTTGGGAGGCGGATGCAGCCAGATCACTTGAGGTCAGGAGTTTGAGACCAGCCTGGCCAACATGGCGAAACCCCGTCTCTACTAAAAATACAAAAATTAGCTGGCCGTGGTGGCAGGCGCCTGTCATTTTAGCCACTCAGGTGGCTGAGGTGGGAGGATCGATTGAACCTGGGAGACCGAGGTTGTAGTGAGTTGAGATCGTGCCACTGCACTCCAGCCTGGGCGACAGAGTGAGACCCTGTCTCAAACAAAACAAAACTACAATGAGATATCATCTCACCCTAGTTAAAATGGCTTTCATCTTGGCCAGCGCAGTGGCTCACACCTGTAATCACAGCACTTTGGGAGGCCGAGGTGGGTAGATCACGAGGTCAGGAGTTCGAGAGCAGCCTGGCCAATTGTTGGGAACAAGCCCCCCAAAATCTGGCCATAAACTGGCCCCAAAACTGGCCATAAACAAAATCTCTGCAGCACTGTAACATGTTCTCAATGGCCCTAACGCCCACGCTGGAAGGTTGTGGGTTTATGGGAATGAGGGCAAGGAAAACCTGGCCCGCCCAGGGCAGAAAACCGCTTAAAGGCATTCTTAAGCCACAAACAATAGGATGAGCGATCTGTGCCTTAAGAACGTGCTCCTGCTGCAGTCAACTAGCCTAACCTATTCCTTTAATTCGGCCCATCCCTTCGTTTCCCATAAGGGATACTTTTAGTGAATTTAATATCTATAGAAACAATGCTAATGGCTGGCTTGCTGTTAATAAATACGTGGGTAAATGTCTGTTCGAGGCTCTCAGCTCTGAAGGCTGTGAGACCCCTGATTTCCCACTTCACACCTCTACATGCCTGTGTGTGTGTCTTTAATTCCTCTAGTGCTGCTGGGTTAGGGTCTCCCCAACCAAGCTGGTCTCGGCAGCCAATATGGTGAAACTCCGTCTCTACTAAAAAAAAAAAAAAAAAATTAGCTGGGTGTGGTGGAGCACGCCTGTAGTCCCAGCTACTCAGGAGGCTGAGGCAGGAGAATCGCTTGAACCCGGGAGGTGGAGGTTGCAGTGAGCTGAGATCACGCCACTGTATTCCAGCCTGGGTGACAGAGTGAGACTCCTTCTTGAAAAAAAAATTTCTTTTATCCAAAAGTCAGGCAATAACAAATGCTGGTGAGAATGTGGAGGAAAAGAAACCCTTGTATGTCATTGGTGGGAATGTAGATACGTACAGCCAGTGTGGAGAACAGTTTGGAGGTTCCTCCCAAAACTAAAAATAGAGCTATCATATAATCCAGCAATCCCACTGCTAGATATATAGCCAAATGAAAGACAATCAGTATATCGAAGAGATATTTGCACTCCCATATCTATTGCAGCACTGCTCACAATAGCCAAGATTTGGAATCAACCTAAGTGTCCATCAACAAATGAATGTATAAAGATAATGTGGTACATATACACACTGGAGTACTGTTCAGCCATAAAAAGAATGATATCTTGTCATTTGCAACAACATGGATAGAACTGGAGGACATTATATTAAGTGAAATAAGACAGACACAGAAAGATAAACTTTGCATGTTCTCACTCATTCGTGGGGGCTACAAATTAAAACAATTGAACTCATGGAGATAGACAGTAGAAAGATGGTTACCAAAGGCTGGGAAGGGTAGTAGGGGGAAAGGAAGGAATGGAGATGGTTAATGGGTACAAAAATATAGTTAGATAGAATGAATATGATCTAGTATTTGATTGCACAGCAGGGTGGCAGGCATCTGTAGTCCCAGCTACTTAGGAGGCTGAGGCAGGAGAATTGCTTGAGCCTGGGAGATAGAGGTAGTAGTGAGCCAAGATTGTGCCACTGTACTCCAGTCTGGGAAACAGAGTGAGACTCCATCTCAAAAGAAAAATAATAATTAATTAAAAAAATAAAGAAATAGGCCGGGCGCGGTGGCTCACGCCTGTAATCCCAGCACTTTGGGAGGCCGAGGCAGGTGGATCATGAGGTCAGGAGATGAGACCATCCTGGCTAACACGGTGAAACCCCCGTCTCTACTAAAAATACAAAAAAAAATTAGCTGGGCGTGGTGGCGGGCACCTGTAGTCCCAGCTACTGGGGAGGCTGAGGCAGGAGAATGGCTTGAACCCAAGAAGTGGAGCTGGCAGTGAGCCGAGATCATGCCACTGCACTCTAGCCTGGGTGACAGAGCGAGACTCAGTCTCAAAAAAAATAAAATAAAGAAAAATAAAAGCAAAAAAGAAAAATCTCAGTGTATGATAATAAAGGAATCTGGCTGGGCAGGATGGCTCACACCTGTAATCCCAGCACTGTGGGAGGCCGAGGCAGGTGGGTCACCTGAGGTCAGGAGTTTGAGACCAGCCTGGCTAACATGGTGAAACCCCGTCTCTACTGAAAATAGAAAAATTATCCGGGCATGGTGGCAGGGGCCTGCAATCCCGGCTACTCAGGAGGCTGTGGCAGGAGAATCACTTAAACCCAGGAGGCAGAAGTTGCAGTGAGCCGAGATCGAGCCACTATACTCCAGTCTGGGAGACAGAGTGAGACTCCGTCTCAAAAAAGAAAAGAAATGAAAAGAAAAGAAAATAACTCATGAACAAATCTAGTATTTGATAGCACAGCAATAAACAACAATTTATTTTACATTTTAAAATAATTAAAAGAGTATAATTGGATTGTTAATAACACAAAGAAATGATAAATGCCTAAGGTGATGGAGACCCCATTTACCCTCATGTAATTACTACACATTGCTTGCCTGTATCAAAATATTTCACATGCCCCTTAAATATGTATACCTACTATGTACCATACAAGTTAAAAATAAAAAATTTAAAAATTTTAAAAACAGTTTGAACCAATATAAGCATACACACTCACAGAAAAAAATACAGATGCCTTTCATGAAAAAAAAAAGGCAAATTACACCAATAATTTTAAAATGCAAAAAGAGGAGACATGGTTTGTCACTTGACCTGAAAAATAGCCCGTGTTGGCTATGTTCTGGGAAATAAATATGCTCATAAATGACCAACGGAAAGTAAACCGGCACAGCTCTTCTGGAGGGCAATTAGTCACTTGTATCAAAAACTTACTGGCTTACACTTTGAATGTGCAATTCCACTTCTAGAAATTAAAGAATGTGTGCCCAGACTTACCAATAAAATGTTCATTACAATGTTGCATAAAAATCACAAAATGATTGGAAATGGCAAAGACGTACAACAACAAGGCAGAGATCAAATCAGTTCTAGTGTATGCATATACTGGAATGCTACGTCGTTATTCAAATGATACTGCAGAGGTAGGATTATGAGTTGGAAAAGTGTTCATGACATATTATTGTATTCATTTTCTATTGCTGCGTAGCAAATAACCACTACTTTAGCAGCTTAAAACAATGCCCACTGATGAGTTCACAGGCTTCAGGAGGCTGGAAGTCTAGGCGTTGATATGGCTGGCCTCTCTGTCCAGGGTCTCACAAAGCTGCAATCAAAGTGTTGGCCAGCTGAGATCTCATCGGGAGGTCAGGGCTCTCTTTCGTGCTCATGTGGTTGTGGTAGAAGGTAGTTCCTCGAGGAGATGGGTTGAAGGGCCATTTCCTTGCTGCCTGATGGCTGGGGGCCGCTCTCAGTTCCTGGAGTCGGCCTGCCTCCCTCATCACGCTGTCCTCTTCATCTTTGGAGGAGCAGTAGAGAATCTCCCTGACATCAAGTCACCCTTTGAATCTTTCTGACCTGAGGAAATGCTCAGTCCTTTCAAGAAGACAATTATTAAGTGAGGCTCATCCTGCGTAACCTTCCTATTTTAAGGTCAACCCATTTGGGGATTCAAGTCTCATCTGCAAGTTCTCTCCCTGCCAGCCCCTGGACTGACATGTGATGGATTTGGGAGGAGGTGTGTGTGTACACCATTGTTGGGAACTCTAGCGGGCCCTGTTAGAATTTTGCCTACCACAATTATTAAGTAATAAAGAGCATAATACCAAAATGTACAGGGTGTTTCTATTTCTTGTAGCAAAAATGAAAAACACAAACAAAACAGAACAAGAGCTGACAAGAATACTGTGTCCATACAGCAGAGCCAAGGAAACACCGTAGCGTTTCCACCGCCTGTATTACCTGCTGTGTCCATACAGCAGAGCCAAGGAAACACCGTAGCATTTCCACTGCCTGTATTACCTACTGTGTCCATACAGCAGAGCCAAGGAAACACCGTAGCGTTTCCACTGCCTGTATTACCTACTGTGTCCATACAGCAGAGCCAAGGAAACACCGTAGCATTTCCACTGCCTGTATTACCTGCTGTGTCCATACAGCCCCGCTGAAGAAGCACTGTAGCGTTTCCACTGCTTGTATTACCTCTGGGAGGCATCGCACCTTCCTGTGTCTCCAGCTCTTCGACTGTGAAATGGTGAGAACAGTCCCCAGAGTTTAGGATTCGGGAGGATTCATTGAAGGACACTGAACAGTGCTTAGAAAAATATTAGGCTCCCGGTGCACACCCAGTAAAGTGGACTATTACGATGATTGTATGTCAAGTCAGGAAAAACTTGATGCCAAAATATTCATAGTAGTTATCTCAGGGAAACGAAATTGTGTGAGTTTTTTTTTTTAATGGAGTTTTGCTCTTGTCGCCCAGGCTAGAGTGCAGTGCAATGGCATGATCTCGGCTCACTGCAGCCTCCGCCTCCTGGGTTCAAATGATTCTCCTGCCTCAGCTTCCCAAGTAGCTGGGATTACAGGCATGCACCACCACATCCAGGTAATTTTGTATTTTTAGTAGAGACGGGGTTTCCCTATGTTCAGGCTGGTCTTAAACTCCTAACCTCAGGTGATCCGCCCACCTCAGCCTCCCAAATTGCTGGGAATACAGGCGTCAGCCACTGCACCCAACCTTGTGATTTTTACAATTGTTTTTTGCTTATCTGAATTTCTTAAACATATCTTATTATTTAATAAAAATAAGTTAAAATGTTAAAAGAATAAATACGAGTCTCTGCCCACAACAGGTTGCTACTGAAAGCTGTTCAAATGCAGCCCATCATCCCTTGAGTAAACCTCTGATCCTTACGGCTGTGCCATGCACTGTTAAGCTCACTGTCTCCTTTGCAGGGACGACCGTCTTTGGGATGAGCGGCTTTGTGCTGCAAAGTTAAGAATTGGGTCTGCACTGTCATCAGAACAGCAGTGGGAATTGAAACCCCGACTTCTTGCCAAAAGCTCAAAGGGAAGAAACCACTTATTCTGGTTGACTGACTTCGTCATGTTCATTAAACAACCCTCGCAGGAACTAGATACTTCCAGAATAACAGAATTTTTTTTTTTTTGCAGTTGGTCACTTTCAAGTGCTATTAATAAAAGTCAGGAAAAGGAAACATAACTAGGGCAAAGAAACCACAATTCCACATGCACCTGCTTTATTCAAATGCGGATTTCTCTTTCCTCCCTCTCTTTTTCCTCTTCTCTCTCTCTATCTCTATCTCTCTCTCCATCTCTCACCCTCCCTCTCTTTCCCCCTCTCTGTCTCTCTGTCATTGTCTGTCTCCTGTATCTCTCTCTCCCTCTCTCTCTCTCTCCCTCTCTTCTTACCCCTCTCTGTCTCTTGTCCCTGTCTCTGTCTCTCTGTGTGTCTCTCTCTGTCTCTCTCTTTCTCTCTCTCTCTCTCTCTCTCTCTCTCTCTCACTCTCTCTCTCTCTCTCACACACACACACACACACACAGCATTCATAGTTTGCTGTACCATGGGGAGAAATGATGGTACAAAAACTAAAAACTCTGATAGAAACAAAGAAACAGAGTGCCTTTCCTGTTAATGCTCTAAAGGAAAAAAGGAGAGAAGTTGTGTTGATTTTTGTCACAGAGCCACTTCTAAAGTCAGTATGCCCACCATGCTTTCTCTTGAAAATGCTATCATTTTTGTACAGGGTAGATAATAAAGTTTTATTTTCCCTGGTGCTAGGAACTGGAAAAATAGTCTGAGCAAACACTATGATCAAAGAAAAAAACAGGTTTTGCTTTACATTTATTGTAAGACCCTTATGTTAGAAGCATCTGGAGAAATCTTATGAGAGATGTCTACAACTTTTTCTGTTCTACTGCTCTCCTCCTCGGTAATTATTTCTACATTATCCCATAATAACACATTGCATTTGTACCCTTTTATGTTACCTACTTGAGAGAATCATAAAAGACTCCATCAAAAGAACTAATTAACTATGATATTGTTTATCGTTTTTTCTTGTTTTACAAATGGGTAAACTGAAGCCATGAATGTGTAAAGTAATGGGTCCCAAAGGAGATGTGAGAATATCTTACCTTGTGGAACAGGTGTATTCCAGAACAACCAAATATAAGTGAATTTCAGTTCAGCAAATCCCCTTGTAACACTGACTCCCATTAAAAAGTCAGAAATGGGCCAGGCGCAGTGGCTCACACCTGTAATCCCAGCACTTTGAGAGGCTGAGACAGGTGGATCACTTGAGGTCAGGACTTTGAGACCAGCCTGGCCAACATGGTAACACCTCATCTCTACTAAAAATACAAAAAATTAGCTGTGCACGGTGGCATGTGCCTGTAATCCCAGCTACTTGGGAGGCTGAGGCAGGAGAATCGCTTGAACCTGGGAGGGGGAGGTTGCAGAGAGCCGAGATCGAGCCATTGCACTCCAGCCTGGGTGAGAGAGTGAGACGCCATCTCAAAAAAGTCAGAAATACATTCTTATAGGAATAAAATCTTGTAACAGTGCACATTTAAAGATTTGATGAAACTCAACAAACATTGATTGACTGCCTTTACCCAGGCATGTCACTGTCCCAGGCAAGCCGAGGTTATAGGCACAAATGACTTGGCTGTCGAGGAGGTCACTATCCAGTTGAGGGGAAGGGGCTGACTGCTCCGTGGCTAAATGCAGAACGGGATCAGGACAGCAGACAGGGCCAAAGAGCCTCAGGGTTAGGGAAGGTGAAGAATAGTCCCAGATGAGGCGATTGGGGGCCTTCATCAATGCAGTGATGTGGCTGGGCGTGGCGATTCATCCCTGTAATCCCAGCACCTTGGGAGGCCAAGGAAGGTGGGTGGATCACTTGAGGCCAGGAGTTCGAGACTAGCCTGGCCAATATAGCGACACCTCATCTCTACTAAAAATACAAAAATTAGCCGGGTCTGGTGGTGCGCACCTGTAGTCCCAGCTACCTGGGGAGCTGAGGCAGGAGAATTGCTTGAAACTAGGAGGCACAGTTGCAGTGAGCCAAGATTGCACCACTGCGCTCCAGACTGGGTGACTGAGCAAGATGTCATCTCAAAAAACAAACAAACAAAACAAACAACAACAACAACAACAAAATGCAGTCATCTTTGAAGAGGGATTTTGTGGTGGTCTGAAGGGTGGCCCCAAGAAAGAAATGTACATACTGTAATCCCCAGAACCTGTAAATCGGATGTGCTCAGTCCATGTGTGCTGCTGTAACAAAATACCGTAGACTGGGTGATTTTCAAACAATGGGAATTTATTTCTCACAGTTCTAGAGGCTGGGAAGTTCAAGATCAAGGCAGCAGCAGACCTGGGGGCAGGTGAGGCTGCTCTCTGCTTCCACAATGTTGCCTTATTGCAGCATCTTCCAGAGGGGAGGAACACTGTGTCCTCCATAGCAGAGGAGGTAGAAGGAATGAGCTCACCCCCGAAGACCTTTGAGGGGATGAACGCTGCATCCTCCATAGCAGAGGAGGTAGAAGGAATGAACTCACCCCCGAAGACATTTGATAAGACACTAACCATATCCATGAGGGCAGAGCTCTAATAGCCTAATCACCACCTAAAGGCCCCACCTCTTAATGCTGTTGCATTGAGGATTCAGTTTCAGCATCAGTTTTAGAGAGGACACCATCATTCAAACCACAACAGTGACATTATGAGAAAAAGTGATTTTTGTTGTAACTAAAATAGGGATCTTAAGATGAGGAAATCATCCTAGATTGCCCAGCATGCCCGAAATCACATGATGAGTGCCTTTACAATAAACTTACAGGAGGCTGGGCGTGCTGGCCCACGCCTGTAATCCCAGCATTTTGAGAGGCTGAAGCAAGCAGATCACCTAAGGTTAGGAGTTTGAGATCAGCCTGGCCAACATGGTGAAACCTCATCTCTACTAAAAATACAAAAATTAGCCAGGTGTAGTGGTGCTCACTGGTAGTCCCAGCTACTTGGGGGGCTGAGGCACGAGAGTTGCTTGAACCCTGGAGGTGGAGGTTGCAGTGAGCCAAGATCCCGCCACAGCATTCCAGCCTGGGTGACAGAGCTAGGCTCCATCTCAAAAAAAAAAAAAAAAAAAAGAAACTTACAGGAGGGGATGCTCCAGCAGAGGAGAAGGCCATGTGACCCTGAAGGCAGAGACTGCAGTGATGGGGCCACAAGTCAGGAAACACCAACAGGCTGGGCCCCATGACTCACGCCTGTAACCACAGCACTTTGTGAGGACAGAGCAGGAGGACTGCTTGAGGCCAGGAGTTTGAGACCAGCCTGGGCTACACAGGCAGACCCTGTCTCTAATTAAATTAAAAAAAAAAAAAGATGAAAAAAGAAAAAAGAAACACCAGCCACCAGAAGCCAAAAGATGCAACTAACAGGTTCCCCACTAGAGGCTCCAGAGGAAGGGCCCCTCTACTGACACCGTGATCCCAGACGTCTGTCCTCCAGAGCCAGAGGAAGGGCCACTCTGCTGACACCGTGATCCCAGATGTCTGTCTTCCAGAGCCGGAGGAAGGGCCACTCTGTGACACCGCGAGCCCAGACGTCTGTCCTCCAGAGCCGGAGGAAGGGCCACTCTGCTGACACCGCGAGCCCAGACTTCTGTCCTCCAGAGCCGGAGGAAGGGCCACTCTGTGACACCGCGAGCCCAGACTTCTGTCCTCCAGAGCTGGAGGAAGGGCCACTCTGCTGACACCGCGAGCCCGGACGTCTGTCCTCCAGAGCCGGAGGAAGGGCCACTCTGTGACACCGCGAGCCCGGACGTCTGTCCTCCAGAGCCGGAGGAAGGGCCACTCTGCTGACACCGCGAGCCCGGACGTCTGTCCTCCAGAGCCGGAGGAAGGGCCACTCTGTGACACCGCGAGCCCGGACGTCTGTCCTCCAGAGCCGGAGGAAGGGCCACTCTGCTGACACCGCGATCCCGGACGTCTGTCCTCCAGAGCCGGAGGAAGGGCCACTCTGTGACACCGCGAGCCCGGACGTCTGTCCTCCAGAGCCGGAGGAAGGGCCACTCTGCTGACACCGCGATCCCGGACGTCTGTCCTCCAGAGCCGGAGGAAGGGCCACTCTGTGACACCGCGAGCCCGGACGTCTGTCCTCCAGAGCCGGAGGAAGGGCCACTCTGTGACACCGCGAGCCCGGACGTCTGTCCTCCAGAGCCGGAGGAAGGGCCACTCTGCTGACACTGCGATCCCAGACGTCTGTGCTCCAGAGCCGGAGGAAGGGCCACTCTGTGACACCGCGAGCCCAGACGTCTGTCCTCCAGAGCCGGAGGAAGGGCCACTCTGCTGACACCGTGAGCCCGGACGTCTGTCTTCCAGAGCCGGAGGAAGGGCCACTCTGTGACACCGCGAGCCCGGAAGTCTGTCCTCCAGAGCCGGAGGAAGGGCCACTCTGTGACACCGTGAGCCCGGACATCTGTCCTCCAGAGGCGGAGGAAGGGCCACTCTGCTGACACCGGGAGCCCGGACGTCTGTCCTCCAGAGCCGGAGGAAGGGCCACTCTGTGACACAGCGAGCCCGGACGTCTGTCCTCCAGAGCCGGAGGAAGGGCCACTCTGCTGACACCGCGATCCCGGACGTCTGTCCTCCAGAGCCGGAGGAAGGGCCCCTCTGCTGACACCGTGAGCCCGGACGTCTGTCCTCCAGAGCCGGAGGAAGGGCCCCTCTGTGACACCGCGAGCCCGGACGTCTGTCCTCCAGAGCCGGAGGAAGGGCCACTCTGCTGACACCGGGATCCCGGACGTCTGTCCTCCAGAGGCGGAGGAAGGGCCACTCTGTGACACCGCGATCCCGGACGTCTGTCCTCCAGAGGCAGAGGAAGGGCCACTCTGTGACACCACGAGCCCGGACGTGTGTCCTCCAGAGCCGGAGGAAGGGCCACTCTGCTGACACCGCGAGCCCGGACGTCTGTCCTCCAGAGCCGGAGGAAGGGCCCCTCTGCTGACACCGCGAGCCCGGACGTCTGTCCTCCAGAGCCGGAGGAAGGGCCCCTCTGTGACACCGCGAGCCCGGACGTCTGTCCTCCAGAGCCGGAGGAAGGGCCCCTCTGTGACACCGCGAGCCCGGACGTCTGTCCTCCAGAGCCGGAGGAAGGGCCACTCTGCTGACACCGCGAGCCCGGACGTCTGTCCTCCAGAGCCGGAGGAAGGGCCACTCTGCTGACACCGCGAGCCCGGACGTCTGTCCTCCAGAGGCGGAGGAAGGGCCACTCTGCTGACACCGCGAGCCCGGACGTCTGTCCTCCAGAGGCGGAGGAAGGGCCACTCTGCTGACACCGCGAGCTCGGACGTCTGTCCTCCAGAGGCGGAGGAAGGGCCACTCTGCTGACACCGCGAGCTCGGACGTCTGTCCTCCAGAGCCGGAGGAAGGGCCCCTCTGTGACACCGCGAGCCCGGACGTCTGTCCTCCAGAGCCGGAGGAAGGGACCCTCTGCTGACACCGCGAGCCCGGACGTCTGTCCTCCAGAGCCGGAGGAAGGGCCACTCTGTGACACCGCGAGCCCGGACGTCTGTCCTCCAGAGCCGGAGGAAGGGCCCCTCTGTGACACCGCGAGCCCGGACGTCTGTCCTCCAGAGCCGGAGGAAGGGCCCCTCTGTGACACCGCGAGCCCGGACGTCTGTCCTCCAGAGCCGGAGGAAGGGCCACTCTGTGACACCGTGAGCCGGACGTCTGTCCTCCGGAGCCGGAGGAAGGGCCACTTGTGACACCGTGAGCCCGGACGTCTGTCCTCCAGAGCCGGAGGAAGGGCCACTCTGTGACACCGTGAGCCGGACGTCTGTCCTCTGGAGCCGGAGGAAGGGCCACTTGTGACACCGTGAGCCCGGACGTCTGTCCTCCGGAGCCGGAGGAAGGGCCACTCTGTGACACCGTGAGCCCGGACGTCTGTCCTCCGGAGCCGGAGGAAGGGCCACTCTGTGACACCGGGAGCCCAGACATCTGTCTTCCAGAGCTTCCGTGGCTTAGGCCACAGAGAAGTTCGTGGTTCTTTGCTTTGCAGCCCCAGGAAGCCTTGAGGGAGGGAAAGGTCAGTGTGGAGAAGAAGGAGGCCATGCCCAGCGGTGAAGAACTACTTCCATTTTAGAAAACAAAAAAGTGGCCGGACACAGTGGCTCACGCCTGTAATCCAAGCACTCTGGGAGGCCGAGGTGGATGGATCACGAGGTCAGGAGATTGAGACATCCTGGCTAACATGGTGAAACCCCGTCTGTACTAAAATATTTAAAAAATAGCCAGACGTGGTGGTGGGTGCCTGTAGTCCCAGCACTTTGGGAGGCTGAGATGGGCGGATCACGAGGTCAGGAGATAGAGATCATCCTGGCTAACACGGCGAAACCCCATCTCTACTAAAAATACAAAAAATGAGCTGGGCGTGGTGGCGGGTGCCTGTAGTCCCACCTGCTCCGGAGGCTGAGGCAGGAGAATGGTGTGAACCTGGGAGGCAGAGCTTGCAGTGAGCCGAGATCGCGCCACTGCAGTCCAGCCTGGGCGACAGAGTGAGACTCCGTCTCAAAAAAAAAAAAAAAAAAAAAATCCTGTCTCTACTAAAAATACTAAATTAGCTGGGTGTGGTGGTGCACGCCTGTAATCCCAGCTACTTGGGAGGCTGAGGCAGGAGAATCACTTGTACCTGGGAGGCGGAGGCTGCAGTGAGCCGAGATCACACCACTGCATTCCAGACTGTGCGACAAAACGAGACCTCATCTCAAAAACAAACAAACAAACAAACAAACAAAAAAACCAGAAATACCTGAAAGCTGTGTGCCGTGGCTCACGCCTGTAATCTCAGCACTTTGGGAGGCTGAGGCGGGAGTTCGAGACCAGCCTGGCCAACACAGTGAAATGTGATCTCTACTAAAAATACAAAAATTAGCAGGGCATGGTGGCACAGCTACTCAGGACGCTGAGGCAGGAGAATCGCTTGAACCCAGGAGGTGGAGGTTGCAGTGAGCTGAGACTGTACCACTGCATTCCAGCCTGGGCATCTGAGTGAGATCTTGTCTCAAAAGGAAAAAAAAAAAAAAGAAAAGAAAAAAAATACCTAAGACTGGGTAGTTTTTAAAGAAAAGAGGTTGAATTGGCTTGCGATTCTGCAGGCTGTACAGGAAGCACTGCAGCTTCTGCTTCTGGGGAGGCCTCAGGAAGCTTCCAATCATGGCAGAAGGCAGATGGGCAGTGAGGCGTCTCACATGGTGGGAGCAGGAGCAAGAGAGTGCGGCGAGTTCACACTTGTAAACTACCAGAGCTGGTGAGAACTTGCTTACTCTCATGAAGACAGAACGAAGGGGATGGCACTAAACCACTCATGAGAAATCCACCCCCATGATCCAGCCACCTCCCACCAGGCCCCACCTCCAACACTGGGGGCTACAATTTCACATGAGATTTGGGCGAGGACACAGATCCAAACCCATATCAGGGGCCCACATTGGACGTAGTTTCAAGGTGGACCTGGGCAGGTGTTTCCAGATGAGATTTGCGTCCGTGAACTGAGTTGAGCAAGTGCGCTCCCCGGTGTGGCTGGGCTTCATCCAATCTGTTGAAGGTCTGAGTAGAGCGAAAAAGGTGGAGGAGGCTGGGTGCGGTGGCTCACGCCTGTAATCCCAGCACTTGGGAGGCGAGGAGGGTCTGCGGATCACTTGAGGTCAGGAGTTCGAGACTGCCCTGGCCAAAATGGCGAAGCCCCGTGTCTACTAAAAATGAAAAATTATCTGGGTATAGTGGTGTGTGCCTGTTATCCCAGCTACTCAGGAGGCTGAGGCAAGAGAATTGCTTGAACCCAGGAGGCGGAGTTTGCAGTGAGCGGAGATCCTACCACTGCACTCCAACCTGGGGGACAGAGTAAGACCCTGTTCTCAAGAAAAAAAGGAGGAGGAAAGAGGAATTTGCCCCCCCTTCCCCACCCCCCTCCATTTTCCCCACTGCCTCACTGCTTGAGCGGGCACATTTCATGTCATCTTCTCAGCAACCACCCCCACCATTCCCCCTCCTCCCTCAAACTGGGATTTACACCATTGCTCAGGCCTTCAGACTGGAACTGAATTACACCACCAGCTTTCCTGGTTCTCCGTATGGCAGACAGCAGATCAGGGTTCTTCTCAGCCTTCATGATTACATGAGCCAATGCCTCATAATAAATCTCCATTTACGAATATGAATTTCCCATTAGTTCTGTTTCCTTGGAGAACCCTGACTAATACAGGTATCTACTGGCATTTGGGGAAAAGCATTTTTTCTTTAGGCAGGGATGTCCTATACGTTGCAAGGTGTTAAAACTTCTGGGCCTAGTTGTGAAATATTGACGACATTCCTTAATCATTCTGACAACAAATTTCCTTCTCCATCCCCAAATTTCCAAAAGTCCTCTGGAGAGCAGTTCTGAATCTGGTTCAACCACTCATAAGCTGTAGAGAGACTAGAAAAGAGATAATCACAGAGTCAGGCAATTTTTACCTGCAAGATTTTAAAAAACAGAGTTTTTAAAGTTCTTCGTAGTTTCTTATATTACTGAATTCCTTCCTTCCTTTCATCCCTGCCTCCCTCCCCATCCCTCCTTCCTTCCTTTGTTCCTTTCTTTCTTCTTACTTTTATTACTTCTTTTGTATCATCAAGAATGAGTGTTGAATCCTACTGAATGTTCTTATTCCACCCATTGAGAGGGTCATATGTATTTCTGTTACCGGAAAGGGGTCCTATTTCAGACCCCAAGAGAAGGTTCTTGGATCTCACACAAGAAAGAATTCAGGGCGAGTCCATACAGTAAAGGGAAAGCAAGTTTATTAAGAAAGTAAAGGAATAAAGAATGGCTATTCCATAGACAGAGCAGCCCGAGGGCTGCTGGTTGCCCATTTTTATGGTGATTTCTTGATGATATGCTAAACAAGGGGTGGATTATTCATGCCTCCCCTGTTTAGACCATATAGGGTAACTTCCTGACGTTGCCATGGCATTCCTAAACTGTCATGGCGCTAGTGAGAGTGTAGCAGTTGAGGACAACCAGAGGTCACTTTCATTGCCATCTTGGTTTTGGTGGGTTTTGGCCGGCTTCTTTACTGCAAACTGTTTTATCAGCAAGATCTTTGTGGCCTGTATCTTGTACCGACCTCCTATCTCATCCTGTCACTTAGAATGCCTTAACCTCCTGGGAGGCAGCCCAGCGGGTCTCAGCCTCATTTTACCCAGCCCCTATTCAAGAGGGAGTTGCTCTGATTCAAATGCCTCTGCCATTTCCTCTTTTAATCTATTAATTTAGATTGCTATGGCAGAGGTGACTTACTGCAAACCTATTCTGCCACTTTTCTTTAGTAACCACGATTGTATTTAGGTGGCAGTGTACCCAGTTAATAGACCGCATGTCTTAGCCTCCTTGGATGCAAGAAATGGCCACGTGGCCAACACAATAAAGGCATAGGGCTGTTTGCATTTTTAGGAAGACACTTTAAAATAAAATACACCATCTGGAGTGCACCACTTTTGCCTTTCCTTCCTTCCTGCTGCCTGGAATGTTGATGTGATGGGTGGAGCTGTAGCAGTCCTACTCCTTATCAATTCCTTGATAAGGTGATCTTGAGACTAGAAGCTAAACACTAGCATGATGGAGTAGACAGAGGAAAGTCTGGGTTCCTGGTGATGGTACAGCCACTATATTAGGCTTGGGCCACCTTCTTCTGAACTTAATTTACGTAAAAATAAACTTCAAATTTTTTCTAAACACAAGAATACAGATCGAGGTTATCAAGGAATTGAAGTGAGCCTTCAAGCACTGTGTGAAATGGCACATTCAGATTTCATCTTAAGCAGGCAGCTGCTTCCCAGCTTCAGTCAGCCACAGGATGGTGGCTTCATTTAATCAGATCTCTCATTTTTTAACAGATATCAGAAATTCCAACTTCTATATGAAAGCTCCCAATTAAAAAATGGTGGCTTGGCCAGGTATAGTGGCTCACGCCTGTAATTCCAGTACTCTGGGAGGCTGAGGTGAGTTGACTGCTTGAGCCCAGGAGCTCAAGACCAGCCTGGACAACATAGTGAGACCCCACTTCTACAAAAAATACAAAAAATTAGCCCAGCATGGTGGTGCACATCTATGGTTCCAGCTACTTTTTTGGAAGGCTGAGATGGGAGGATCACTTGAGCCCAGGAGGTGGAAGCTGGAGTGATCCATAATCACACCACGGCACCCCCAGCCTGGATGACAGAGTGACACTGTCTCAAAACAAACAAAAAATAATAGCTCAGCTTTTATGAAAAACACGGTGTAGCCTAAATACATCTAAGGATGATATTGAGCCCACAAGGCTGCCAGTTCAACTCTCCTTAGGGAGGTTCCTTTCTGGGCTCATGCTGAAGTCGCCTTTGTAAAATCAGAAATGTATCTGTTCACATTTAGCTTTTAATATCCCATGGGCAAGGTGAAATAGGGGAAGATCATGGGCAAGTGCCCCCCTCTACTTCTGTATACCACACCAGACACTGCGTTTTATTGCCTCTTCTTGGTGTGTAGCAAATATATCAGGAGTCCACTCAAAACTTATTTATTTATTTAACACTGAGTCTTGCTTTACTGCCTAGGCTGGAGCGCAGTGGCATGATCGCGGCTCACTGCAACCTCCGCCTCCTGGGTTCAAATGATTCTCATGCCTCAGCCTCCCAAGTACCTAGGACTACAGGCTTGTACCACCATGCCCATCTATTTTTCTATTTTTGGTAGAGACGGGGTTTTGCCATGTTGGCCAGACTGGTCTTGAACTCCTGGCCTCAAGTGATCCACCCACCTCGGCCTCCCAAAGTGCTGGAATTATAGGAGTCAGCCGCCGTGCCCGGGGTCAAAACTCTTTTTCTAAAATGTCGTTAGAAGGGGGTTGTGACAGCTCTGTGCAACTTGTCCCCTTTCCTGTTTGCTTATGTAATTCTGTTGGAAAGTATTAAGTTGTTTAGCAGAATGATAATATTTTCAGATCGCTTTTGTCCTTTAAAAAGGATGTGGCCTGCCTGCCTGGTGCCTGGGAAGCTGAAATACCAGGAAGAAGAGCAAAATCCTGGGTGTTTTTTTGAGAGTGAGAGGAGGACAGGATTTTGATTGTTCTACAATGATATACAACTCTTCCCTACTCCATGCCACACTGAGAGGCAGAGTGGTGGACGTACCTGGGAGAAGCCTGCGGAGCCGAATGTGCCCTCCAGGATGGACTTTTATATCTTGATAAGCCTGGGGGTCACCATGCTGCGTAGGGAGGCCGGAGACCTGCCACTGACGGTGGTTATCCCATGTCATGGCTTTCTTCATTCCCACTTTACCTTTTTGAGGCTGGAAGGTATTTAGGGGATGACAGAAAATCAAGTTTGAAGGTCAATGGAAATATTGGGCACCCACTAGAATGTCCCACATCTGTAAATACATGTGCATCTTTGTAAACACTTAACAGCTGTTTTGGGGAGTGCTTGTTTAAATCCACAGATGGCATTTTGCCAGAGGCCTCCTTCAGTTCCCTATTTCTCTCACTCAAGGTATCCTAGTTTGGAGATCCAGACCAGGTGCAGCCCATGTACCCTGATGAACCCCAGGTTCCCCTCTCCAACATCTTTCTCACCCGACAGGTGCGGCCCTGAAATGGGTTTCTACTGTCTCCTCACACAGTCCCCATGTTCCCCTCCTCGGGTTAGTTTTAGGGTAGTCTAGCCTGGGAAGGAATTTGGGACTGATCATGCCACGTTCCCTGGAATGGGACTAGAAAGGAATCCTGGGCTTCGTGCGGACCAAGGCCCCACTCAGGTTGTCATGGAAAATGAGGCTGAGAGCCCCTCTCTGCAGCACCCTGTGGGACGGAACCCGAGGTCTCTGCTGGTCCCGGTGGGCACAGACCTGCAGCCAACCCGGTGTTCCGTGAAGCCCTGATTTCCCAATGAAGCCCATGGAAGCCATCACTGGTTTCCATGGGAGCGGACCATGGCCACCCCTGCTCCTGTTCCCTGTGGGAAAGGACCAAGGCCGCCCCTGGTCCTGGTCACTGTGGGAAGGGACTGTGGTCACCGCTGGTCCTGGTCCCCTTGGGAGGGACTGTGGTCACCGCTGGTCCTGGTCCCCGTGAGAATGGTCTGTGGTCACCGCTGCCTGTTCCCTGTGGAAGGGAACGTGGTCACTGCTGGTCCTAGTCCTCTTGGGAGGGACTGTGGTCACCGCTGGTCCTGGTCCCCGTGTGAGGGACTGTGGTCACCGATGGTCCTGGTCCCCGTGGAAGGGACTGTGGTCACCGCTGGTCCTGGTCCAGGTGGAAACAGACCGCGGCTACCCTGGTGATGGACCCCACGGGGCACACCCGCGCCACCCCGCACCCAGGGCTCGCGCCGCCCGAGGCCCCCGGTTCCTGTCCCCCTCCCCGCCTGGCGCCGGAACCTGCGAGCTGGGGCGCGGCCTCGGGGAGGGGCGGGCGGGACAGACCCAGCCGCCCCGGCTCCCCCGCCGTCCGCGTCTGCGCCGGCCCCGGGGCCTGGTCGGCGGCGGCGGGGCCGGTCGATGGCCCGGGCGGCGGCGGCGGCATGCGGCTCCTGTTCCTGGCGGTGCTGCGGCCACACACCGGCAACGCGGTCACGGCCCAGCGCGTTCGGTAGGTGCAGGGCGCCGGGGCCTACGAAGCCTGGGCCGGGGGCCGGGGGGCGGGGACGCGGGACCCGGGGACGCGGGGCGCTCAGCCAGGCCCCCTCCAGCCGCGCCGGGGCCGTCCCGAGCCGCGCGCACAAACGGATGGGCCGGTGCCGCCTGCCGGGCGCGCGGGGGTCGGTGCCTTCTGCGTGGCGCGCGTGTCCCCGGGTCTCCGTGCGGCCGGCGCATTGGCCTCGCGCTCTCCGGAGGGGACTGAGCAGGTGAACAGGCCCGGAGCCTGTCGTGGAGGGGCCCGGGAAGGCCTCGCTGCAGAAGCAGGATGGGAGCAGGATCCGCAGGGATGCGCAGCGGGGTCCGCGGAGCTCCCGGCGGGGGCGCGTTTCCAGGCCGGGGACCGCGGTGCCAGCCCTGCCCTCGCGGATCGGGTCTCGGCTGTGTGCCGGCGTCCGGGGTCCTGTCCCCGAAGTCCCTTTCCCACCTCCCCTCTGCCCTGTCTATTCTCGTCTTCCTGGCTGGTTAGCTCCTTCACACTCATCTTTTTCTGCCTTTGTCTTATTTGTTTACTTGTTGGTCTGTGTTCTGGTCGCTGGAACGCAAGCCCGGCGGGGGCCCGGGGAGGGGCCGCCGCGTTAATCCCGCCGCCTCCCACCCGCACAGCGGGCGCTCGGCCTGTATTAGCCGGATAAACATATTCCTTGAGGCGAAGCCTGGGAAGTGCCAGGATTAGAGCCTGCAGCTTAACAGAAGCCGTGTGTGTGTGTGTGTGTGTGTGTGTGTGTGTGTGTGTGTGTGTAAAAGCGGACTTGCTTCATGAAATTTCCCGATTTACTTCCCTTCTGTGGGCCTGTTTCCCCATCAATTTATTTTTTTGAAATGGAGTCTCGCTGTGTCACCCAGGCTGGAGTGCAGTGGCGCAATCTGGGCTCACTGCAACCTCCGCCTCCTGGATTCAAGCATTCTCCTGCCTCAGCCTCCCAAGTAGTTGGGATTACAGGTGTGCACCACCACGCCCGGCTGATTTTTGTATTTTTAATAGAGACAGGGTTTCACCATGTTGGCCAGGTTGGTCTCGAACTCCTGCCCTCAGGTGATCCGCCTGCCTCGGCCTCCCACAGTGCTGGGTTTACAGGTATGAGCCACTGTGCCCGGCCTCCTCATCATTAAAATGAGCAATTGAGACTCCACCAACACTTTCATGTCCCTTTCAGCTAATTTCTCCTAAAGATCATAAGCAGAAATGACCAAGAGAGGATCCATCAGTTTTCTGAAATTTGCTGGAAAATTTACACTCAGGTTTCATGGTGCAGGTTTCTATTAAATAGGTCAGTGATGCTCTGCTTGGGTTTAGCAGTGAGGAGCCCTTTGTGTTCCTGGCTCTGTTGGATGAACCAGCATCCCAGTATGGGAGAGGAATGAAGGAGGTGATTTCACATAGGGATTAGTGCTATTAAGAAAGCAAAACTAGGAGGCTGAGGCAGGAGAATCGCTTGAACCTGGGAGGCAGCTGTTGCAGTGAGCCAATTGATCTGGGATCACGCCACTGCACTCTAGCCTGGGTGACAGAGCCAGACTCCATCTAAAAAAAAAAAAAAAAAAAACAACAACAACAACAAAAAAAACAAAAAACCTAGGGCAGGCTTTCATGGCGGCTCAAGCCTGTAATCCCAGCACTTTGGGAGGCTGAGATGGGAGGATTGCTTGAGCCCAGGAGTTAAAGACCAGCATGGGCAACATGGTGAAACCCTCATCTCTACAAAAAAAAATTTAAAAATTAGCTGATGTGGTGTGTGCATGCCTGTGGTCCTAGCTACTCAGGAGGCTGAGGCAGGAGGATCAGTTGAGCCCAGGAGGTTGAGGCTGCAGCGAAGTGACATTGCACCACTGAACTCCAGCCTGGGTGGCAGATCAAAACTCTAAAAAATAAAACAAAACTGTTAACGGAAAGAGGTCCTGATCCAGAACCCGATAGAGGGTTCTTGGATCTTGCACAAGCAAGAATTCAGGGCGAGTCCTTAAAGTGAAAGCAAGTTTATTAAGAAAGTAAAAAAATAAAAGACTGGCTACTCCATAGACAGAGCAGCCCCAAGGGCTGCTGGTTGCCTTTTTTTTTTTTTTTTTTTTTTTTGAGACAAAGCTTCATTCTTTCGCCCAGGCTGGAGTGCAATGGCGGGGTCTCAGCTCACTGCAACCTCTGCCCCCCGGTTCCAGCGATTCTCCTGCCTTACCTTCCGGAGTAGCTGGGATTACAGGCGCCTGCCACCACACCCAGCTGATTTTTGTATTTTTAGTAGAGACAGGGTTTCACCATGTTGGCCAGGCTGGTCTCGAACTCCTGACCTCACGTGATCCTTTGGTCTTGGCCTCCCAAAGTGCTAGGATTACAGGCATGAGCAACTTCGCCTGGCCTTGGTTGTCCATTTTTATGGTTATTTCTTGATGATATGCTAAACAAGGAGTGGATTATTCACACCTCCCCTTTCCAGAACATATAGGGTAACTTCCTGGCATTTCCATGCATTTGCAAACTGTCATGGTGCCGATGGGAGTGTAGCAGTGAGGACAGCCAGAGGTCGCTCTCGTTGCCATCTTGGTTTTGGTCGGTCTTGGCTGGCTTCTTTACTGCATCCTGTTTTATCAGCAAGGTCTTTATCACCTTGTATCTTGTGCCGACCTCCTATCTCATTCTGTGACTTAGAATGCCTTAACCATCTGTGATTGCAGCCCAGTAGGTCTTAACCTCATTTTACCCAGCCCTTATTCAAGACTGAGTTACTCTGGTTCAGACGCCTCTGACAAAACTAGATAAAGTGATTGAGAGGCATGATGATGGCTGAGATGCTTTAGAGAATGTGGTCTGGGAGGCTGTCTCCGGAGATGACATTGAAGCTAAGACCGAAAAGAGGCTGTCACTGAGATCTGGAGGGATGGTCCCAGGAAGGAATAATGGTGAGAACACAGGTCCTGAGCTGTGTGAGAAGCAGAAAGGCAGCCAGGGTCACTGGACTATAGAGAGTTTGGGGCCAGTGCTAGGAAATGAGTCAGAGAGAGAGGCCAAATCTGGCTTGTACATGTGGTGGGGAAAACACTTTGTGCTTAAGAAGTAATTACCACTAAAAAAAACAAGAAAACAAAAAAAGATGGTGAAACCCCATCTCTGCTAAAAATAAAAAAATTAGCCAGCTGTGGTGGCACAGACCTGTAATCCCAGCTTCTCGGGAGGCAGAGGCTCAAGAATCGCTTGACCTGCAAGGCGGAGGTTGCATGAGCCAAGATGGCGCCACTGCACAACAGCCTGGGAGACAGAGAAGACTCCGTTTCAAAAACAGAAAAGAAAATCAAAAACAATGTTGAGTGACCGAAGAACCTGAACGGGCACAGAGTTAGAAGCTTCAGGCAAAAAGGAAATATTACCTGTTATTTAATATTTTGCTCCTAACTTGAGCTGTAAACCCACATCTTCCAAGGGCCCAAACTCACATCCACCCACAAGGTCACGTTACTTTTGTCCCAACTCAGAGGTGAATTAATAGAAAAAATAACTATGTTAGCTGCCGTCCTGAGATTCACTCCCCCATCATTCTGTTGGTGGTGCACTTTTGAAAGTGCCTGTCTTGCTAGGCCTTGGGGCTACAAAGGGGAAGGAGGCGGGCAGGGTTTATGCAGAAGGTTGACTTCAGCTAAACTGGAGTGGAGGGCCATTTAGTCACTTCGTTCTTTCTTTTCCTGGCTGTGCAGAAGCAGAATAAAGGCTGCTATTCAGGCTTTGATGTTTATTCAGACCAGGCGTTTGTTGTCCTTCACCTCAGGAAGGATTGCTGGGGGAAGAAAAAGAAAAAAGCAGAAGTTGCTTGAAGACATCTTCTGCCTTGTGA
This sequence comes from Homo sapiens, assembly GCF_000001405.40. Lineage (NCBI taxonomy): Eukaryota > Metazoa > Chordata > Mammalia > Primates > Hominidae > Homo > Homo sapiens. The sequence goes on from NC_000012.12 coordinate 128,857,518, forward strand.
AAGCTTAGTCTCCTTGAGGAAATGATGCTGGTGTCCTGGACGGGCGGGGAGGGAGGTTCCCTTGGTGACTGAGAGTCCCTGTGATCTAATCAGCAATGAGCAGTGAGGACTGGATGTTCTCCTCCAAAATCTCTGCCAAAGACCCCGGAGACCACCTTCAACTGACCCTGGACACTTGGTGAAGGAGTTCCCCAAATACGTAAATCTGGAGTTCCCATCAGCCTGGCAGAATAGGAGGTCAGAATTAGGTAAGACTGAATTTAAAGAAAAAAAGAAGGGGTTCTATTCTTGCACAAGTTGGTCATTGTAAAGCAACACCCCATCTATAAGTAAGGGTGCTAAATCCTCATGAATGTATTGGCCTGGGAAGCACAGAATCCTCTGGGGACATATAGGTGGGGACCGATCCCAGATCAGAGGTCAGGGAAAGCCTTCTCGTGCCTTCCAAGCCCATTCCCTGTTGAAAAATGGCAAGGTCCAGACCAAGTTTGCTTTGTGGCTCAGTGTTCTTTTTCATAATGAGGATGCCAATATGGGTTGTGAATGGAATTAAAAGAGTTAATACACTTTCAGCGTTTTTAAAGCAGTGTCTGGAACATAGTGAGGACTAAGCTCTGATTTTTTTATCTTGCCCAAATTCCTGTCTAAGGGGTCTGGGAGTCATGCCCTACAAACCATAAAATCCCATCAGATGGGTTTTATTTGACACTGTATATCGTGACTTACCTTCCAGTCTGACTCTGGCATAACATTATGAGACAAGAAAAAAAATCAAAATATTTAACCCCAAAACATGCTTCTGTGCCATATCTTGAAATGGCCCTGCAGAGCCATCCTTTGTGGGAGGAAAATCTGCATCTGTAAAGAATTTCTGCCGGGCCTGGTGGCTCACGTCTGTAATCACAACACTTTGGGAGGCCAAGGCAGGTGGATCACTTGAGGTCAGGCATTGGAGACCATCCTGGCCAACATGGTGAAACCCCGTCTCTACTAAAAATACCAAAATTAGCTGGGCGTGGTGGCACACACCTGTAATCCCAGCTACTTGGGTGGCTGAGGAAGGAGAATTGCTTGAACCCAGAAGCAGAGGTTGCAGTGAGCTGAGATCACACCATTGCACTCCAGCCTGGGCAACAGAGGGGGACTCAGTCTCAAAAAAAAAAAAAAAATCTCCATTAACATAGCTAGATCTTTTTCTTCCATGCCCTCCCAATCCTGAAGAGATTAACTAAAAGTCTAGCACCTTTTAAAGATCTGAAGAGGAAAAATTTGTCATTTATTGTTTCTAAGGGCAGCCACCGTAAGACTTCAAAGGAACGTTGGTCTCCACAGTCTTTTATCTTAACTTGAACATTTCCTTTCTATGGATCCCAGGTCTTAAGACAAGCCTCAACCAATTGTCAGCCAGAAAATGTTTAAATTGACCTATAGCTTGGAACTGCCCTTCCTCCCCGCAACCCCCATGCTTTGAGTTGTCCTGCCTTTCTGAACCAAACCAATGTATTTCTTAAATGTATTTGATTGATGTCTCATGCCTCCCTAAAATGTGTAAAACCAAGCTGTACCTCGACCTCCTTGGGCACATGTTCTCAGGACCTCCTGAGGGCTGTGTCACAGGCCATGGTCACTCATATTTGGCTCAGAATAAATCTCTTAATATTTTACAGAGTTTGACTCTTTTCATCAACAACAGTTGTGAGCTATTAATCAGCATAATGGGCCTTAGTTAGCAAGGTGGGAGAACGGAGGGGGAGGCGTCTTAGGCAGAGCGTCAACCAATGGGATGGGAAGAGACCATCTCTTCCAGAGCTGAGAGTCACGCAGCCTTCACAGCACAGAATCCTGTAGATCAGCGACTCTGCCTCCGGAAGAGCATGGGGCACAGAGGATGTGCCGAGGAGGGGGAGCCATTTTGCCCCCAGGGCCGTTGGGCAAGGTCTGGAGACATACTTCGCTGTCACCACTAGTGTTGGGGGCTACTGGCATTGAGTGGGACGCCACTCCACACCCTGTAGTGCACAGGGCAGCCCCTCCCCAAGAGTGACCCTGCTCCACATGTGAACAGGGCTTTGCTGATGAACCCTTCTCTAGGTGGGGTCAGGAGATGTGGCTGGAGAGGGAGACAGGGCCACGCGACACCTTCAGTTTTGTGCCAAAAACAGGATTGCACCATGAAAGGCCATGAGATTTGTGTGTAGTTGAAAATCATGTATGTATTTGGGTTTGGCATATTTAAGAAGTAAAATGAACAGGACTTGGCAGTTGAGTGTGGGGAATGAAGGAGAGAAAAACCTGTGATTTCCTTCATGATAGAGGGAAAATACTGGGAAAAAAAGACAGGAAAATCTAAAGCTTCTGCTGTCTAGTAGTTTTTTAGAAGATGTAGGTGACAGAATGGAATAATGTGTTTCTTGGGCAAAAAATCTGGGGGATCAATAACTTGAGAATTGATGTCGTATTGTCTGTGTGTCACGTTAAATATTCTTCAGTATAAAGTGTTCAGGGTGTGTAAGTTTCCTTTAAGTATAACCTGTGAGCTGCTAGCGAGTATTCTGAATACCCTAATGTGGCACCTACACTCTAGAGATGTCTCCTAAGCAATGTAACATTAGCAACCCACGTCAGAAGATTTGTTCATTAGCATAAAGCATTTCAGAAATTAGGCTGGCGCGGTGGCTCACGCCTGTAATCCCAACACTTTGGGAGGCCGAGGCGGGCAGATCACCTGAGGTCAGGAGTTCAAGACCAGCCTGGCCAACATGGTAAAACCCCATCTCTACTGAAAATACAAAAATTAGCCAGGCGTGTTGGCTGGCACCTGTAGTCCCAGCTACTCGGGAGGCTGAGGCAGGAGAATCGCTTGAACCCAGGTGGCAGAGGTTGCAGTGAGCCGAGATTGTACCACTGCACTCCAGCCTGGGTGACAGAGTGAGACTCCGTCTCAACAAAAAGAAATTAGTAGTGTCTAAGATATGTGGTTCACTGGGAAGACGACACAGGCTTTTGACCAAGAAGTCAGGGAGCCCTCACCTGCTGGGCAGCCCTTGAGGGGTTGCCAGCTCTATTTGGTCTTGCATCCCTGCCATAACCCTCTGTCATCTGGCTTAACTAGATTGGCTAGTGTGGCTGCCAGTATGGTCCAGTGTGGACTCGATCCTTCGGGCAGGGTGCTTGGAGAACACAGAGAGTTCTGCAGCCCAGCAGAATAGACCGTTTTGTGTGTGTGTGGCTGAATCTGGAGTGAGAGTTCCTCTCATTGTAGGGCACACCTGGTGGTGAGGTTGGAAGGAAGAGGTCAGAAGGGTCCCCACCCCCCTCTGATCCCCTGAGAATGAACATTTGCCAGGAGAGCCAGGCCGTCCTCACGGAACCGGGGAAATTGGTCTAGGTCAGTTTCTAACGGTGAAGTTCAAAATTAAAAGCAGCTCTGGTAAGTGAAAAAATAGAGTCTGACACCTAGAGAACCAAGTTCATGTCACCTGTGGAGGGGGATAAACTGCACAAGGAGTGGATGTAAAAAATATTCACGCCGAGAGTAAGTTGTGGAGTTGTTTCAAAGGGTGCCCCCCGTTATGCTAAAACAGGAGGCTAGTCCTTGGAAACACTGAAATCATCTTCTAAAACCAGGGCGACAAACTGCTGCCTGCCCGGGGTGAAACGCAGCCTCCCTGCCAGTTTTGTAAATAAAGTTGTAGTGGCCCCAGCTATACTATTATACGCTTACGTGTTGTTCACATTTCTGCTTTTGCTTCTCAGGGGCAGAATGGAGTAGTTAGAACAGAGGCCCTCTGACCCACGAACCCAAAGGTATTTCCTCTCTGTCTGCTTCCAGGAAAGGCCTTCTGACCCGTGCTCTACATCTTGATATCAGATATTCACTAGATAACTGAGTTGCATGCCTAGGGTATTGTCTGCAGAGCTGCCAAGGGTACTGGGGAAATGCGTGAAGATGGTCTCGGGAAGAGAACAAAATAGAGCATTTGGTCCTCCTCGGCCCAGAGCAGGGAAGCCCAAGGGGCAGTTCAGTCCAGCCAGGAGTGTGTTGACATCAGAATGATGGCAAATGTTGTCACACTCATAGCTGGACTTGGTGCAGCGGGGTGGTGACTGTGTGTTTGTTGTGTTTCTCCATCTGGAACGGAGAGTGCAAAGGTGTGTTTGTCGGAATGGGAAGCATTTTAGATAATGGGGGCAGATCGGAGCACTACAGGACACGGACCAGAAAGGAGAGAAAGCGAAGGAAGAAATGCAAACATCCTTTGCATCCAAGGCAGTACTTTCCCTTCCAGGCCCGGCTACTTTCTGGCCGCATCATTCTGAATTCTCTGTGTCAAGCATTTGGGAAGAAAAAAAAAGTATGAGGAAAAGTTTTCAGGTTTTCTAGATTTTCTTTTGAGGAGTCAAAGGAAAGTGTGAATGCAGATGAAGTTCAGACAAGGAGGCTATTTTATTTTTTCTGCCTTCCTTGGTTTTGTTTGTTTTTTGAAGATCTTGTTACTAATTTTTCCACGTCCAAAGATAGCCATTGAGGCCAGCCGCGGTGGCTCACGCCTTTGATCCCAGCATTTTGGGAGGCTGAGGCAGGCAGGTCACTTGAGGTCAGGAGTTTGAGACCAGCCTGGCTAACATGGTGAAACCCTGTCTCTACTAAAAATACAAAAATTAGCTGGGCATAGTGGTGCATGCCTGTAATCTCAGCTACTCAGGAGGCTGACACAGGAGAACTGCTTGAGCCTGGGAGGTGGAGGCTGCAATGAGCCAAGATTGCGCCACTGCAGTCCAGCCTGGGTGACAGAGTGAGACTCTGTCTCAAAAAAAAAAAAAAAAAAACCACAAAGATAGCCATTGAAAGTTGTTGCTGGGCGCTGTGGCTCACTCTTGTAATCCCAACACGTTGGGAGGCTGAGGCAGGCAGATTGCTTGAGTTCCGAAGTTTGAGACCAGCCTGGGCTACATGGTGAAACCCCATCTCTACAAAACATACACCAATTAGCTGAGCATAGTGGTCCCAGCTACTCAGAAGGCTGAGGCAGGAGGATCACTTGAGCCCAGGGAAGTTGAGGCTGTGATGAGCCATGATGGCACCACTGCACTCCAGCTTGGGCAGCAACAGAATGAGACCCTGTATCACACAAAAAGAAAGTTGTTAATATCTTCATTCAGCAGATATTTTTTGAGCGTCTCCCATGGGTACAGTGCTGTGTAGGCGCTACACACAGAGCCGGCGTCAGCAGTCCCTGTCCTCAGGAGGCAGCCGCTCAACCACAGACAGCTTGCGCACATCAGCTCGATGCTAAGCATTGTCACTTGGAAGACAAGTCTAGCATTCTAGCATGGAAGACAGACACAAGCACGTAATTACCCAAACATTTGTCTGATTGTGATACGATCAGTGCTATGACAGAGAAGTGTAGGGTGATGACAGAGAGAGGACTCTGAATAGAGCCGACCTAGTTCCAGAGGGCGTAGGGTCCAAGGAAGAGCTTCCCTTTCCCCCTCTGAGGGTTCACTGAAAACCAGCTGGGCAAAGACAGACTCATAGGAGACACGGCACACACCTGTGTTGGTCATAGTTTTACATGACATGGGAGCCTTCAGAATGAAGACCCAGAGACACGAGAGACTGGCCAGTTTATGCTTAGGTTCAACAAGGTACGGACAGCCACATGGGAATAGGATGGGATGAAAAGGGTCTGATCGAACACCGATAGACTGCTTGGGGAGGCCCAGCAAGGCGAGTCTGTCTGGATTCATCTTCGCCCCTCTGTGCAGCCTTCTTTCCTTCTGGTACAAGGCAGGCCCGCTCTGGAATGGGAGCTTTGTGACTTGCAATCAAACAAGGTAGTTTGGATAATTTATTATTTTTTTTTTTGAAATGGAGTTTTGCTCTTGTTGCCCAGGCTGGAGTGCAGTGGCGTGATCTCGGCTCACTGCAACCTCTGCCTCCTGGATTCAAGTGATTCTCCTGCCTCAGCCTCCCAAGTAGCTGGGATTACAGGCATGTGCCACCGCACCCAGCTAATTTGGTATTTTTTTAGTAAATAGAGACGGGGTTTCACCATGTTGGTCAGGCTGGTCTTGAACTCCTGACCTCAGGCGATTCACTCGCCTCGGCCTTCCAAAGTGCTGGGATTACAGGCGTGAGCCACCGCACCTGGCCTGGGATAATTTCTTTATGGTCAGGTTTTACACAGGAAGGCAGGGGAAAGTTAGAGTAATAATTTTGGGTTTCACTGGCTAACGCAGTGAAACCCCGTCTCTACTAAAAATACAAAAAAAGTAGCCACACGTGGTGGCGGGCACCTGCAATCCCAGCTACTCGGGAGGCTGAGGTAGGAGAATGGCGTGAACCCGGGAGGTGGAACTTGCAGTGAGCCAATATCGTGCCACTGCACTCCAGCCTGGGCGACAGAGCAAGACTCCATCTCAAAAAAAAAAAAAAAAAAAAAAAAGTGTATAGATCTGAATACTATCTGGAAGGACCCTGCGATGCTGTGGCAGCGGGGAGAGAAGAGCACTAGGGGGACTTCCAGGGGCCTGGCTTGTGCCGCTGTGTGCACTGTGGGCAGGTCCCTGCACGTGGAATGCTGGCTGATGCCAGCTCGGCTGGGGCAGGAGAGTCTTAACATGCTGACTGCGAGGTGCCTGTCAGACGACACACTGTAAGTTTTTGTTGAATTAGGGCAGTTGCAACCCACGGGCACTCCGAGAGGCTTCCGGGCTGAAGATGAGAAGCTGAGTGTGGGATGAAGTTTGCTTAGTCCTGCACTAGGGGTGGGGCAAACTGGGATATAACATGATCAGAAAGGAGACAGGCTGGGAAGGCAGAGGGCCCCGGAAATCCAGAAAACTTAGGGAAGCCGAAGAAGAGGAATTTCCCAAGCAGAAGGGCTGGTTAGCGAGGCTGGATGTTGCTAACAGGCCCATCTGCTCAAGACGCCAAAGGGGCAGTGAGGGTTGGCACCTGAAGGTCCGTGGAGATCTTGTCTGATCTTGTTCCGCAGGAGTAGTGGCAGGTGGAAGCCCAGGAGTGGGCAGCCATGGGAGATGGAGACGGTGAATGTGTGCCACACTTTCATTTCCAGAAGTCCTTTTGCGATGAGCAGGGGAGGAGAGAGTAGAGCCTGATTCGGGGAGGATGCTGGGTTGCTGGGGAAACCTTCTAAGGGGCTCGGGCATATTTGATGCTGCCTGAATGTGAGTGGGAAGAGGAAACAGGGAGAGGCATGACTGTGGGGGTGGTTAACTCCTGAGCTGTTGGGGAGGGGTGAGCTGGAGAAGGAGTGTGGCCTCTGCTGGGACCTCAGGGAGAGGCCCAGAGGCCTGCATGTGCCAGAGGGGTGGGCATGGTGGGGGGCACTTGACGGTGTGCCTGTCTTGCAGCTGTGACTTTCTCTGTAGAGGAGGCAAGGCCATGAGCTGCTGGTAGCAGGACAGATAAGGACCTCAGAGGCTGGAGGAGAGGGAAGGTGTCACCACCCCAGCCCTCCCTGGTTCATTGCCAAAGCCTCTTAGCTTGTCTCTTTTCACTTTCAACACAGCAGTCAGGCTGAGTCTGGTGAAATGCTCAGCCAGATTGCATCTCTTCTCTGCTTCACATCCAACACACGCCGAGGCTTCTGCCAGGACCTGCTATCCTCTGCGCTGTGGGCCCCTCAGTGACATAACCTTCCCAGACCCCTGTGAACTCCCAAAGCCCAGCACATCCCACGTCAGGCCCATAGCACCTGCTTTTCTGATATTCTGATATAATACCCACTGATGTTATTTTTTGTTTATTTGAATTTATTTTTAAAATTTACATTGTTACTTTTAGTTTGACAACTAGTAATTATATATATTTATGGGATACCATGTGATGTTTTGGACTATGAATACATTGTGGAATGATTATATCACGGTAATGAACATGTCTATCACCTTGAAGACAGTCAGTATTCCGTATCTGTGGGTTCCATGTCTGCAGTTCCAAGCAACTACAGATCAAAATGTTAAAAAATATATAGAAATAAAAAACAACACAGGCCGGGCCCGGTGGCTCACGCCTGTAATCCCAGCACTTTGGGAGGCCGAATTGGGCAGATCACCTGAGGTCAGGAGTTTGAGATCAGCCTGGCCAACATGGCAAAATCCATCTCTATTAAAAATACAAAAATTAGCCAGGCGTGGTGGCATGCGCCTATAATCCCAGCTACTCGGGAGGCGGAGGCAGGAGAATCGCTTGAACCTGGGAGACAGAGGTTTCAGTGAGCCAAGATCGCACCACTGCACGCCAGCCTGGGTGACAGGGCGAGACTCTGCCACGAAAACAAAACAAAACAAAACAAAAAAACCCAAAAAACCAAAAACCCCCCCAAAACCCCAAACAATACAGCAGAACAACTATTGAATAGCATTTCCATTGTATTAGGTATTATAAGTAATCTAGAGATGATTTAAAGTATACAGGAGGATGTGTGAAGGTGATATGCAAATGCTGTGCCATTTTATATCTGGGACTTAAGCATCCTTGGATTTTGTTATCCACAGATTCCCAGGGGTGATTGTACCTTTTTTTTTTTTTTTTTTGAGACAGAGTCTTGGCTCTGTTGCCCAGGCTGGAGTGCAGTGGCATGATCTTGGCTCACTGCAAGCTCTGCCTGCCGGGTTCATGCCATTCTCTTGCCTCAACCTCCCGAGTAGCTGGGACTACAGGTGCCTGCCACCATGCGTGGCTAATTTTTTATATTTTTTAGTAGCAACCTGGTTTCACCATGTTAGCCAGGATGCTCTCGATCTCCTGACCTCGTGATCCACCCGCCTCAGTCTCCCAAAGTGCTGGGATTACAGGTGTGAGGCACTGCGCCCGGCAATTGTACTTATTATTTTTTGTAGTGAAAACATTTAAAATCTTTTTTTAAGCAATTGAAATATACAGTATGTTATTATTGATGATGGTCACCATGCTGTACAAGCTATTCCTCCTCCTGCCCCCCACCAAGCCCCCCAACAGCCTCTGGGAACCACCATTCTGCTCTCTACTTCTGTGTGCTGGACTTTGTTAGCTCTTCATCTTTTCCCCCACAGTATCCACGTGGTTCGCTGCCTCATCACCTTCAGGCTTTTTTTTTTTTTTTTTCTTGAGACCAAGTCTCTCTCTGTCACCCAGGCTGGAGTATAGTGGCACGATCTTAGCTCATTGCAACCTCCATTTCCCTGGTTCAAGCGATTCTCCTGCCTCAGCCTCCTGTGTAGCAGAAATTACAGGCGTGCGCCACCACACCTGGCTAATTCTTATATTTTTAGTAGAGACAGGGTTTCACCTTGTTGGCCAGGCTGGTCTTGAACTCCTGACCTCAGGTCATCCACCCAATTCGGCCTCCCAAAGTGCTGGGATTACAGGCATGAGCCACTGCGCCAGCCACCTTCAGGTCACCTTCTTTAGCGGGAACTCCCCTGCCCACCCTTCTCAAATGGCAGCCCCTTCCACCACACACTGTCTCCCCGTCTCCCTGGGGCTGGTGGTTTTCCTCCCGAGCAAAAACCTGCCTCTGACATAGAGGAGATTTGCAATTTTCTGGCTCATTGACCTTTTCCCTGCTCTAGAAAGTTGGCCCTTGGGCGCAGTGGCTCACGCCTGTAATCCCAGCACTTTGGGAGGCCGAGGCGGGCGGATCACCTGAGGTCAGGAGTTTGAGACCAGCCTGAACAACATGGTGAAACCCCGTCTCTACTAAAAATACAAAATTAGCCGGGCGTGGTGGCGAATGCCTGTAATCCCAGGCATGTACTCGGGAGGCTGACACAGGAGAAATGCTTGAACCCGGGAGGCAGAGGTTGCAGTGAGCCGAGATCGCACCATTGCACTCCAGCCTGGGCAACAAGAGTGAAACTCCTTCTCAAAAAAAAAAAAAAAAAAACAGAAAAAAAAAAAAGGAAAAGAAAAAAAAGAGAGTTGGCACCTGGAGGGCAGGGATTTGTGCATGTTTTGTTCTTTACTGAACCCTCGTTGCCCCAGCGGTGCTGGGCATACAGCAGGTGCGCTTGGTCACTGAAAATGCATGAGAGGTTCCGACGCAGTAGTGAGCAACTTGGGATCCCATCTCACAGATCTCCACTTACCCTCTGCCTCGGGGGTCCCCCAGCAGGCGCCAGTGCCTGGGGCTGCCATGGAGAAAGCTGACCTGGAGACTCTCCAGGGCTGGCGTTGTTCCAGATGCTCACACGCTTACTACAGAAAGACTGGGGGACGGGAGTGGTTAAGGTGTTGACAAGAAAGTAATTGAAATGGCGGAGCATGGAATCTCCCCAGAACTGGGAGAAAAGCTCGGAGGGACTGTGGGTCCGAGGGGGCAGAGGTCAATGGTCTGGAATTCCGAGGAGGCCAAAGGACTCATAATGGAAGGATTGAGGGGATGAGAGACTGCGATGGATTGTGTATAAACTAACAATAAGGGCGCTAAGCTATTACTGTGGTGTGGCTTAGAGATCTTCAGCCTTGAGTAATTGAATTGAAAGCTAAGTTGAATTGAAAACCCAACCTAAATTGTCTTGGACAATAAAGGGAATGTAATGGCTTTTGCCATAAGAAGGCTGGAGGCAGGGCCTCCTCAGGGTGGTTTTCCAGCAGAGGACAGGGACAGGAGTCCACTTATCTCCGTCTCCTGCATCTGCTTCCCTCTCCTGGCAGAATCTTCTCGCCAGCCCCTCCTGGGTCTCCCTGAATCCCAGGTCAGGCCCATGGAGAACCTCTGAGGTTGAGTCTCTGAAAACACGACCCAGGTCCCAGAATTGAACGTCTAGGGGTGGGTGTGTGGAGAGCCGGATGTTTTGATTGGCATGAGCCTGCAGGAGCACCCTTGGATCTGGAGATGGGGCTCGTCCTCCTCAAGTAAGTGCCAGGGAGGGTCGAGGTATTAGGAAGGAGCGTGTGGGAACAGACACTAGAGGCAACACCCCGCCCAAAAGCGTCACTCGTCCGTATGGAGAAGGGAAATGGGAAACGCAGGCCTCCGGGAACTTCTGAAGATGTAGAGGACTAACAGGTGTTGTGGATCTTGAAGGAGTGAGAAATACCATTAGGGAGGTTGGAATTGGGGAGATTCTCACAGATGTTGAAATGCCTGGCTTCTCTGGGTAGATTGGTGACCTTGTAGCAGTGAGTAGCTCCTCGATCAGCTGGGTGCCGACTGCCAGAGCCAGTGGGGTCTGACCTTGCACTCTCGCCTAGAAGCATAATGTGAGCCCCATGGGTCCTGTCAGATTTTCCAGTAGTCACATTAAACATAGCAAAAAGAAACAGATAAAATCAACTTTAATATTATATTCTCTTTCACTCAACATGTCTAAACATGATTTTGATCTATTTTGTTTGTTTTCTTTCTTTTTTTTGAGATGGAGTCTCGCTCTGTTGCCTAGGCTGGAGTGCAATGGCACGATCTTAGCTCACTGCAACCACCGCCTGCCGGGTTCAAGTGATTCTCCTGCCTCAGCCTCCCGAGTAGCTGGGATTATAGGCATGCACTACCACGCCCAGCTAATTTTATATTTTTAGTAGAGACGGGGTTTCTCCATGTTGATTAGGCTGGTCTCGAACTCCTGACCTCAGTTGATCCGCCCGCCTTGGCCTCCCAGAGTGCTGGGAATACAGGCGTGAGCCACCGCACCCAGCCTCGTTTATTTTTTTCTTTGACAGGGTCTCACTCGGTCGTCCAGGCTGGAGTGCAGTGGCACCGTCTTGACTCACTGCAGCCTTGTCTTCCAGGGCTAAAGCCATCCTCCCACCTCAGCTTCCCGAGTAGCTGGGACTACTACAGGCGTGAACCACCACGCCTGGCTACTTTTTGTATTTTTTGTGGAGACAGGGTCTCGCCATGTTGCCCGGGCTGGTCTCAAACTCCTGGGCTCAACCCATTCACCCGTCTTGGCCTCCTAAAGTGCTGGGATTATAGTTGTGAGTCACCATGCCCAGCCCCATCTATTTTGAAATAAATTATATATTTGAAATATTTATGATATAAATAGAATATTTATAAAACATATTTGAAATACACATTATAAATATGTGTATACATATAATTTATATATTTACGTATAAGTAGTAATATATATTATACGTGTGCATGTCTAACCGAGCTGCGTGTGTCTTTCACACTGAGTGCCTTTCTATTTGGATTAGGCACAGTTTTAGTGCTCAGCTGCCCCAGGTGGCTTTCTTTATCTTACTGGACTATGGGGGCCTGACCCTGCAGATGGGCGTCCCCTCCTGTTCGGTGCAGAGCTCATCCTGTCTTATGATTTCACCATCCTCACCTCCAGTTCATTGAATTTCACCTGATCTCAATTGACATTTGAGTTCAAGACACTTCCTGATCTAGTCACTTTGCCTGTTAGGTGATTGAATTTTTGCAGTCTTTTAAAAAAGAGTTCCTGTGTGTATTCTATTTTTTTTTTTTTTTTTGAGGCAGAGTCTTGCTCTGTCATGGCTTACTGCAACCTCTGTGTCCCAGGTTCAAGCAATTCTCCTGCCTCAGCCTCCTGAATAGCTGGCATTACAGGCATGCACCACCATACCCAGCTACTTTTTGTATTTTTAGTAGAGACGGGGTTTCACCATGTTGGCCAGGCTGGTCTCAAACTCCTGACCTCATGTGATCCACCTGCCTCAGCCTGTTGGGATTACGGTCACTCCAGCCTGGGCGACAGAGTGAGACTCCATCTCAAAAAGTAAATAAATTTGCACTCCAGCAAATATTTTTGAGACTGTCTCAAAACAACAACAACAAAAAAACAAAACCAAAACACAGAAATGACCAAACTCTACTGTACACTCAAGTAAAGAGTCTGGTTGCTGGCCGGGGAGCCACAGAGCGTCTGTGAATCTTGAGTCAGGCGCGCACACATAGGCTTCTTCTCTTTGTGGACCTGCCAAGTGCCCAAAATCTCTATGGGAGATGCTTTTGTTTTCAAGAAAGCCTTTTTAAATCAAATCAGAATTATTTGGGAATAATAGGTGCTTAGTGAATTTATTAGTTGAATTGAATTATTACTTGACAGAAGGAGAGAACATAGATCGATTTAAAGGTGTTGCAAGTCAGCCAGAAACAAGGGTACAATTTTAGTTCATGAATAATTTAGATTAGACAAATTTATTTAGAATATTTATGAGATTGCAAAGTTAGTGTCAAAATGCCATTTAAAAATATGCTTAATAGGCTGGGCACGGCGGCACACGCATGTAATCTCAGCACTTTGGGAGGCTGAGGCAGGCGGATCACCTGAGGTTGGGAGTTCGAGACCAGCCTGCCAACATGGTGAAACTCCATCTCTACTAAAAATACAAAAATTAGCTATGTGTGGTGGCACGTGCCTGTAATCCCAGCTATTCTGGAGGCTGAGACACAAGAATCGCTTGAACCCGTGAGGCAGAGGTTGCAACGAGCTGAGATTATGCCACTGCACTCCAGCCTGGCCCACAGAGCAAGACCGTATCTCAAAAACAAACAAACAAAAACACCTTAATAAATCAGAAACTACCGATTGTCTCTATGTAACCACCTGCATTCCACGCACTCTGCTGTATCGATTCTGCATAAGTCATGAGTCCCTCAGGAATGGACTCTCCAAGTAGAATTCAGCCCCTTTTCCATCTATCAGTGTTTATTTTTGGCTTCTCATTTCTTAGAGCTTTACGAAGAACATAAAATAGCAATTATTCAACCATGGTCAGAAGCATGTTGAATCCTTATTTTTGTGTGATGTATTTTATATTTTTTTAGGCTGAAGCGAGCTGATAGCTTGACTGCTGCAGGCATCTTTCCTGATCCTGCTGGTCAGTTACCTTCAGCATTTCCAAAGGATACTAGGTTTGGTGGGGAGAGAAGGAATGTTACTGACCCACAATGACTGGATCAAAATTAACAGTGAAAATGGTAGGCTCAAGATACACGATGCACTTCAGTAAGTTAAACCAACCTAAGTCTCAAGACCCTAGTTATTCTTTATTTGCACAGTGATGTTGTGACACTTTACGTTATGAAAAAGAAACAGAAAGAGAGAGAGAAAAATATCATCCACATATTAGTACAGTGTAGAATCTCACCATATGCCCCAGGGTCAGACGATTTGAACCTCATGTTTCTCTGTGGCTCCCACAGTCCTAGCAACTTGGTCATTTTATGAACACAGTGTTTAAAGGCTCTAGACCTCCCCCTACTTCCTCCTCCTCTGATCTTTGTCCTCCTCTTCTTTGTTTTACTCATGATTTTGTGCAATATTGCTCCTAAATGCACACCAGTTAATTCACCTGGTGTTCAGCTGAATAAATAACTATTTCATTGCTGGAATTACAAAAGAAAAAAGGGCTAGGTTGGACTTGAACTTTGTTCTATAGTACTGTCTGGATGATTTAAGAGATTTTCAAGGGTAATTTTTTTTTAATTTATTTTTTATTTTTATTTATTTATTTATTTTTGAGACGGAGTCTCGCTCTGTCGCCCAGGCTGGAGTGCAGTGGCGCGATCTCGGCTCACTGCAGTCTCCGCCTCCCGGGTTCAAGCGATTCTCCTGCCTCAGCCTCCCAAGTAGCTGGGATTACAGGCATATGCCACCATGCCCAGCTAATTTTTTTGTATTTTTAGTAGAGACAGGGTTTCACCATGTTGGTCAGGCTGGTCTCGAACTCCTGATCCGCCTACCTCGGCCTCCCAAAGTGCTGGGATTACAGGCGTGAGCCACCGCGCCTGGCCGATTCAAGGGTACTTTTAAGTGTACTTGATTTTCATGTATGTGCTGATTTTGTAATCAGTGCCCCAAGTAAGATGTGACTCCATCTTCCCTATAAATGCAGTGCAGAGGGGTTATAACAGAGATAGGCTCAAAACAAAATGGGAATTTTGAGAGACTGTGGTGTGTAGGAACTGGGGCTGTCAGGAGAGTTCTCTGGAAGGAGCTGGCACTAGGAAGTGTCATGTCAGCGGCGTGGAGACTCAAGAAGGAAGCGTGATGTGCCAGAGGTCCTGCTGTGGGAGGGTGGTTGGAGTGGAGTGCACTTCTGCCATGCAGGGTGAGCTGTGTTCTGGGCTGAGGCATTTATCCCAGAGACACGCTCAGCCATTAGTTGATTCCCTAAGCAGGATAGAAATGGTCCCCATTCTCATGCCACTGACAGTTGAGCTGAATACGGTGAGCTCTTTGCAGGTTTTAATCAGAAAAGAGACCTGGTCCCATTTGTTGTGTATCTACATACACACGCACGCTCACACTCACACACATACACACCTCAAACAATTTAAAAAGATAATATATGCATGTGGTAAAAACTATCCAACAATACAAAAGCTCGTGTGTCTCTTTCTTTCTTTCTCTTTCTCTGTCTCTCTCTCTCTCTTGCTCTCTGTTTCTTTCTTTCATTTTGAGACAGGGTCTCGCTCTGTTGAGACCCAGGCTGAAGTGTAGTCGCATGATCATGGCTCACTGCAGCCTTGAATTCCTGGACTCATCGATCCTCCCATCTCAGCCTCCCAAACAGCTGGGATGACGGGTGCATGTCACCACACCCAGGTAATTTTTTAAATTTTTTGTAGAGACAGAGTTTCATCATGTTGTCTAGGCTGGTCTCGAACTCCTGAGCCCAAATGATCCTCCGACCTCTGCCTCCCAAAGTGCTGTGATTACAGGTGGGAGCCACTGCACCTGGCCTGACTCTCCTCTTTGGACACAATCATTGTTATCTCTTTTTAATGTATCCTTCTAGAGATATTCTATGCCCACACAGTGTATATACCCAAAAGTATTCTTCACTGTGCTCTGTTTTCATTAATAGTGAATCTTGGAATTCATTCTTAATACTTCATAGTGATCTATTGCATTCTTTTGATGGCAAAAGAACATGATTAGGTCCATCTACCATAATATAACGAGGGCCCTGCGGATGCACGGTGAGGTAGTTTTTTGGTCTTTTTGCTACTTCACAGCTGCAGTGCGTATTCCTGGGTGCATGCTTTTGCACATATATCCAAGTCCATCTTTGGAATAAATATCTAGAAGTGGAGTTATTTGGTCACAGGGTTTGTGCATTTAAAATTTTCTAGCTGCTGTTGCATTGCCCACTAGAGAGGTTGTACCAATTTGCTCTCTCACAGATAATGTATAGGAGTGTTTATTTCAGGAGGCCTCAGGTCAACATTTTAATCTTTACAGATTTTCTGGATTAAAAAGATGGCTGATATTGAGCATCATTTTCTTTGTTCAAGAGTCCAGTTGTATTTCTTTTTCTATGGACTGCAATTTTGTGCCCATCTTTATTTTTCTTTTTCTCTTTTCTTTCTTTCCCCCTTCCTTCCTTCCCTCCTTCCCTCCCTCCCTCCCTCCCTCCTTCCTTCCTTCCTCTCTCTTGCTCCCTTTCTCTTTCTTTCTCTCTTTCTTTTTCTTTCTTTCTTTTTCTTTCTTTCTTTCCTTCTGTTTCTGTCTTTTTCTTTTCTTTTCTCCTTCCTTCCTTCCTTCTTCCCTTCCCTTCCCCTTCCCCTTCCTCCCTCCCTCCCTCCCTGCCTCCCTCCCTCCCTCCTTTCTTTCTTTCTTTCTTTCTTTCTTTCTTTCTTTCTTTCTCTCTCTCTCTCTCTCTCTCTCTCTCTTTCTTTCTTTCTTTCTTTCTTTCTTTCTTTCTTTCTTTCTTTCTTTCTTTTTTTCTCTTTCTTTCTCTCTTTCTCTCTTTCCCTCACTCTGTTGCCCAGGCTGGAGTGCAGTGGCACGATCTTGGCTCACTGCAACGTTTGCCTCCCGGGTTCAAGCAATTCTCGTGCCTCAGCCTCCCCAGTAGCTAGGATTACAGGCATGCACCACCACACCTGGCTAATTTTTGTATTTTTAGTAGAGACAGGATTTCACCCTGTTGGCCAGGCTGGTCTTGAACTCCTGACCTCAAGTGATCTGCCTGCCTCAGCCTCCCAGAGTGCTGGGATTACAGGCTTGAGCCACTGTGGCTGGCTTTTTTTTTTTTTTTTTTTTGAGACAGGGTCTTGCTCTGTCACCTAGGCTGGAGTACAGTGGCACAGTCGTAGCTCACTCAGCCTCGACCTCATAGGCTCAAGCAGTAGTCCCATCTCAGTCTCCCAAGTAGCTAGGACTACAGGTATGTGTCACCATGCCCAGTGCATTAAAAAATATTTTTTATAGAGACAGGGTTTCACCATATTGACCAGGCTGGTCTCAAACTCCTGGGCTCAAGCAATCTGTCTGCCTCGAACTCTCAAAGTGCTGGGATTACAGGCGTGAGCCACCTCACCCAGCCCTCATGTCCGTTTTCCTATTGTGTTGTTAGCCTTTTTTCTTTATTGATTTACGAATGCTCTTTATATATTAAGCAGATGAGCCTTTTTCTATAGTAACAGTCGTAAATAGTTTTTTCCCCAGTTTCTCATTTGTCTTCTGATTTTGTTCATGTTGTTGTCACTATTGAAAAAATTTCTTTTTTGTTTATGAGGTATTTTATATTTATGTTACCAGGAGCTGAAACTAAGGTGGAGACAAAGAGAAGAGACATGTTTGAAAGACATAAATATTGTGTGTGTGTGTGTGTGTGTGTGTGTGTGTGTGTGTAGCAGGTAGAATGGAAAAACCAGGAAGTATTTTTTTTGAAGCTATGATAATAGGTGACTTTTGAAGTCTTTTCAAAGAACCGAGCAACAGAGGCCCAAAAACAATCTTTAGATACCACAATTCAGGGACAGGAGAGAAAATGTGGAATTAAGGAAATAGAAAAGGAGCTGCTGTCTGGTATGGCAAATGCCACTGGAGGTGGCAGTGTGTGCCCCATGTCTGAAGGCTGTCAGGGCCTCCTGGGTCAATCTTCCTTCCAATGGCCTCGGTTCCAGCCACAGTCCTGGGTATCTGAGACTGGCAGATGAATGGCTAATGTCATTGATTCTAGGCCTTCTTTTGTATTTTAAGGCAGGGTGCTTACAAAGGGTGATTCAGTAAATAAGTCATCTTGTGGAATTCATTTAAAATCTTAATCATAGTAGCTGAGCACAGTGGCTCATGCCTGTAATCCCAGCACTTTGGGAGGCCAAAGCAGGTGGATTACCTGAGGTCAAGAGTTTGAGACCAGCTTGGCCAACATGGTGAAACCCCGTTTCTACTAAAAATACAAAAAATTAGCCAGGCGTAGTGGTGCACACGTGTAGTCTCAGCTACTTGGGAGACTGAGGCAGGAGAATCGCTTGGAGACCCAGGAGGCGGAGGTTGCAGTGAGCTGAGACTGCACCATTGCTCCCCAGCCTGGGCAACATGAGTGAAACTCTGTCTCAACAACAACAACAACAACAACCAAAAAAAAAAAAAGTCTTAACTGTAGCAGCAACCTGTTACATATTAACATTTTCCCCTCATCTTCTCCTTTCTCTGTATTTTTTGATAAAGGGCCCATCTAGAGGCTGCAGGGCACGTGTGCGTTTTGAAGGATGCCTTTGACTTTGAAAGCCGATCTGAGATTGCAAACCTCATCTTGGCTGAGAACTGCGAGGCTGCCCTGGCTCTTCATCTCTATAGGGGAGGCAGGCTTTTGCAAGGTAATCCTCTTTTTCTTCAAAAGTAAAACACTAGAAATTCTGAAAACCGGAAGTGCCTGTAATGTCCAATAACACGGGAAACAGTGTCTCCTTTTTATCCAGTTCAGAAATGGGAGACATGCAATAATCTCTTTGGTTTGCTTTCTTAATGCACAATTTTCTTAAATGTTATAACAGTCAAGAATGGATGTGTATTGAAACTGTTTTTACCATATTAAAAGTATCATCCTTAATTTTTGTTTGTTTATTTATTTGTTTTTTTGGGACAGGGTCTCTCTGACTCTCACCCAGGCTGGAGTGCAGTGATACAATCTCGGCTCGCTGCAACCTCCGCTTCCTGGGCTCAAGCAATCCTCCCACTTCAGCCTCCCAAGTAGCTGGAACTATGGGTGCATGCCACCATGTCCCCTAATTTAAATTTTTGTTTTTTTTTTCAGGGATAGGGTTTCACCCTTGTTGCCCAGGCTGGTCTTGAATTCCTGGGCTCAAGCAATCCATCCTCCTCAGCCTCCCAAAGTGCTGGGATTGCAGGCATGAGCCTGGCCCTGAATTTTTTCAATGCATATTTCATCTTTCAAAATATATTTTTTTCAAAAGAATTCTTTTACAAATAGAGCACTTATGAAAGATGTTGTTCAACCCATCAATTTATGAGGAAACTACTAAGATGTTAAAACCAGTTTAAAGCACATTTGAGCAACTGGAGTTTAAATAAGCAATTTAATAAAGAATATCAGAGTAAATTCACGAGGTTAGTTGCAGAACTGATTAACATCCAACAAGGCAATGGGCCCCAAGCTTTGGAAGTATCTCTTCTACTGGACAGAAATGATTTACGTCTCTCCCTGACACAAAGCTACAAATGGCTTAATGTAACTTCACAGAGTATGAGCTTTCAATTAATAGTAAATAGTGAAGTCAAACAACAATACACTCTCTCAGAAAATGAGTCTTTAGAGGACCCTTTTAATTATGGCTTCCTAGAACATTGCAAGAAAATGCATGTGGACCTTATTTATTCTTATTATTCTTGACCTTATTTTCAGGTTGTGGAAAATTTTTCTTAACACTCACAAGACCCATCTGACTTTACTGAGAGTATAGCAGCCACCAAATAAAGGCAAGACAGATATTTTTGTTATTGTCTGGCCTGAGTGATTTCCTCAAACATGAATTAAATGACATAGTAGTGGTATCATTTGTGCTGCACCATTTTAAGGGATAGTAATAGCATGTCATTGGAGGATCAAAATTTGCTCTAGTCATCATCACATCAGGATTAAATTTTGGTCAGCAAAATGTGTCACACTTTCAAAAATTTTAGAGGTTTTTTACTGAAGGTGATTTTTTCATTTTTCCACACTGTATCAAACCTTATTTAAGCTCCAGCTCTTTTTCCTGCCTCCTGTTCCACAGGAAGTTGAGCCCTCTCTGAACACTCTCTTCATATATGGGCACATCTTACTATGTGTTCTTTTTTATTTTTTCAGGTAATACATGAAAAATTGCCCCGGTGTAAAATGTAACTGAGTGGTATAGTATGAAAAGTAAGCCTGTCTCCCACCTCTTATCCCCACTGTATTATTTCTCATTTCCAGAGGTAACCACAGTTAACATTTTCTTGTGGATATTCTCCTAGAAATATATGTACTGTATTGATTATCTATTATTACATAACAAATTACCCCCTGCCCCAACTTAGTTGCTTATCGCAGTACATTTGTTATCTAATGGTTCCTGTGGGCATTCAAAAGCAGCTTAGCTGGGTGGTCTGTCTCAGGGTTTCCCATGAGGCTGCAGTCTTATCTGGTGGCTTGACTGGGGCTTGCTGATGTGCATCCATTATAGTGCACTCACAAGGCCGTTGGTGGGAGGTCTCAGTTCCTTACCACATGGTCCTCTCCATGGCCCTCTTGAGTGTCCTCACGATGTGATGGCCAGCTTCTCCCTGAGAGAACCATCAAAAGAAAAGCAAGTTGGAATTTGCCTTATTTTTCATGACCCAGGCTCAGAAGTCAATACAACATGAATCCCACAATATCCTTCTGATTACACAGGTCAGCACTATTCAGTGTGAGAGGGCACTACACAGAGCATGCATATGAGGAGGTTCATGTACACCCATGCATGTATTTATATGTACCTCCTCCCCCATCTTAAACACACACACACAAATGGAAGCCCACCGCTGAATATATATTCAGCATCTTCCTTTTCACCGCTCAGCCACACATCTGGGAACTTTCTCCCATAGTGGCACATACATAGATCTGTCTCATCCATTGTGCAGAGGTGCCATCATTTAAAGTCTTCAATAAATAAATGTTTACATTGTCTTTAATTTTTCTATTTCACCTTTTAGAATGCTTGTCTCTGTACAGACATCATAGCATACCAACTTGGGAGAATATATTTGTGCTTCCATATTTTTGCATCCGTGCCTGAACAATCTAAATGAACTGTTTTCTGTATATGCGGAGAGTGTTTCTGAAAGTATTATTTCTAGAGAGTTATTTTCTGCTGAACAAGTATATGACTTTGAATTTTTTTTTTCTTTTTTTTTGACACAGGGTCTCACTCTGTTACCCAGGCTGGAGTGCAGTGATACAATCTTGGCTCACTGCAACCTCCATTTCATGGGCTGAAATAACCCTCCCACCTCAGCCTCCCAAGTACAGGCATGTGGGACTGCAGGCATGTGCCACCATGCCCGGCTATTTTTTTGGTATATTTTTAGAGACAAGGTCTTGCCATGTTGCCCAGGCTGGTCTTGAACTCCTGGACTCAACCAATCCACCCACCTTGGCCTCCTAAAGTGCTGAGATTAAAGGCATGAGCCACTGCACCCAGCCTTGAATTCAGTTTTAAGTGTAGTGAAACACAGTCTGAGCTTTGTCTCTGAATGTGAAAGAAGTGTAGAGTTTAACTTTCCTTATAGGCCAAGATGAAGTTCGGAATCCCTGATAGCTCAGTAGGAACCTTTGTAAGGTTGTCACTGACTGTTGCAACTCTTTCATGCAGTCACAAAGCCTCAGCCCTGAGTTTAGTGATTCTGTTGACAGTGAGTTGTGTTGTTTTCTTTTCTTTTTTTCTTCAGCTTTTAAGTTCAGCAGTACATGTGCAGGATGTGCAGATTTGTTACATAGGTAAACGTGTGCCATGGTGGTTTGCTGTACAGATCATCCCATCACTTAGGTATTAAGACCAGAATCCATTAGCTATTCTTCCTGATGTTCTCCCTCTTCCCCCACCCCACCCCCAACAAGTTGTCAAGTTGTGTCATTTTCTGTAAAGTGATACTTATTATTTTTTTCTTTTTCTTTCTTTCTTTCTTTCTTTCTTTCTTTCTTTCTTTCTTTCTTTCTTTCTTTCTTTCTTTCTTTCTTTCTTTCTTTCTTTTTTTTGGGGGGGTGGGCAGAGTCTCACTCTGTGGCCCAGGCTGGAGTGCAGTGGCATGATCTTGGCTCACTGCAGCCTCTGCCTAGCAGGCTTAAGTAATTCTTGTGCCTCAGCCTCCAGAATAGCTGGGATTAACAGGTGTGCACCACCATGCCCAGCTACTTTTTGTGTTTTTAGTAGAAACGGGCTTTCACTGTGTTGGCCAGGCTGGTCTCCATCTCCTGGCTTAAAGTTGTTTGCCCGCCTCGGCCTCCCAAAGTGCTGGGATTACAGGCGGGAGCCACCAAGTGCAGCCGGCCCCTGTTATTTCTTTTTAAAGGTTTTACACACATATGTGGAACATTTTATTCCCACAAGTGGGATTAGGTCTGTATATTTAACTCATATCTTAGCTACTTTTCCAAATCCACAAAGCTACATTCTTTTTATTGGCTGTGAGGTATTCCACTGTGACAATGCACCATACTTATTAAAAGTCTCTCTTGTTTTTTTGCTATTCCAAGCAAGGCTGAAGTGTTTTCGATTACATTTCTTTACACCATTGTATGTGGATGTTGGAAATATAAATTCCTAGGAAAGCCTGTGGGTCAAAGGGCTGTGTAACTTTTGTTTTGATTGACAGTGACAAAATGCTATATGGAAAGGTTATTCCAGTTCGTATTCTACTAACAGATGGGCAAGGACTTATTTCTCCTCTAGTCAGATTGCTGGATTTTTGTTTTTTCCTTCAAACTTACAGTTCTCAATTTTACCATGCTTGACCTCTGCTTCAAATAAACAAAGTCATCTGAAGTTAGGTTTGCTTCTTTTAAGAGTTGAAGGAGGAGAGGAGCCCTCTGCAAAACCAACCTATTGCCCAGAGGAAAAAAATCAATTACATTGCTCAATCTAATAAATATCGAGAACTGAAGCCATGCTTACTCTTAGTAAATGTGGTTAAACTTTTACTTGTTCATTCCTAGTTGTTGTCCATATGGAAATTAAACTGTATTTATTCCTCAGGGTTATGTTTTTGAAGGTTAAAGTCTCTCTGTGTAGCATCATGTGTAAAAAGCACCAGAACCATTGTCAGTAAGAAGAGCTGTCCCTGTGCACCGTGAGGTTTTCACTTAGCAAAGTATCTGGGGACCTTCTCTGCACCAGTTGCAGACATTGAGTTGCCCTACCCTGTCATTAACTGGCTGTGTGATATTTCATTCTGTGCATACACTACACATTTCTTAGACAGCCTTCTATTGATTAAACTGTATTTAAAAATATATAGTTCTTATTGATTTTTAAATTACTTATAGAGGTGATTTGGAAACTATGTAAAAATACAAAGAAGAAAATATGGCACCTGCAGTTTCGCCACCCAGAAACGACCACTGTTTGTGTGTGTGT
This sequence comes from Homo sapiens, assembly GCF_000001405.40. Lineage (NCBI taxonomy): Eukaryota > Metazoa > Chordata > Mammalia > Primates > Hominidae > Homo > Homo sapiens. The sequence goes on from NC_000012.12 coordinate 128,880,845, forward strand.
TTTTGGTTTTATTTATGTTTTTATTCAAAATTAAGTTTGCAAAAAAGATATAATTTTACAATTAAGCTTGCAACTTCTTTTAAAAAATATTTGTAGTCGGCCGGGCGCGGTGGCTCACGCCTGTAATCCCAGCACTTTGGGTGGTGGAGACGGGCGGATCACGAGGTCAGGAGATCGAGACCATCTTGGCTAACACGGTGAAACCCCGTCTCTACTAAAAATACAAAAATTTAGCCGGGCGTGTTGGCGGGCGCCTGTAGTTCCAGCTACTGGGGAGGTTGAGGAAGGCGAGTGGCGTGAACCCGGGAGGCGGAGCTTGCAGTGAGCCGAGATCCTGCCACTGCACTCCAGCCTGGGCGACAGAGCGAGACTCCGTTTCAAAAAAAAAAAAAAAAAAAAACTATAGTCCAGGCGCGGTGCCTCACACCTGTAATCCCAGCATTTTGAAGGCTGAGGCAGGCAGATCACTTGAAGTTAAGATTTCGAGATTAGCCTGGCCCGCATGGTGAAGCCCCGTCTCTACTAAAAATACAAAAAAAATTAGCTGACCATGGTGGCGAGTGCCTGTAATCCCAGCTACTTGGGAGGCCGAGGCAGGAGAATCTCTTGAACCCAGGAGGTGAACGTTGCAGTGAGCTGAGATCATGCCCCTGCACTCCAGTCCGGGCAACAGAGTGAGACTCTGTATCGAAAAAAAAAAAAAAAAAAAAAAAAAAAATATATATATATATATATATATATATATATATAAAATTTATAGATATAGATACATAAAATAAATATATTTATATACCTATATAAATATATATTATATATAATATATAAAAATATATATTTTTTATGGAGTATTTAGTATGTGCTAAGCACTTTGATAAATGCTTTGGATGCAGAGATACTGCTGTATCTGACTCTTGCTCTGTAGTTTGTGTGTATATTTTAAAAATTGCAATCATATTATACTTTTAATTGCGTAACCTATTTTACAATATGTTAGAAATAGATGGTCTATATTTCCTCTGTCATTGAATGTTCTTTTGCAGCAAGTTATGAATGGTCCCGTCCTATTTCCATTTCTCCCCTCAGTTTTAAACAATATCATGATGAACAGCCTTCTGCATAAACCTTTGGAGCCCATTTCCTTTAGGATTTTCCAGAAATAACCTTGCAGGATCAAAGGGTATATGCATTTTTAAAGCTTTTCATACATATTGCCAAGTTATAACTAGTCACATTTATATAACTGTGTATATTAAATATTGCTAAGTAAAACCTTAACAGCTTGGAGAAGTGGAAGTTTGCTTTTCTGTTTAAAATTAGTATTTGCTGAGAAAATAATTATATAAAATAGCTAAGTAGAATATGCAAATAATGGAAAATAGCACATTAACAACATTAATACACATTACGGATATATTGCAGGTATAACGCAATTTTTTTTTTTTTTTTTTTTGAGACAGAGTCTGGCTCTTGTTGCCCAGGCTGGAGTACAATGGTGAGATCTTGGCTCACTGAACCTCCACCTCCCGGGTTCAAGCAGTTCTCCTGTCTCAGCCTCTCGAGTAGCTGGGATTATAGGCGCCCACCACCATGCCCTGCTAATTTTTGTATTTTTAGTAGAGATGGGATTTCACTATGTTGGCGAGGCTAGTCTCGAATCCTGACCTCAGGTGACCCACCACCTACCTTGGCCTCCCAAAATGCTGGGATTACAGGTGTGAGCCACCACACCCAGCCTGCAAATGTTTTAAAGAACAATATCAACTTTCATTCCTTAAGGTATGGACCAATTATTATATGAACGTCAAAGTAACACATTATATTTGTTTCTCCCTCTTGGGCATGTCTGTAAGATATTTTTGGCATGCATACCGATCCATCGTTTCAAGTGTGTGTGAACAGAACTTTACAGGTATCCTTAACTTAGATGGAATGGAACCTGTTCCCAGGTAGTGTGCTTTCTGGACTCTTTCCTATACACCCTAAATGGCACACAAGGAAAAACTTAACTTGATGCTGGCCAAGAGTGTGTTAATCAAGCTCCTCCTCTTTCTATTTATTTATTTATTTATTTATTTATTTATATTTTTAATTTTTTTTTTTGAGACGGAGTCTCACTCTGTCGCCAGGCTGTAGTGTAGTGGTGGGATCTCGGCTCACCGCAACCTCTGACTCCCCTGGTTCAAGCAATTCTCCTGCCTCAGCCTCTTGAGTAGCTGGGATTACGAGCACGCGCCACCACGCCCAGCTAATTTTTGTATTTTTAGTGGAGACGGGTTTCATCATGTTGGCCAGGATGGTCTCCATCTCCTGACCTCGTTATCTGCCCGCCTGGGCCTCCCAAAGTGCTGGGATTAGAGGCGTGAGCCACCACGCCCAGCCTTCTTTCTTTTTAAGAATATGCTTTAGGCTTGAGCCTAATAAGGAAGCAGATAAGGTCGGGTGGCTGATTGAGAAGCCAAGTTTAGGGCCGGGCGTAGTGGCTCATGCTTGTAATCCCAGCACTTTGGGAGGCTGAGGCGGGGGGATCACAAGGTCAGGAGTTCGAGACCAGCCTGGCCAACACGGTGAAACCCCGTCTCTACTAAAAATACAAAAATTAGCTGGGCATGGTGGTGGATGCCTGTAATCCCAGCTACTCGGGAGCCTGAGGCAGGAGAATAGCTTGAACCCGGGAGACGGAGCTTGCAGTGAGCTGAGATCGCGCCACTGCACTCTAGCCTGGGCGACAGAGCTAGACTCCATCTCAAAAAAAAAAAAAAAAAAAAGTAGAAGAAGCCAAGTTTAGGAAGCTATGATTTTCTGTTTTTCTCAGCCGATTACTGGGAGAGACAAACCTCTAGCACAAGTACTGATTTAGGAATAAGACCCTTACGTGGGTGGCTCCGAGTCAACTCACTTGGAAAATAGCTTGTGTGCTACTCTTCATTCTCAGTGCATTTCAGCAAATGCTCTTTGAGGACCTAACTTTGAGTGCCATCATATTAGAGCAAGGGGTGCAGACATAAATAAGAGAATCTTCTAGTCTATAAATAAAACCCAAGACCTTATGATACATGGCATGACATAGAAGGGAAAGGATTTACTTCTGAGAGACCTGGAGAAGATTTCAGAAACAAGGGATGACTGAATAGGGTTTTGAAGAGTGAATAAGAGTTTATAAATATATCCTCGAAAAATGAAAAATAGAACTACCGTAGGATCCAGCAATCCCACTTCTGGGTATATGTGCAAAGGAAATGAAATCAGTGTGTGGAAGAGATATCTGCAACCCCATGTTCACTGCAGCACTATTCAAAACAGGCAGGACGGGGAATCAACCTGTGCCCATTGATGTTAAATGGATACAGAAAATGGGGTATATATATATGTAATGGAAAACGAAGGATATTCTGTCGTTTGTAACAACATGGATGAGCCTGGAGGACATAATGCGAAATACAATAAGCCAGTCACAGAAATACAAATACCACATGGTTCTCACTTGTATGTGAAATCCAGAAAGTCAAATTCATAGAAGCAGAGAGTAGTAGGATGGTTACCAGGTGCTCAGGATTGTGAGGAGATTAGGGAAACGTTGGTCAAAAAGCACAAAATTTCAGCTAGGAGGAATACATTCAAGATTTATTGTACAGCATGGTGACTGTAGTGAATAACAATGTATTGTATACTTGAAAATTGCTAAGAGAGGGGCCAGGCATGGTGGCTCATACCTGTAATCCCAGCACTTTGGAAGGCTGAGGCGGGTGGATCACTTGAGGTCACGAGTTCGAGAGCTGCCTGGCCAACATAGTGAAACCCTGTCTCTGTTAAAAATATAAAAATTAGCTGGGCATGGTGGCACTGCCTGTAATCCCAGCTACTTGGGAGGCTGAGGCAGGAGCATCACTTGAACCTGGGATGCGGAGGCTGGAGTGAGCCAAGATAGCACCGCTGCACTCTAGCCTGGGTGACCAAGTGAGACTCTGTCTCAAAAAATAGAAAAAAAAATTGCTAAGACAGTAGTAGGTTTTAAGTGTTCTCATCACCAAATAAATGATAAATATGTGAGGTAATACATATATTAATTAGCTTGATTTTTTTTTTTTTTTTTTTAAGAAATGGGATCTTGCTGTGTTTCCCAGGCTGGTCTCAAACTCCTGGGGTGGAGCAATCCTCCTGCCTTGGCCTCCCAAAGTGCTGAGATGACAGGTGTGAGCTACTGTGCTTGGCCTAATTAGCTTGATTTAGCTATTCCACAATGTATACATATTTTAAAACATCATGTTGTACACCATATATATATACAATAATAAAAAGAGAGTTTGCAAAAATATTTTATCTACATCATGTTATAGCAGAGGACTTCCAGAATTTTTCAATTGTAATCATGGGTGAATTTATAAGTCTTATTTTTTTGAGACAGAGTCGAGACTCTTTCGCCCAGGCTGGAGTGCAGTGGCACAATCTTGGCTCACTGCAACCTCTGCCTTCCAGGTTCAAGCGATTCTCCTGCCTCAGCCTCCCGAGTAGCTGGGATTAAAGGCATGTGCTACCACACCCAGCTAATTTTTGTATTTTTAGTAGAGATGGGGTTTCACCATGTTAGCCAGGCTGGTCTCAAACTCCATACCTCAAGTGATCCACCCGCCTCGGCCTTCCAAAGTGCTGAGATTACAGGTATGAGCCACCATGCCTGGCCCCTCTCTTAGCAATTTTCAAGTGTACAATACATTGTTATTTACTACAGTCACTGAGTAGCTTGGCCAAAGGCATGCCTGTTCTAGGCGGAGAAGCAGAATTCTAACCTGGGGCTGTCTGGAGTGAAAGTCCTGTGATTTCTCCAGATAGGTCAAATTAGCTTTGACATATATGAGTTATTGCTGCTGGTCTGATTGAGTAAGAAAGGGCTGTCATCTTAAGTACTAAATATGTTCACACCTTTTAAACAACCTCGTTGATAGTGTGTATCTTTTAGGTGTCTATTTTTCTGTCTTTGGGAATTTCACTGAAAACGACTCTCCCACTGTTTTACTTAGCCTCCTTTAGTAGCAGTTTTTATTGGGGGAATATCCCAGATATGGTTTGGCTGTGTCCCCATCCAAATCTCTTCTTGAATTATAGCTCCCACAATTCCCGTGTGTTGTGGGAAGGACCTGGTGGGAAGTAATTGAATCATGGAGGTGGGCCTTTCCTGTGCTGTTCTCATGACAGTGAATAAGTCTCTCATGATCTGATGGTTTTATAAAGGGGAGTTTCCCTGCACACGCTGTCTTCTCTTGTCTGCTACCATGTGAGATGTGCCTTTCACCTTTTGCCATGATTGGGAGGTCTCCCCAGCCACATGGAACTGTGAGTCCATTAAACCTCTTTCTTTTGTAAATTGCCCAGACATATCCAATTGCCATGCCAGTTGGGTATGTCGTTATCAACAGCTTGAAAATGGACTAATACAGTCCCTTTGTGGCAATAGGGTGTATCAGTTTCCCACTGCTGCTGTAATAATTTACCACAAACCCAGTGGCTTCAGACAACACAAATTCATCACCTGACCTCCAGTTCTGGAGAATAATTGCTCCCAGAGATGTCCACATCCTACTTCCCAAGACCCCTGAGGCGGTGACAGGGGAGCCTGTTCTGGAGGTTGGAAAGCTGAAGCGGATCTCCCAGGCTGAAATTCAGGTGTCAGCAGCTGCGCTTCTTCCTGGAGGCTCTTGGGGAGAATCTGTTTTCTTGTCTTTTCCAGCCTTGAGGGGCATCCACATGTCTTGGCTCATGGCCCTTCCTCCATGTCCAGAGCCATCAGGCTGGTGAGGTCTTCCTCACTCTGAACTTGATTCTCTGGCCTCCCTCTTCCACTTGTAACGACCCCTGTGGTTATGTTGAGCCTGCCTCGATAGTCTACCGTAATACCCCTCCCCTGTCCCAGCCTCATGGGTCCTGGGAATTAGGATGTGGACATCTCTGGGAGCAATTATTCTCCCTACCACAGATTCATGTCCTTACCATATGAGAAAAATCTTCACTCTGTCTCAACATCTCCCAAAGCCTAAACCCCTGGTGAACCACCTCTACTGGGCGGGCGTTTCTATGTCTCTCTGTGTTTTTGGAAAAGTTCTTACAGGTCTGTAGTAAGAAATTCAAACAATATAAAATGTTACAGAGTGAAAAGTAAGTCTCACTCCCAACCCAGATTTTTTTTTTTTTTTGAGGCGGAGTCTCGCTCTATCACCCAGGCTGCAGTGCGGTGGCGTGATCTCAGCTCACTCCAACCTCTGCCTCCCGGGTTCAAGTGATTCTCATGCCTCAGCCTTCGGAGTAGGTCGGATTACAGGTGTGCCCCACCACACCTGGCTAATTTTCGTATTTTTACAAAAATAGAGACAGAATTTTGCCGTGTTGCCCAGGCTGATCTCAAACTCCCGGCCTCAGGTGATCTGCCCTCCTTGGCCTTCCAAAGTGCTGGCATTACAGGTGTGAGCCACCGCACCTGGCCCATCCCAGATCTGTAGTCTTCCAGGTCTCTTTCCCAGAGGTGACAACAGTTATTATTTTGTGTACTATCACAGATGCTCTGTGCATATAGAAATGTGTGTTTATGGCTTTTGTTTTTGTGCAAGCATCTTTTGTTCACCAATATGCGTTTTTTTTTTGGCCAGTCTTTCTATGTGAGTACACACACACACACACACACACACACACAGAGCTCCAAAAAAAAAGAGTTGGTCTTCACCAATGCACAAGTAAGTTGCTTCTCAAACTGTGCTACTTTTAGCAGCCTTGCTGGAGCCATGTGTATTATTGTTGAGCTTAATATCTGGAGGCTGAATTCATAGCAGTGGAATTCTAGGGTGAGAGTGACCTAGATAGAGAGAAAGAAGATGAGATCTGCTAATTTACATGACAAAAACAATTCAAAGGCCAGTAAAAGGAAAGATCAGTATCTTCTCCTTTAAATATCTTGATAGAAATAGCTTGTTTGAGAAATCTAACTGGGTGAACTCCAGTTAGATCTGGTCTGTTGGGTGATTTGTAGGCCATAGTCTCTCTGAAATTTTTAGGTGACCTTTGGGAGTCCTTTCGGGGAGTCGCTTTTGATAAGCACATCATTCAGCCTGAGATGGGCAGGGCTAATGCCCTGTCCTGCCCATCTGCGCTCATGAAATGTTCATCAAGGAAGCAGGGAGTGGACTCACACACTGCCTCCCATCCGCACAGGACGCGTCACTCGGAATATACATACTCCCTTTGCAAATTCTTTCCCACTTTATGCGCTCAGCATCTTGTGTTATTTTGGCCCTTATCCTAGTTGAGCCTGTCATAATTTATCACCCCTGCTGTACTGAACAGTTCTTGAGGATATTATCAAGGTTGTCTGTACCTCTCTCTCCCCTGTTGTTGTCCCAAGCTAGCACGGTGCCTGTTGGTGTTGATGAACAATAGGACTCAGTTTGGAGAGCCCTTTTTTTGTCATGAATTTTGATGATGGCAGATTAGCCCATTTCCTAGGAATGATAAGCTTGGCTTTGATTGATAGATGAGGCTAACAATATTTTTTATTTGCTAAAGTTTAAAATGAATTAATTGAAAGATAGCCCTGACGACAGTGGTTGGGGCCTCCCGTGATTCCTCTTGGTGTTGTGTTTATTGTAGTGATACCTATTCTGCTATCCAGGAGAGGTGGATGCAGCTAAATGTACAGCAACAAACAGCTCCGGCGATCTGGGAACTTCAGTGTTTAAGATCCTTGCTTGGGAATGGTTGGTGAAGGCTGTTTTTAGGGCTAAATTCTGCTTTGTGACTGTCATCGTTTTGCAGGCCACCGAATCCCTTTTGGAGTCATCTTTGGTGGAACTGATGTAAATGAAGATGCCAACCAGGCGGAAAAAAACACAGTCATGGGCAGAGTTCTTGAGGAAGCCAGGTAATACCTGCGAGAATTTCATCCATGCCAAACATTTAAACTGTGTGAATTGAATTAATTGAAACCAAAGACCGAGGGCACCAATTGCCGGGAAGGTTTACATCTTAGCACTTAAAACCAATTTCATGTAACCTTTTCTTTCATTTGGTACATTTTTATTTGGCCACAAATAGTCATTGCTAACAGGTTATTGCACTTAAGTCTTCAACTACAGTTAATATTAGATAAGCCTCTTTAGAATGGTCTGCATGGAGCCAGGCATAGTGAGGCACGCCTGTGGTCCCAGCTGCTTGGGAGGCTGAGGCAGGAGGATTGCTGGAGCCCAGGAGCCCAAGGCTACAGTGTGCTATGGTTGCAATCCAGCCTGAGTGGTAGAGCAAAGCCCTCTTTTCAAAAAAACAAGTGTTCTGGATGTAGAAAACACGAATCACAGGCAAACTCCAGCCTTAGCAGCACACAAATTAGGATCTAGTTTGCATCAGGTTTGCCCAAGTAGACTATCTTTGGCATGGGTCTTATCTATGTAGCTTTCTGAGCTATATATGCCATTTGCAAGAAGGGTCACCAACAGGATTTCTAAACTGTGGCTTAGGCCTTTTCCTTGGGTATGGCCCTCTAGCTGTCCCAGGGACCTGAGAGGTAGCTGCTGTGAGAACAGCTCTACATGCTCTAAGTGGGGCTTCTTACAGGGGTCACTGTGATAATCCTGGGGGCTGCCCTGCACGTCTCTGATCCCAGATACTGATCATGGGCAGCAGCCTCCAGGTACCACAACTACCTTAGTATGTCTCCCTATAATTCTAATGCCCCCAGGGTGGGGGAAGTTATTATCCCCAGTTGAGAATTCCTTCCAGCGCTGTACTTCCCAACTTTTCCATGTCAATACGGTGAAAGGAGGTTCATCGGAGGCTGTTGTTCTGGACCAGCCCCCGCACTGTCCCCCAGCGGACTAGCCCAAGACAGAAAGGAGTCACTTGTGCTGAGCGCTATGTAATCAAACTGAACTTTGAAATGGGTCAGCCTTCTTTCTCTCTTCTCTTCTCTTTTCCTGACAGAGTCTCATTCCGTTGCCCAGGCTGGAGCGCAATGGCGCGATCTTGGCTCACTGCAACCTCAGCCTCCCGGGTTCAGGCGATTCTTGTGCCTCAGGCTCCCGAGTAACTGGGATTATGGGCGCCTGCCACCACAGTCGGCTAATTTTTGTATTTTTAGTAGAGACGGGGTTTCACCATTTTGCCAGGCTGGTCTCAAACTCCTGGCCTCAAGCGATCCACCTGCCTCGGCCTCCCAAAGTGCTGGGATTACGGGCATGAGATACCGTGCCCAGCCTGAAATGGGCCAGTTTTCTAAAAGGCAAGAAATTCCAGGCAACTTCAGTCAGCAGAATAGGGAAGTCTTCTCTGCTTTAACCCTGTAGGGAAAGTAACTCTGAAATGCCCCATCTGCTTTTTGTTTCCTGTGTCTGCTTTCTTCAGCCCTTGTCTGTCTGTAAAACACGCCTTCTCTGCGCAGCTCATCAGAACACTCATTCTGTTTTGTAGAATGAGGTGCTGCCCAATTCTAGAATTGCTGATAAAGGCCCATTATAATCTTTGAACTCAATTTGTTGTCATTGTGTCTTTTGACAAGGCATACTTAGAAAATTATCATATTTGTATAGCAATTTAAAGTGGATTAAAAGCCTTGATTAAAAAAATCACTCCCATTTCTTTGTCTAACGAATAACAATAATAAGAATTAAAATAATGATAAAATCAGGCCGGGCACGGTGACTCAGGCCTGTAATCCCAGCACTTTGGGAGGCCTGAGGCAGGTGGATCACTTGAGGTCAGGAGTTCGAGACCAGCCTGGCCAACACGGAGAAACCCCATCTCTATTAAAAATACAAAAATTAGCTGGGTGTGGTGGTGGGTACCTGTAATTCCGGCTACTTGGGAGGCTGAGGCAGAAGAATCACTTTAACCCAGGAGGTGGCCAGGTGCGGTGGCTCACACATGTAATCCCAGCATTTTGGGAGACTGAGGCAGGTGGATCACCTGAGGTCAGGAGTTCGAGACCAGCCTGGACAACAGGGTGAAACTCCATCTCTACTAAAAATACAAAAATTAGCCGGACATGGTGGCCTGTGCCTGTAGTTCCAGCTACTTGAGAGGCTGAGGCAGAAGACTTGCTTGAACTCGGGAGGCAGAGGTTGCAGTGAGCTGAGATCGTGCCATTGCACTCCAGCCTGGGAGACAGAGCATGACTCCATCTCAAAAACAAACAACAGCAACAACAACAAAAGAACCCGGGAGGTGTTGGTTGCAGTAAGCAAGATGTTGCCATTGCACTCTAGCCTGGGTGACAGAGCGACACTGTCTCAAAAAAAAAAAAATTTAATTAATTAAAAAAATAAAAAATTAAATAAAATAATGATAAAAGCAATATGAATCTTCCATGATCATATGAAAATTGTGAAAAAAAGCGGAAATTAAATCAAAAGAACTACCTATACATGCATACCCAAAACAAAGAACTTTTCTGATCAGTCATGAGGTGCTCAGTGGGCTTCCTCGGGGTTTGGCTGGACAGTCAAGGGGGTTCTGTGCAGTTTGTCCTCCCACATGTTCACTGGCTGCTGGTGTTAGAAGAAAGCTTCACCTGTGTCTAGAATAACCCTGAAACCACAGTTTACAGTTGGTCCAACAAGTACTGCCTAACTATCCCTTCGACCCTTTTAAATCTTTGAATCATTGTAGAGAACAAAACAAAGCAAAACTGGTAATTGATTTTATCCCAATAAATCACCAGCCATTAATTTTCTGTGGCTCACCTCATGGCTGGGAAGCTCTGGCCAGGGAATTTGGGACACTTCAAGTCTTTATGTAGCTGGATCACCCTATTCCATACAGGGGACAGCATTCAAAGTTCTGTCGGGAGCCTCAGATTCCTTGTTTGGTAATGTAGGTGTCAGTCTCGCTTCTGAAAACCAGGGTTACTGAGAGGTATCACTGCATTTAGGACCCTAGTCCTTCCTGAGGACCCCGATCGTATGTTGTGGCAATGCAAATGTGGACCCAAAAAACCTGAGACAGGTCTCAGTTACTATTTAGAAAGTTTATTTTGCCAACGTTGAAGACACGCACTCATGACCCAGCCTCAAGAGGTCCTGATGACACGTGCCCAAGGTGGTCAGGCACAGGTTGGTTTTCTACATCTTAGGGAGATGTGAGACATCAATCAATATATGTAGGAGGTACACTGGTTCGGTCTGGAAAGGCGGGACAACTGGAAGCGAGGCAGGAAGACTCAAAGCAGGGAGGGGTTTTCCAGGTCACTGGTAGGTGACAGACAAAAGGTCGCATTCTTTTGCATTTCTGATTGGCCTTTCCCAAGGAAGCAATCAGATATACATTTATCTCAGTGAGCAGAGGGGTGACTTTGAATAGAATGGGAGGGAGGTTTGCCCTTAGCAGTTCCCAGCTTGACTTTTCCCTTTAGCTTTGTGATTTGGGGGCCCAAGATATTTTCCTTTCACACCACCTTATCATAATAGAGAGCACACGTGTGAGTGTGCATGTGTGTGCGTGTGTGTGTTACAATAAAAAAAGACATTAAAACACGTTGGGGTTACCTTGAAAGGGGATCTTTTATTACAGGTTTTCTTATTGCTGTTGTTCTTTCACTCTGCAAATTCATTACCTTTAGATTCCTGTAGTTGGTAATGCACTGCCTTACGGAAGAAAAACAATTCTGTTTACTAGAAACAACATTGAATGAATCCATCTTACAGTATTATTATTAGTATTATTTATTTCATTGTTATTAAAGCAAACACGGATTTCTATTTTGGGGGGTTATTGATCGAGGTTAGTGGGCAGGAAAGCTGCATGGATCAGATTCTTTGTCCAGTACAACATAGCACACGTTTCTGTAAAAGAAAGTATTGAACTTGTCTAGCTTTATAATGAGTATTTCATTTTTAATCAAATGTTTTTAAATAGTTATATTTTTCCTATAGGGTCTATTTTTGAAGTTTTTTTAGTATTTAAATTTTTTTTCTATATTATATAGTATTCAAACTTACCTTAGCTTCAGCTTTTTGGCTTATAAATATTATAATGTAATAAGTACTTGATAATTACATTATCAATATCAAAACTAAATGAAGAGTATGTGAAACCTATGGAAATTATTTGGTGAAGGATCATCCAGGTACATATTAGAAGAAAATATTCTTGGCCAGGCATGATGGCTAATGCCTGTAATCCCAGCACTTTGAGAGGCCGAAGCGGGTGGATCACTGAGGTCAGGAGTTTGAGACCAGCCTGGCCAACATGGGGAAACTCCGTCTTCACTAAAAATACAAAAATTAGCTGGGCATGGTGACACATGCCTGTAATCCCAGCTACTCAGGAGGCTGAGGCAAGAGAATCGCTTGAACCTGAGAGGCAGAGGTTGAAGTGAGCTGAGATCTCGCCATTGCACTGCAGCCTGGGTGAAAGAGGGAGACTCTGTCTCAAAAACAAAAGAAAGAAAAGAAAAAATTATCGTCAAGCAAATGAGCAAAAGAGAGTTTGTATAAAATGAAACACCTCAAAAATAGCCTCATAAATAGGAAATCTATAGCACACGATAGGTTAAACGAGGTGAATTTGCTGTTTTGTAGGCATAAAATGGCTGAATATTGGTAGTTTCATAAGTTTTAAGCTATAGATATTTAAGCCCAAAGATTTTTTTTACAAAAAAAATCACATGTGAAAGTGAGTAAATCTATTTCAAAATGGCAATGTTCAACTAAAAATGCAAAAATGGTAGCTTTATATTTTTCATAAGAAATGTGGTTTTTTAATTTAATTGAATTTTATTGTTTTTTTTTGGACACAGAGTCTTACTCTGTCGCCCAGGCTGGAGTGCAGTGGTGCAGTCTGAGCTCACTGCAACTTCCACCTCCTGGGTTCAGGCGATTCACCTGCCTCAGCCTCGTCAGTAGCTGGGACTACAGGGGTGCACCACCACGCCTGGCTAATTTTTGTATTTTTAGTGAAGATGGAGTTTCTCTGTGTTGGCCAGGCTGGTCTCGAACTCCTGACCACAGTGATCCACCTTCCTCGGCCTCCCAAAGTGTTGGGATTACAGGTGTGAGCCATCACGCCCCACTAATTGTTCAATTCTTAAGTTTCTCAGTTTTGAAGTTTCCCAGCAAAGGAAGGTTTACACACTCTCCTGAAGGGCCCATTGTCAGGCAATTGTTATTTAGCTACTTTTCTTTCTTTTTTATCTTATTTTCACAGGATAAAGTCTATTCCCCCAGATACAGTTTCCTTGCACCTCTTGTTAGTTTTCAGAGCAAATGGAGAGCTTCTCATAACTGAGGCCAGCAGAACAACCCATGCTGGGCTCGAGCCTCCTTCCGCGTCAGCACTGTATGGTGCTTGGATTATGAAAGTGGGCCTTGGTGGGAAGTCCAGCGTGAGATCCTCTCCGTCCGTCTTTCCTTACTTTTCCCTTCAGTAGGGGACCTGTGATGGAATGTGCCTCGACTGGTGACAGGGTTTTAGAGGAGGCAGAAAGGAAAGCTCGGGGCAGGCACAGACAGGGGAAGTGGGGCCTTCTGGAGGAAGAATCTGCCATTTTTGGGTCCTGCTGCAGGGAAGGAATCATCCTTTCCTGGTTCTCATCTGCAGTAATTATTCCTGTGGTGTTTGCCTGATGGTGATTTTTCCATTTGCACTGCGTCTTGTTTATTAACTGGAATTCTACCTTACGGAAGACTTTCCTCTTTGATCCCATTTACTTATTTGATTATTTATTTGTTATTCAGTATGGACTCGTGGGGGCCGGGCATGGTGGCTCATGGCTGTAATCCCAGCACTTTGGGAGGCTGAGTTGGGTGGATCACTTGAGGCCAGGAGTTCGAGACCAGCCTGGCCAACATGGTGAACCCTCATCTCTACTAAAAATACAGAAAAAAAAATTAGCCGAGCATGGTGGTGCGTGCCTGTAATCCTAGCTACTCAGGAGGCTGAGGCAGGAGAGTTGCTTGAACCCAGGAGGCGGAGGTTACAGTGAGCTGAGACTGTGCCACTGCACTCCAACCTGGGTAACAGAGCAAGACTCCATCTCAAAATAAATAATAAATAAATATATTAAAAATTATATATATATATATAACATGGACTCATAGATATTTATTTTATTTCCCTTTACAGATTATCTGTTACTATTTTTGTTTATTCGGTTGCTCAAATTGCCCCAGATTTGCCCACAGGAGATGCTTTGAGCTGATGCCTGTGTTCTTTTGACATGCTCTCATCATTCATCGTTTTCTGAGCACTTTTCTACTTTCTGGCATCGTAAAATGTCCCTGATTCATCTCCTGTCTACCTTGTCCTACTTCTGGAAATGGCTATTTCTCAAAGGAGTCCTGGTTCCTTTATAATTTTTTTTTGTCCTTTTAGAGAATATTATTTAGAAACTAAGATCTGTGCTTATTGCTTACTCAGTGTCCTTGCTTGTAAGCCCTCTTAGAGCTTGGAAATGTATGTATGTATATATGCACATATACAACTATATGTATTTTTATTTCATCACTAGAAGTATGGTTCTCATTATTTGACATTGGTATGAAGCTTAGGGTTTGTATTAGGCATCCGAATGGAGGTATGAAGTAGGTAGAAGTCTGGGCAAGTTAGGGGAGGGGTCGGGAGTTTGTTGGTCAATATACAGAAGCTATTTTTTTTTTTTTTTTGAGGCAGAGTCTCGCTCTGTCACCCAGGCTGGAGTGCAATGGCACAATCTTGACTCATCGCAACCTCCGCCTCCTGGGTTCAAGCTATTCTCCTGCCTCAGCCTTCTGAGTAGCTGGGATTACAGGCATGCACCACCACGCCGGGCTAATTTTGTAATTTTAGTAGAGAACGGGGTTTCTCAATGTTGGTCAGGCTGGTCTCTCAAACTCCTAACCTCAGGTGATCCTCCCCCCTCGGCCTCCCAAAGTGCTGAGATTACAGGCGTGAACCACCGCTTCCGGCCTTACAGATGCTATTGAAACCTGGAAACTGGTGAGATCACCAAAGGAGTAAGTGCAGATAGAGAAGAGAAGCCCAAGAACTGAGTCTTGGAGCAGCCCATTTTTGAGAAATCAGAGAGAGAAATTAGTGAGACTGAGATTGAGTGGCCAGTTCGATGAAACGGAATGGTATGGTGGAAACCAATGAAGAAGCATTTCAAGGAGGAAGGAGAGAGCGTATGTGCCTGTTGCTATTGATAGGTTAAGTAAGATGAAGACTGAGGACCGGACCATTCAGCTTACCAACATGGAGGTCCTTAGTGACCTTGAGCACAGTTTCAATGGTGCAGTCAGGGGAGCTGCCTGGAGTGGTTTAAATGAGAAGAGAGGCATTGGAGGTGTTGAGTCAAGGTAACACCAGGGCTTTTTTTGTCAAGGAGAAAAGAGAAAAAGGACAATAATTGAAGCAGGGACTGTGGGATTAAGGGAGTAGTTTTTATAATGAGTAGAGGAGAAAATAATGATGTGGGAGAAAGATAGGAGGATATATATTATCTACAGGAAGTCTTGAAAGATTGTAAGTCCTGACTTTATAAAATATTTTGTTAAGAATTTTCTTTCTAACTAAAAAAAATGGCTGTCCCAATGCAATGTAGAAATTTTGAAAAGTACTGAAGAAGCCAGGGAAAAGCAAATTACCAATTTTTTTTTTGTACTTCATGCGTGCTTTAACCATGACTAGCTTTTTGGTAGGTGATCTTTTAATTACTTACATTTGTATGTCTGTGACTATATTTTCATTGTTATTATTTTTGAAAATTTGGGCTGAATGACACATACTTTTTTTTTTTTTTTTTTTTTTTGAGACAGAGTCTTGCTCTGTTGCCAGGCTGGAGTGCAGTGGCATGATCTTGGCTCACTGCAACCTCCGCCTCCCAGGTTCAAGCGGTCCCCCTGCCTCAGCGTACCGAGTAGCTGGGATTACAGGCATGCACCACCATGCCCAGCTACAGTTTTGATAATTTTAAGGTGCCAAACATGGTTTTAATGGCTGCATAGAATTCTATCATAAATTCTGTAAATGATTCTTTGAGATTGGGCATTTATATCTTTATCATAAACAACACCACAGGGAAAAATCTGTTTCTGTCTTTGTGTACTTGTCTGATTGTGTCTTTGGGTTGAATTCATAGAGGTAGAATTGCAAGGTCTAACGCTACGAACATGTGAATATATTGATGCAGTTTCTCAAATTTCTCTTCAGAAAGAATATTTGCATTTTAATTCACCAAGTGGGTGTATGTTTTCATTTTTCTCACCTTTGTCAACATTGGGCATTTTTATTTTTAAAACTGCCAATCTTATATGTGATGCAATTCTTTCCTATTGTTCCAATTAGATTTATTTTGTTATTAGAGAAATTTCACTTTTCCTCACATTTTATGGTCCCTTATATTTGCTCTCACGTGAACATCCCATTTTTCCCATCCCTTTTTGCCCCTTGGGATGTTTGGCTTCCTTGTTAATTTTGAAGAGCTCCTGAGTAAGGATATTATTCCTCTTTTCTCCATGTCAATTGCACATGTTTCTTCCAAATTGTTATTTTTGTTTTAATTTGTGGTATTTCAGTAGTTTTTAAATTTTAATATAATCAAAGCTTTTTTATCTTTAGAATTAATTT
Organism: Homo sapiens; assembly: GCF_000001405.40. NCBI lineage: Eukaryota > Metazoa > Chordata > Mammalia > Primates > Hominidae > Homo > Homo sapiens. The sequence continues at coordinate 128,897,417 of NC_000012.12, forward strand.
CATAGCTTTTTTTCTTTCTCCTTTTCATACCCTGCCTGTGGTATCCAATAATGTCATAGCTTTTTATGCTCAGAAAACCTTTCCCAGGCTGAGGCCAGCTGCTTGTTCTCTTATATCATTCCAGACTTCTCTTGTAGTCTTACCTTTTTTTACTTAGCTCCTGAACCATCTTTTGAGATATATGATATAAGGTAGGAAACTAACTTTTTCCATGTATTTAACCACTTCTCTAACCTTATGCTATGTCAAATTCTTTTTTTTTCTTTTTTTGAGACAGAGTCTCGCTCTGTTGCCCAGGCTGGAGTGCAGTGGCACGATCTCGGCTCACTGCAAGCTCCGCCTCCCGGGTTCACACCATCCTCCTGCCTCAGCCTCCCGAGTAGCTGGGACTACAGGCGCCCGCCACCATGCCCGGCTAATTTTTTGTATTTTTAGTAGAGACGGGGTTTCACGGTGTTAGCCAGGTGGTCTCGATCTCCTGACCTTGTGATCCGCCCGCCTTGGACTCCCAAAGTGCTGGGATTACAGGTGTGAGCCACCAGGCCTGGCCTATGCTATGTCAAATTCTTAAATGTATTTGGGTCTGTTTCTGGCCTTGTATTTGGTTTTGATCTTTCTATCTTTTTTTCACTGCCAACACTGTTTTAATTGTTATATTTTTAATATGTTTTGATATCTGTTAATACACATCTCATCTTTGAATTCTTCTTCTTCTTCCTCTTCCTCTTCTTCCTCCTCCTCCTCCTCCTTCTTCTTCCTTTTCCTTCTTCCTTTCTTCTTTCTTCTTCCTCTGTCACCCAAGCTGGAGTGCAGTGGCACAATCATGGCTCACTGCAGCCTTGACATCCCAGGCTCAAGCGATCCTCCTGCCTCAGCCTCCTGAGTAGCTGGGACTACAAGTGTGCTCAACTATGCCCAGCTGATTACAAAAATGTTTCCTGTAGAGATGGGGGTCTCCCTATGTTGCCCAGGCTGGTCTTGAATGCCTGGGCTCAAGTGATCTTCCTGCCTCAGCCTCCCAAAGTATTGGGATTACAAGTGTGAGCCACTGTGCCTGGCCTGAATTCTTTATCAAAATTTTCTGATTGTTTGTCACCCAATTATATGTATAGGTAAACTTTAAAATTATTTTGTCAAATTTCAATAGAAATCCACTTCTGGATTTTATTTGAATTATTGATTTTGTCACGTAATTTGGTAAAAATGGACGTTTTGATAGTATTGGAGCTTCCCATCTAAGAATGTGCTCCACATTTCCATGAAAAAGTATCTCTTAATATTCCTGCACTTCATGGCAAACATAATGTTAATAAATAGATTACCTTGTTTTCTTAGTTTTGAGATCCCTTGTGCATTTCCTAAAGAAGCAATTGAAAGGAGGGAGATGATAACAGTGAGCACCCATGTGCATTCAGTAAATTGTGATTGTGTCCCCATAGTCTTCCCTTGGCAGAGCTAGTGGAGTGGACAGGCTGCCCTTGAATGGTCAGGGTGGATTAACCCAGCAAGTTCCTTGCTTCTCTCCTGCATCTTCATTTCTTGCTTTTGATTTTATCCCTGCCTCTCTGAACTTGCGTGGAAGGAAGAGAAAAAATAGGAGTTTTGAGCTTCGTTTGGTTTACTTCTTGCATATAAAACTTTTTTTTGATGTGAGTTGAGATTAAACCTAATGGCCAATGACCACAAGTAATAAAGATTGATTGCATTTTAAATTTAGTGTCTCACGTTGTCTCTCATAATTTGTTCCAAAGAGCTGTTTCATAGTTCTTTTAATTGAATTCTGGCCTAATTGTTTCTATTATTTTTGTTCATTTACTAGATTTGCTGTCGCTTTCACAGAGTCAATGAAGGAAATGGCACAAGCGCAGTGGGTATGTGTTTATCTGGTGTTGTTATTTTGGTTGTGCTGATGAAATTGCAGAATTCGAGAACCGAAAGGCAGCCTTACTGAGCTGACAGTGTTCCCATGGACGGTGCCTGTTGCGGCCACAATAGTGTATTATGTTTCCCATAGATTGATTTTGTATGTGTAGATGCACCTAAAACGTCCCTGATATTTTTTGATGTTGTTATTGAATGACAAAAGTAGCCCAGTAATGGTTGTATGTTGTTGTTGTTGTTTTGTTGCTGTTTTTTTTTTTTTTTTTTTTTGAGACGGAGTCTTGCTCTGTCACCTAGGCTGGAGTGCAATGGCGTGATCTCAGCTCACTGCAACTTCCACCTCCCGGGTTCAAGCAATTCTCCTGCCTGAGCCTCCTGAGTAGCTGGGATTTCAGGTGCACACCACCATACCCAGCTAATTTTTTTGTATTTTTAGTAGAGATGGGATTTCACCACGTTGGTCAGGCTGGTCTCGAACTACTGGCCTCAAATGATCTGCCCGCCTCAGCATCCCAAAGTGCCGGGATTACAGGCATGAGCCACCGAACCTGGCCCTGTTTTCTTTCTATGTTCTCAGATCGGGTGATTTATCAGCTGCGCTATAAATGTTGCAGCAACCTTGTATACATGAGAGTAACAATCTCTTAGGTGACAGAGGTAGTTTCCTGGGTTGGACCGTTTATTAGAAGAGCTTTAAACAGTCAAGAGTTTGTAGATCCACAAGTTAGTTCATTTATTGACTTTGTATTCATGATGACTTAGAGGGCTGGTGTATGAGCTGGTGGGAACTTAACTGAATTCCCAGTAAGGAGCTATGTGAACGCACCATAGAGCTGGTGCCTGCAAAACTAAAGAAAAAAACCAAAGGTCAGTTTCCCTTTGGTGAGTGAGGCTGCTGTCTCTGGCGGTGGGAACTGCATTGAGCCTGCTCCACCAGCGTTCATCCGCTGTGCACAATGTGCATGCCCTGATCATTTGCAGGCGTTATTCCTGTTGGTTGGGAGGATCAAGGAACAGGGCTTATGCCCTGATCATTTGTAGGCTCTGCCCATTCTTTATGGAATTGCAATTTGCAAAATGGTGGTACTTGAAAACTGCTGCACTGGGACAAGGGCAGAACCCAGTCATCTGTGGTCTCTTCCGAAAGCTCGGGATGCTAGACATATGTGAATGTGAAGTTGCACACGCCCTGACGGCCCATAGTCTTACTCTTTATATCAGACTTTTCCCAGGCAGAGCATGGAGGTTGTATTTCCTAGTGCAGTTTAATGACTTGTCAATCTCAGTATTAGAAAACCCAACAGGCATCCTGGTTTCCAGTTTTATTGTAATACCAAACTTTTTTTTTTTTTTTTTGAGACAGAGTCTCACTCTGTCACCCAGGCTAGAGTGTAATGGTGCTATCTCAGCTCACTGCAACCTCTGCCCCCCAGGTTCAAGCGATTCTGTTGCCTCAGCCTCCTGAGTAGCTGGGACGACAGGCATGTGCCACCACACCCGGCTAATTTTTGTATTTTTAGTAGGGACGTGGTTTCACCATGTTGGCCAGGCTGGTCTCAAATGCCTGACCTCAAGTGATCCACCCACCTCAGCCTCCCAAAGTGTTGGGGCTACAGGTGTGAGCCACTGCACCTGGCCTACCTGTTGGACTATCTATCTGCCTTCTTAAGGTAGTTTTCAAACCAGTGGTTACCAAAATGGGGTCCCTGGACCTCTGAGATTCCCTGGGACTCTTTCAGGGCCTCCGCCAAGTCAAGCTTTTTCTAAATAATAATGCAAAGCCTTTTCTTTTGGCTTTTCTCATGGTTTAAAATGCAGTGATGAGTAAAATGCAGCTGCCTTAATACTAACGAAGGCAGTGGCCCCATCTGTGCTAATATTCGCTGATTAGTCACCACCACCCACTTAAGCCAGTTTCACTTAAAAATGTCCCTGATGAAGAAATACAAATTACTAGCTTTTCAAATATTAACTTTTGAATACATGTTGTTATTTTTTTTTTAGTAGAGATGGGGTTTTGCCTTGTTGGCCAGGCCAGTCTTGAACTCCTGACCTCAAGTGATCTGCCCTCCTCAGCCTCCCAAAGTGCTAGGATTACAGGCGTGAGCCACCGCGCCTGACCTTTTCTCTCTCTCTCTCTCATTTTTTTTTTTTTCTGAGATGGAGTCTCGCTCTGTCGCCCAGGCTGGAGTGCAGTGGCGCGATCTCGGCTCACTGCAACCTCTGCCTCCCGGTTTCAAGCTATTCTCCTACCTCAGCCTCCCAAGTAGCTGGGACTACAGGCGCCCACCACAACGCCCTGCTAATTTTTGCATTTTTAGTAGAAACGGGGTTTCACCATGTTGGCCAGGCTGGTCTCGAACTCCCGACCTTGTGATCCACCCACCTTGGCCTCCCAAAGTGATGGGATTACAGGCGTGAGCCACCATGCCTGGTCCCTCTTTTTTTTTATTATTATTATTTTTTTTGAGACGGGCTCTCATTCTGTTACCCAGGCTAGATTGCAGTGGTGCAATCATGGCTCACTGGAGCCTCGAACACCTAGGCTCAAGCCATCCTCCCACCTCGGCCTCCCAAAGTGCTGGGATGACAGGCATGAGCCACTATGTGTGGCCAAATTTGAATTTTCAAGTAAAATTAGAATTTTGGAAAGCCAGCATGAGGTTGTCAGTTTCCCAATATCTGAAGGCTTTCCTGATGAAATTGGTGGCTCTACTAACAAATCTGAGTTTTTTGGATGTTGTATAATGAAACGTTTAAACATTTGAAAGATCTTCATGACTCAGTGAACCAGTAGGTTTTCAATGATCAATATGTGACCTATAGAATCAAGTACAGATGAAAGATCAGTTCATAGTACCAGGTAGACCAATGGACTTTAATATAACTGAGTATGAAAAGTTCGGCCAGGTGCAGTGGCTCATGCCTGTAATCCCAGCACTTTGGGAGGCCGAGGTGGGCGGATCACCTGAGGTCAGGAGTTCGAGACCAGCCTGACCAACATGGAGAAACCCCGACTCTACTAAAAATACAAAATTAGCCAGGCATGGTGGTGCGTGCCTGTAATCCCAGCTACTTTCGGGAGGCTGAGGCAGGAGAATCGCTTGAACCCAGAAGGTGGAGGTTGCAGTGAGCCGAGATTGTACCATTGCACTCCAGCCAGGGCAAGAAGAGCAAAAATTCTGTCTCAAAAAAAAAAAAAAGAAAGAAAAAAAGAAAAGTTCCCTGATGCAGCTAAACTTTAAGAAATTGCCACTTGCTGAGTTTGGGTGCAGTGTCCAAGAACAATGCCTACAGTGATCGGAAAGGCCATTAAAATACTCTTTCTTTTCCTACTACCTGTCTGCAAGAGGCAGGATTTTCTTTATAGACCTCAACCAAAACAACATATTGCAACAAATTAAATGAAACAGCAAACGTGGGAACCCAACTGTGTTGGTTAAGACAGACATTAAAGAAATAATTGCCAGGCGCAGTGGCTCAACCTGTAATCCCAGCACTTTGGGAGGCTGAGGCGGGCAGATCACCTGAGGTCAAGAGTTCAAGACCAGCCTGGCCAACATGACGAAACCCTGTCTCTACTGAAAATGCAAAAAATTAGCCGGGCATGGTGGTGTGCACCTGTAGTCCCAGCTACTCAGGAGGCTGAGGCAAGAGAATTGCTTGAACCCAGGAGGCCGAGGTTGAAGTGAACAGAGATGGTGCCACTGCAAGACTCCGTCTCAAAAAAAAAAAAAAAGAAAGAAATATTTTACCTGTGGAAGCATGCTCCTTTTCCATGAATTCATTGCCCTTTTCTCTAACTTGTCAGCCTTCAATATCATCCTCCACCATAAATCCTTCCTTGACCCTCCAGAATTGGCATAGATGAGTTCCCTTCCTCTGTCAGTTACCTTTTGCTGCTTAACAAACCAGTTGCCTTAAACACGCAGGGTGGCCTCACTTCCATGCCTGGACCTTAGCTGGGATGGTGGGGACCCCTGAGGCCTGTCTCCATGGGGTCTGTCATCCTGTTTTAGGCTCGGCAGGAAGAGAGAACGGGCCTCAACTCACAAGCACATTCCAGGCCTCTGCCTGTGATAAGCTTGCCTCCTTCCCATTGACCAAAGCAACTCAGCGGGTGGAGATACGGTCCCCACCTCATAATGAGAGGATCTTTAATGCTGCCTTACAAGGGCACGGATGCAGGGAGGGGGAGAATTGATGGCCTCTGTAACCATCTGCCACACTTCATGCTTGTCTCTAATGAGTATAACATGTTTTACTTTCTTCCCCGTGCTTCTCAAGTGGTGAGCTTCTTGAGAAAGGGACATGAGGTAGTCACTCGTGCATCCCTGGAGAATAGTATATACTGTCTCAGGCCCGGTGAATATCCTTTAAATTGATTGATTAGGAACGACTCCTCCTTTAGAACCTTTTGGTTTTTTTAAATATTTTTATTTTTATTTTTTGAGATGGAATCTTGCTCTGTCACCCAAGGTGAAGTACAGTGGCGCAATCTCAGCTCACTGCAACCTCTGCCTCCCAAGTTCAAGCTATTCTCCTGCCTCAGCCTCCTGAGTAGCTGGGATTACAGGCTCCCGCCATCATGCCCAGCTAATTTTTGTATTTTTGGTAGAGACGGGGTTTCACCATGTTGGCCAGGCTGGTCTCGAACTCCTGACCATGTGATCCGCCCGCCTTGGCCTCCCAAAGTGCTGGGATACAGGCATGAGCCACTGTGCCCGGCCAGAACTTTTAATTAAAGAAATTTTCAGGCATGTGTAGAAGTAGCAAGAATAGTAGAGTGAGCCCTTTATGTGCCCATGACCCAGTTTATTGTTCCTCAATTCTTATTTACTCTACTTCCTCCTGAATACACACACACACCTACACTCACACACACACATACAATGTTTTCGAGAATAATTTCAAAAATTACCAATATCATGCCATTTCACCTATAATTATGTGCCATTTTACCTGCAAATGTACTTTGATAAAGACTTTTTTTAAAAAACATAAACACAGTGGTACAGGTAACTTTTGTATTGGCAGACCACAGTCAGTAAGGAAGAAATAAAGAGGGGTTTAAGAGCGTTCATACAACCTAACATTTTTATCAATACAGTTTGGAAGAAATCAAGGAATAGAATTTGGAGGGGGAAAAAGAGAGGAACTGAATCATTTGGTTCTGGATGTATTGACTTAGTGACAAATATTGGACTCGGGTAAATATCCAGAATAGAGCTGAGAATGTAGGACTGTCCTCAGAGGAGGGCACAGTTGGGGACACAGCCATGTGAGTCACTGGTGTCCAGGTGATGGTTAAAGCATGAAAACAGTCTTTTTTTTTTTTTTTTTTTTTTTTTTTTGAGACAGAGTCTTTCTCTGTTGCCCATGCTGGAGTGCAGTAGTGCGATCTCGGCTCACCGCAACCTGCGGCTCCCGGATTCAAGCGATTCTCCTGCCTCAGCTTCCCAAGTAGCTGGGATTACAGATGCCCACCACCACACCCAACTAATTTCTGTATTTTGAATAGAGATGGGGTTTCACCATGTTGGCCAGGCTGGTCTTGAACTCCCAACCTCAGGCGATCCACCTGCCTCGGCCTCCCAAAGTGCTGGGATTACAGGTGACTGCCACTATGCCTGGCTAATTTTTGTATTTTTAATAGAGACTGGGTTTCACCATGTTGGCCAGGCTGGTCTCGAACTCCTGACCTCAAGTGATCTGCCCACCTCATCCTCCCAAAAGGCTGGGATTACAGGCATGAGCCACCGCGCCTGGCCCATTTCCCACCCTAAACACTCAGCTGTCAGGTATTACACCACTTACGCCGTTTCCCAGAAGCTAAGGGTGCAGGTCATGCCTCTGTTTGGTCAAGGCCGAATTTCCTAGTACACACCCACTATATGTCATCAATATGAAAGTTACTAGTGACATCATATTTTACCTTTTTGTGTGTGAAGTCTTTGAAATCCTGTGTGTATTTTACACTCACAGCACATCTTAATTCAAACAGGGCCTTAGACGTGCCCTGGATCAGCCACGTGGCCACGTGTGGCGAGGGCTGTTGTGTGCTCAGGGCAGCTCTGTTTCAGGATTTCTGAAACTTACTCACACGATATCTGATCCTGGAGGACACATGAACGGACATGTGCCCAGTGAGGGTTAGTTTGTAACCGGTGAGTGAACTTCAGCCCCCAGGGCTGCTCTTGTGGA